>NC_000006.12:38847878-39150909 GCF_000001405.40 Homo sapiens | reverse complement strand
TTTTAAATTTCTGTGCAATCCATTGTTCAATCACTTGACATTTCCACTCATTATAGAAAAAGTCTTCCCCTGAAGAAAATGGCAAGTGTCCCACTCCCAAGAAGGGTAAACATTCCATATTCCCAGGGCATCTTATAAAAATCTAGCCCGACCTTACCTTCTCAGGCAGACTGGACAGCAGTATCGTGGTATATCAATTTAGAAATTCTTAATCTCCACTGCTGTCAGACGTGGTTGCTTTTCTGCATTTATTTCTTGGCTGTATTCTGAAACACTGGTGTTTCCTAGCTCCTGTACCATTAAGTTACCAGACTCTTTCAAAACATTTAAATCCTCTTCAGGCATTTCCATTCTGACAATGGACAGTCAATTTCTTTACTGGGCAATGTTCCTTGTGTAATTCGTTATTATCTTCTGTTTTGAGCATCATTAGTGTTGAAGTTGGTCCTCTAATAGTTTCTCCAGGAAGGGTTTATAAGAACAATCTTTCCTAATTTCTTGCATACACAAAAATGTTTGATTTTACATTTTTAAAAAATAAAAAGCCAGGTGTAAAAATTTTAGATCACACTTGCTTTCTTTGGGGAGCTTTTAGGATTAGTTCCACTGTCTTCTGGGGTTGCATGCTAATTTGGAGAAGCCTAAAGTTAACAAATCACTTCTCTTAGCCTTTTTGCCTGGCTGACCCAAAGACTCTTTATCTCTGAAGTACAGTAATTTTGCTAGGATATGTCTCAGTGATGAGGACTTTTGTTCATTTCTTCTGGAATCTGTTGTTCCTTTTCAATAGCTAGATTAATGTTCTCCTTGGTTTCTGAAACATTTTGATAAATTGTATCCTTAAATATTTGTTCTGTTACATGATTTCTGTTTTTTTCTTCAGAGCCACCACTTATTGGTTTATTGTGTTTCATTGGCTTTTCTTGTCCTGCTCTTCATTGTTTCTTGTGTATTTTTCATTGAGGTGTAATTACATACAAAAACTGCACATGTTTACGTGTACAGTTTGATAGATCAGTTTCAACATATGCATGTACCCATGAAACCATTGCCCCAATCAAATTGTGAGCATATTCATCACCCCAAAAAGTTTCCATGTACCCTTTATAATGTCTCCCTGTATCCCTTCCTACCCTTTTTTCCATTCCCATACATCACTGGTTTGTTTTCTTTCACTTTAGTTGGCATTTTTCTAAAATTTTCTACAAATGGCACCATACAATACATACTGTCTGTTTGGTCTGGCTTTTTTACCCAGTATAATTTTTTATGAGATTCATCCATGTTGTTGCATGTATCAGTAGAAGTGGTGAGAGCAGACCTCCTTGCCTTGTACCTGATCTTAGGTGAGAACTTTTCCTCTAATCCTTCAGATAGTTCTTGTTCCACCTGGCCTCAGGTAATTGCCTCACGTGCATTCACTGATCAGTACATAGCAGAAGACTCAAGCCAGCCCTCTATAGATCTCTGGAGGGAGCACTCTCTCTCTGTCTCTCACTCTCTCTCTCTCTCTCTCTCTCTCTGTGTGTGTGTGTGTGTGTGTGTGTGTGTGTGAGAGAGAGAGAGAGAAACAGAGAGACAGAGACAGGGAGAGACAGACAGAGAGACAGACAGAGACAGAGAAGCTCTCTTCTCTCTGTTATTATTTTCTGAAAACTCTAACCCTCTTAGCCTTTCAGGTCTTCCAGCTGAACTAAGAGACCACCATGCTATATCCAGGTTTTCCCCTCTCTGGGCCATGACTTAAAAACTCTCTCTGAGCAGTAACCTGGAGCAATTGTAGGGCTCATGTTGTTTATTTCCCATCTCTCAGAGATCACTGAATGTCACTGTATGATATCCAATATTTTAAACATCATTGCTTCTAATTATTTTATTTGCTTTTTTAGTTAATTTTGTTTTTTCAGGCAGAGGGTAAATCCAGTCCCTGTTAGTCCATCTTGTTTAGAAGCAGAAATCACCTTTATAGACTTTTGATGAATAAACTTTAAATGAAGAGTGTTTTTCCTTGATTAAATACTTGCAGGTGTTCATGCAGGAAGTCAGGTTCCAAGCCAGCAGGAACTTTCCTTATAACCCAGGGATGTCAGTAGGAGTCTTTACTTCTCTTCACATCATTCATACAGACAGCCAATGGCCTGGTACTAAAGAAAGCTTCTTTGCTCCCCCTCCTACACTGATTATTTCCTGCAGACCTGGCTTGCCTGTGTCATTCTTCATGCCACCCCTTCTTTCTTCCCCAGGACCAAACTGGATGCAGGGAACCTCCAATTCCTGTCTGAGCACCCAATTCTCACTCTTATAAACAAAAGATTTGTGTTTTAAAACTTCAGGTGTAGGCAGGCGTGGTGGCTCACACCTGTAATCGCAGCATTTTGGGAGGCTGAGGCAGGCAGATCACGTGAGGTCAGGAGTTTGAGATCAGCTTGGCCAACATGGCAAAACCCCGTCTCTACTAAAAATACAAAAATTAGCTGGGAGTGATGGCGCATGGCTGTGACCCCAGCTAGTCAGAGGCTGAGGCAGGAGAATTGCTTCAACCTGGGAGGCAGAGGTTGCAGTGAGTCGAGATCATGCCACTGCACTCCAGCCTGGGCAACACAGTAAGACTCCATCTCAAAAAACAAACAAACAAACAAACAACAACAAAAGAACTTCAGGTGTGCCATAACACCTGGGATAGGTGCGCTTTGCCAGCTCCCTGAGATCTGCAACCTCTGCACTCTCTCTTCTCTTCCCTCCCTGGCTCTTCCTCTGTTTCTACATCTTTTGACATTCTTCCTCCTATTTAGGGCTTCAGCTTTCTTACAGTTTTATAAAGATAGAATTTGAATTTCTGTTTCTTGTTCTGCTTGTTGCTTTTAGGTTTCCTGAGTTTCCAGGAAACATCTTTGTTGCTTTTAGGTGATTTCCAAGAAAATATTAACTTGAGGCCATCATCTGCAAACTGGAAGTCAGGAGCAATACAATTGCTATTGTTGCTCTGAATGTATTTTTTACATCTGTATTAAGCCTGACACAGTCTCTGACCCCTCAGAGGTGCTCAATTAATGTTTGAAGAATGACTTTTGAACAAATTCAGCAATCCCCTCGTAACCTGGGTTTACAATAGTTAGGTGGACCATTGCTTTCTTTTCACCTGGGATGTCCCCAAATACATGGTCCACCTTTCCTGCACTGAGTGTGGAGCTCCCCAAGCACTGAAAGAGCTGTTGAAAGTCTAGGAAGATGAGACTGTCTGAAGTCTCTCTTCTAGGAGTATGGGCTTTTGAGTTGGACAAGCCTGAATTTGAAATTCACCTATACCATTTACTACTTCTTGTTGGACTTCATATTAGGACTCTCCAGAGAAACAGAACCAACAGGAGATATACATATATATGAGACAGAGAGAGAGAGGGAGAGAGTGCACTCTTTTAAGGAATTGGCCCACATAATTTTGGGGGCTGGTAAGTTCAAAACCTGCTGGGCGAGGCCAGTGGTTCACACTCGTAATCCCAGCACTTTGAGAGGCTGAGGCAGGAGAATTGCCTGAGCCCAAGAGTTCGAGACCAGCCTGGGCAACATGGCAAGACCCCATCTCTAAACAAAAACAAAAACAAAAATCTGCTGGATAGGCCAACAGGTCCCAGCAGTTTATGCTGCAATCTTGAGTTCGAAGGCGGTCTGGAGATTGAATTCCTTTTCACTCAGGGGATGTCTTCAAAAGTTTTCATGTGATTGGATTAGGCCCACTCACTATGGAGAGTAATCAGCTTTACTCAAAATCTATTGATTTAAATGTTAATCATATCTAAAAAATACCTTCATAGCAACATCTAGACTGGTGTCTGACCAAATGACTGGCCACTATCACCTAGTTGACACACAAAATTCACCATCACAGGCTTTGAGTCATTTATTCAGTGTCACTGAACCTCAGTTTTCTCATCTGTAAGAGTGGGTTATTATTATACCTTCCTCAGAGGGCTGCGGTGAAAATCAAATTGGATAAATATGTAAACCATCTAACACAGCATCTGGCAAATTGAAGGCAATAAATTCAAGCTACTCTTGTTTTGTCTAGAAGAGATGCCTAAGACAGTCTTCTGGAATCCAGCCCATGCCCTTCCATGTACCCCCATCCCCTGTCTTACAAGGGCTGGAAGGTTCTAAATTACTTTTTTAGACTCCCTTGGAGCTAGAGAGATTTAGGCTGAGATACATTCAGGCAATTTTAGAAGGAAGAAGTTAACAAGAAGGGGCAGATGTGGTTGCAGTAGCCAGACACCAAGTTCCAGTTGTTGGTCACCAGCTTCATGGGCTCACAACAACCATGGTGACAGCAGCAGGGGCAGCAACAGCAGTTCCTGACCTCTGACCTGCAGCTGTGGAAATGTGATCTTGAACCATTAGCCTCGGGGTGGCCCCTGACATCTGATTGCTTGGATTAAGTCTGACTGGGGCTTGACAGAGTGGTTTCTGCTTTGTGCCCTGACTCCTACTTCTACAAAAGACCTCACTAAAAAGTGGCTTCATGATGCTCTCCTCTCTGCATTTACCCAGTAGGTTCAGGAAGGTTCCCTGGATCCTCCTTATCAGGCCCATCAGAGAGAGACAAGGCCCTGTGATTAGAGCTGTCGTGATGACCTAAGAAGCAGAGAAAGAATCAGCAATAGCCAGCCTGGCACAGAACATTGCATTAACTGCATTGGTGCTCTTGCATTGATTTAAAATCTTATCATAGAACAGAGTCCCACTAACCAGAATCTTCCATGAATATGATGTCCTGCCTCTGGATGTTGTTGAGCTCGGGGCTGGGTGTCTGTCTCTCACCAGCCAGAGGGCCCAGCCAGATTTTATTGCATTGCGATATTTATAGCTGTAAACACTTGGGTGCCTTTAAAGGAATGTCTCATTTTAAAAACCCCACGTTTCTCAAATTAGGACACAAACCATAAACTTTTCATCATAGGCTAGCAAAAAGTAGCTTCTTGACCTCCTCTGATCCACTCCCCACTGTAGTCCAGTTTCAGGATGGGGATAAGAAAAAGTGATTTATAAAACTGCCCCCAGCACTGGTAGATGAGAACCACAGACACAAGGTTATTGGGCTGGTGGGTGCTGACTTCATAATGAACCCAAAGTTGAGCCCAAAGTTGAAGGTTAAGAAAACAGAGACAGATGGACCAGGAAACATGAAGACGGACAGGATATGACTGCTGCAGGCAGGGAGGGAAACACATCCTTAGCGTTTTAATAACAACCTCATCAAGTGCCTGCTGCGGATGTTTCACATGTGATCTTATTTAATCCTCACAACAACCCTATAAACTAGGATTATTAATACCATTTTACTAACGACAAAACTGAGGTTTGGAGAGATTAAGAGACTTCCTCCGGGATCCTGGCACAAGCATGGATCCCCCGGGATCCATGAGGTGAATCTAGAGAGTGTGAGTGCAGAGCCTGGCTTGGAACACGCTGTTGATTCTGGGCATGTTCAAAGGTGTTACACCAAAGAAGCAGATAAAAACCAGTTTGGAAAATAACAAGTTTTGGAAATTCTGGGTTAATCAAAGTGAAACAGGTTGGATGTTTTGTGTGCTTGTTTTCTGCTGCAGAACTTCTCAGAGCCTTTAATGATGCTACCGTGCTTTGTGAGTCTTCAAAAAGAGGAGCAATTATGCAGTTCTTCTTGAATACCTTTGAGCGCTGAACACATTTCTCATAGGGCATCTTCAGGGCTTAGTATCCCTCAAAGCACATTTTGGGAAATCCCACTTAGCTGAACTCAGGCCAAACTGTGGTTCATCAGTGTGGCTTGACCTAAGTGGGGGTGAGTATGTGACTGAGATATGTTTGCTTCTGTCTACTGTCCTGCACTATCATTGTAGAGGAGAGCATGGTTGCCTGTCTGAATTCTGGGCCACTAGTGACTCCAGTCCAACATCTCCAGGAAATGTGAAGTGGGTGAGAAAACTGGCAGTGGTGGAAGAGAAGGAGCCAGGAGGCAGAGAGACTGATGGAGAGACAGGGCCTTTGAGAGATGTCCAGGGACAAAGAAGAGTCTTTTCTTTTCACACAGGGTTTATGAAATTGTAATTTCCTGAAACAGTATTCTACATTCAATCTCAGAATATCAAATATCAAGCAACTGAAATGGAGAGAAACATGTGTCCAGCAGTGGGTAGTTTTCAGTGCAGTTAAGAATAAACATGGACAGTGAGTAGCCCACACACTGAGAAGGGAGGTCTCAATGAGAGGGGTTATCATTAGGTGAGTTATGCCAGAGTGCTCATAATTTGTGTTTATTTTTATTTCCTATCCTTCTGATAAAGACAGCTGTTATTTCTACACTGCTTCAGACAGGGCTGGCTACATAATTTGTGGGGCCCAGTGCAAAATGAAAATGCAGCGCTCCTCATTCAAAAAGCAGAACAAAAGTGCTGTTACATATACAAAAACAAAGAGCTTTCTCCTTTCTTCTGCAATCCCTCAACTTGTGGTGCTTTTTATTTGCTATTTAAAGTACAAAGAGGGAGCCAGGCATGGTGGTCCACACCTGTAGTCCCAGATACTCGGGAGGCTGAGGAAGAAGGACTGCTTGAGCCCAGGCATTCAAGAGCAGTCTGGGTAACTTAGTGAGACCCCATTTTAAGTAAAGACTAAGTGATATGGTTTGACTGTCTCTCCACCCAAATCTCATCTTGAATTGTAGCCCCCATAATTCCCACATGTTGTTGGCAGGGTGGGTGGGAGGTAACTGAATCATGGAGGAGGTTCCCCCATACTCTTCTTGTGGTAATGAATGCGTCTCACGAGATCTGATGGTTTCATAAGAGGTTTCCCCTTTCACTTGGCTCTCTCATTCTCTTCTCTCGCCTGCTGCCATGTAAAACGTGCCTTTTGACTTCCACCATGATTGTGAGGCCTAGCCACGTGGAACTGGGAGTCCATTCATCCTCTTTTTCTTTATAAACTACCCCGTCTTGGATATGTCTTTATCAGCAGTGGGAAAACAGACTAATACATTAAGTAACTATGTAAAGAAAAACAAAGAAGCGTAAATTCTTAGCCTAAAGTTTATGATTCATTTTTATATGGTACAGTGCCAGTTTTAGATGCAGATTATTAAACCAAGAACAGAGGCTTCTGAGTGAAGGACTCCGCGCGACCGCACAGGTCACATGCGCGGAAGCCAGGCTTGGCTGCAGAACAGGAAGAAACATGACTTTTGTTTTCCAGCGTTCAAGCAGCTGGTTTTATGCACTCCAGACAGACAGTGTGATCGGGTGTCTGACATTTACAGTGTTTCTCCTGTGGGAAGCTAGGGTACATTTTTGAGCACCATCTCTGAAAGATTATAATGACCGCTTCATTAGAGAGAGAAAGAGGAGTCTGCAAGAAAAATGTTTCCCTTGCACTTCTTGAAGCTGTAAATGTCACTGCTCATTGTACGGAAATGCTACCAGGGCCAGGGCTGATAAGCCAATCAGGTAGCCTCCGGCAAAGGCATTTCATAAACACTGACTGAAACTGGCCTGGTAGCTTCAGGGCCCAATGGACTACACCAGGTGAGAGACTGAGAAATGGTTTCCTCGGGAGAGAACAAAACACCACCCTTCCACCTAGGAAGGGCAGGGGAGCTGGACATTACAGGAGACAGCTGTTTTCTTTCTAGAAGGTGTGCTGGGACAGAGTTAAGCCTGCATATCTGCCTTTTCCTCTGACTCCATCTTTTCCTGCTACACGAGATATCATGCAAGCATGTTGATGCCTTATGCCTTAATTAGAATTAACGTTCCCAGCCACTGGTGCCTCTTCTTTGCTTGTTTATGAAGTTAACACTTAACGATCCTCAAACTTTATGAGACTTATGTTATTGTCCTCATTTTCCTGATGAATAAACTGAGACTTCAAAGGATGATGTGACTGATGGAGGTCACCCAGCCAAAGTGGGTTTCCCTGAGCCTGGGGGCCAGGTCTGGCTGGCTCCAAAGTGAATCCTGGTCCTCAATCTTTCCCTGCCCCTGTCCATCATCCTGAATCTTGGCTCAGCATCACAGCACCGGCTGTGGATCTGTCTGCGGGATTCAGAGGGGCTAAGGATTTTACTAAATACCAACTGTACACAAACACACACACACATATAAATGGTGTAAATAGATATCTTTAGAGTCTGGGCACATCCCTTTGAATATCCTTCATGGTGGCAAATCTTTTCCTCTGAAAGTATATTTGATTTTTCAAAATGAATGAAAATTATTTGGAGCCTGATAGTTTAGTGGGCTGTGAATTTATTCTGCAGATAAAGTGGTAAAATAGGTAATTGGGATGTGGAAGGAATGAAAGGATAAAGGTCTGTCTGTCTGTCTGTCTGTCTGCGCGTATGCACATACGCCTTTTTTTTTTTTTTTTTTTTTTTTTGAGACAGAATCTCATTCCGTCACCAGGCTGGAGTGCAGTGGCGTGATCTCAGCTCGCTGTAACCTCTACCTCCTGGGTTCATGCAATTCTCCTGCCTCAGCCTCGTGAGTAGCTGGGACTACATGTGCGCCACCATGCCCAGTTAATTTTTGTATTTTTAGTAGAGACGGGGTTTCACCATTTTGGCCAGGATGGTCTCCATCTCTTGACCTCGTGATCTGCCTGCCTCGGCCTCCCACAGTGCTGGGATTACAGGCGTAAGCAACCACGCCTGGCCCATATGCATGTGTTTTACCACCTACCCTGAGCCCAGCATCTTGCTTGGTACTGCTTTCTGCGTCCTTGTCTTATCTGTGTCCACGCTCTGAGGTGGATATTATTATTCCCAATTTCTATAGGTAGAAATTAAGGATAAAAGAGATGAAGTTACAATCCTCCAGTAGTTCACAAAACTGAAACTGGAATCTAACTTGCCTTAAGGGAATGAGAGCCTTTTTTTGGATAAAAATAAAAAATAAAAATAAACAAAAAGAAAGAAGACATTTGTTTCCTCTAAAGCGATGAGATGATTGTCTTATGTGGTCCCAGAACTGGCTCTGCAGATAATTCTAAACCATTCTGAATATGTTTGGAGAAACGGCAGCACCACTATCATAAGAGTAAAATTTCCAAAGAGACTTCTCTAATGGGCACAAACCTCACTTGGCTGTGTCTGCATTATTTTTGTTTTAAATCAGAGAATTTCCTAGTCATGCTTTGGTTATAGTTCTTTAGAACCCAGGCTTTAGGCACTAGAATGAACCCTGGAGATCCGCTTGTTCAGCACCGTCATTCCCGGGAGGCACCCTCAGCTCCGGAGATGAGCTGAGATGAGATGAGTACCTGCTCAGGCGCCCACAATGGCTAGGGGCAGAGCCTTCACTCAACCCAGGAACTTGACAATGCAGTGCTGCCTCCCCACAGCACACCGCTTCCTCCCTCGCTGATACAACATCTTTCTAACAACAATAAACTTTTTTGGGGGGAAATTTCCATGTGTCAGACACCTAAAGTACATTGTCTTACTAAGTCTTCAAGGAAACCTAAGGGTGAGAAAGAACCATTCCCATTTCACACATAATGAAACCGAGGCCCGGAGAAATCAAACAATAGGTCCAAGTTACATAGCTAGGAAAGCGAGGGCCCAGGATTTGAACCCAGCTCTGCCCACCTCTCAGTCCTGCATGTTTAACGGTACTCAATGCTGTCTCCTTTTGTCCCAGTGCCTTCTCCCTCTTCCTCCCATGTCCCCTAGGAGCCAAGTGTACAGATTCCCAGAATCAGGCACATTCCATTCAAACGCACCCTCCCTCCATCTAGTCACTTCCCTCTTTTTGTGTTTATCAACACAAATAGCCTGTCCTCCTGGCACATTTGTTTTGCTGGAGCCCTACCTTATTCCCTAGGAGCCCTGAGGAACAATGAGCTGTTACCCAAGCCCTCCGGGACTCCGCCCCCATCCTGGACAGCTTCCTCAACTTCCCCTCCTCACACTCACCCCCCTCCCTCAGAGCCTGTGTACAAAGTGCGTCAATCACTTGTTTACTTGCTTTTCCTGCCTGGGCCTGAGGTTCTGTTGGCTATTTTTCCCTCTGGAGTTTCTCCTGAGATGAGCTTTGATCTTCAGAAGGGAAGGGCCACAGGAAGATGATGAGAGATGCTAAGAGTGGAATGAGTGACGACTCATTCCATGATAGGAAACGAAAAGGTCATCTCTTAAAGAAACCAGCAAGGATGCTGGTGAGAACTGTGCATCCCTGCCAGTGCCTGGGTGGAGACAGGGACAGAATTCAAATTCCACAAGCCAGAGGCAAATCCTCCCAGACCTTTCCATCCTTAGCTAGCAGTATAATTCATCAAGTATTAAACCAATGTGTACCCTTTCCAGAAAAAGCTAGCGCTGCAGACACCCATTGGAGGGAGATGCTTTTAGATGCATATCTTCCCTTGGACAAGGCTGCTTGTGGAGACAACACAACTGCACAGTCTGATTTGAGAGCACACATGGGAACGTCTCTGGAATACTGCCTGCAATGCCACCCCAGTAGAGGTACTTATTTGGAATTCTAAAGACTAGTTTGGACCTCAAAATCCACATTAACATAAAAAAGGATCACTGGGCAGGGACATATAACTACTAAAATAATGTAGCAGCCAGGGTCCTGGCAAGATACGAAAGACATAATGAAAAGGATTTAACTGAAAATAATGTAATAAGGGACTATTTTTGGCGGGCTGTATGGGGTTAAGAGAAACAACAAGGGATGATGAGGCAGAGGGGAGGAAATACCCTTCACTTCTCTTTCCTTCTCCCCTCTGATTTCCTGCCAGTGCCTCCCACTGGCAAAACCCAGATAGTCAAGGAACAGAGGACCGTGGGTGATGTGCATAGAAGTCAGCCCCTGGGGCAGAGAGCAAGGTGGAAAGGGCAGAGAATGGATCAGAGTGGGCAAAGAAAGAATACACAGCCACCTACCCTCTCACTAACAGCTTAGGGGATGGTTTTTAACTGCCGGTCTCAGCAGAGCTGTTTTTCATGGACTCCAGGCTATTACAATAGGATTCTAACCACTGTAAAATGTATCTATTAAACAGGTCTGAAAATCAGCATTGTGCTGCTGGTCGGGTATTTTATTGTGATTACTGCCACCCCTGATTAGGCCTCTAGAAGAGGGAGAGCTCTTGCACCCCCTTTCCTATTTCCCTCTGTTCAAAGACTACACAGTACATGGGAACATATAATCTTATTACTTCACAAGGTAGGTTTGTTTTGGTGTCTTCTTGGTATGGAAGTTTTTATTGTGAAGTGTATCGTATGTATAAAAGAGTATTTGAGATATATGTAGAGTTTAAAATATAGTACATTTAATACCTATGTATTTACTACAAAAGTTAAGAAAGTGAACACTAACCTTAGAACACTAACCTTAGAAGTCCTCCAAATGCCCCTTTCTAAATAAAACCTCCAGCTTCCTCCCCAGAGGTAAACACTGTCTTGATTTTTGTGCTCATGTTTATCTTGATTATTTTTTCTTGTTGTTGACACAAGGTCTCACTCCGTTGCCCAGCCCAGAGGGCAGTGGCATGACCGCAGCTCACTGTAGCCTCAACCTCCCAGGCTCAATCGATCCTCTCACCTCAGGCTCCCAAGTAGCTGGGACTACAGTTGCACAGCGCTACACCCAGATAACTTTAAAAAAAAATTTTATAGAGATCAGGTCTCTATAAAGTATATTGCCCAGGCTGGTCTCAAACTCCTGGGCTGCTCAAGTAATCCTCCCACCTCAGCTTAAAGGCATTAACCACCACACTTGGCCCCATCCTGATTTTCGTTATAGTTTTACCACCTAGGTATATATCTCATAACAATGTATATTAAGTAGAAGCACAAATCTAGCTGAGAATTAAAGGGTAGTGTTGCCTATTTTATAAAGGTGCCCAGGAGAGAGATAAGCTGAACAGAGTGTCTGGGTAATCTGGTTTCATCTTCCCCAAGGGTTTACAAGAGCCTCTCCTGGAGGAATAGGTAGACAAGGTCATGAGTGGGTCTTCCCTTCCCCATTTTCTCTGTTCTCTCTTTTTAGAATTTCTATTATTGCAGTATTGAAACTTCGTGACTGGTCTTCTATTCAGTTTCATCTGTTTCCTTTTAGTTTCTTTCTGTATATTTTTGCTCTTTATGAGGAGGGAGATGGAAATGAGGTGATATTTCTTCAATATTTCTTCCTTCTCAGGGTTTTTCATTTTCCTTATCTTTTTTTAATTTTTAAGAGCTTTGTAATCTCCTTAAGTATTCCTTTTTTATAGCATACTGTTCTTGTTTCATGGAATTTCTTTTACTTCTCAATGAATATTGATTATAAAATTTATTTGGGAAATAAAATTTTCCTGCATAGTTTTTGTTTCTGCCAAATTGTTTTTTCTTCCATATTAGAGCTTTTCCTTATATGTAAAACTTGACTGTATGCTCATGATAACGAATAGACAGCTAAAAAAAAAAAAAACTAATAGGAAATTCTCAGCAAGTGGGCGAGGCCTGTCAACTTAGCTTCAAAGTAGGGTTATCTGGCTGCGCTGTTTGTTTGGAGAACACCCAATATCTTTAGGTATTTATTCTCCAGATGGTTAGTTACCCAAGGAATGGTCTTACAGTATCTTGCCATGAGGGTAAGGGTCTAGATGCTAATTTACTGGGAGCCAAGTGTGGAAATGGCATGGGCATTATAATTCAGAGTCAGTTCTTTTCCAGAGCACTGTTTCTAATGAAGGGCCCAAGAATGGGAGGTGGGAAGGGCACTGTCAGTCTGTGCCTAAAAGGCTTGTTTCCACCTCATTATACATCAGAATTGCCTTTGCTGTAGTAGAAAATTGGACATCCAAATGGTGAGGTAAGTAATAACAAACAAGAATTTGCTGAGTGTCTCCCTTACTTAGCAACATAGAAGTAGATGCATGTACTTGAGCTGGTCAATATCCACTGTGGACTGCATGGTAGGCATTGGGGAATTATTGAAGGTCTGTCTCTTTTCTAGTCATTTTGCAGTTGAGTAAACAATGGCCAGAGAGATTAAATTAACTGACCCAAGGTCAGACAACTATTAAGTGGCAGAATAAGAATTCTCATCCCAGTCTATTTGATTCCAAAGCTCTTTATTATTATTTTAAATAGTATTTTTTCCAAGAAATGTATACTTAGTATAGGTATCACAGGAAATATATAAATTTTCAAATAAACTTTTAAAAAACAACTATAAGGCCACCAAAACATTGTGTAATATTCTTTCATAGGAATCCACCACAATTTATAATTTATAAAAATAATTGATCATTTATTTGATTCTCCCCTAGTTAGGTTCATTTAGATTGGTAAACCTATGCTCTTTCTACTATATGACATCAACCAAGAGCAGCAAGCATAAGTAGGAAGAGCAGGGTCCTAGGCAGGTGCCCAGGTAGAAAGCTACTGAGTAAAAGGGATTCAGATGGACATAGTTCAGCACCCTGGAGAGCTCCATGACAGTATTGCTCCATTATGGACTCAGCAGTAACACTGGCTGGGAACCCTTTAGGGTTCTGAACTGCTTTCCCAGAATGGGATGTTAAAAGAGATAATACACGGCTAAGTTTTGGGGGGTGGAGGTGGTCTCTTTGTCCCTGAAGGGATTCATCCTTACCAGTCCCCGGTTCAAAGAGCACTGTGGCTGTGGGTAGTTTTTCTCACCACTCTGCTTTTTCTCATGCTAGCCCCTCAGCTGGGAATCCCTGGCTAATTTCTGCTGATCTTTCAATGTTCCATTTCGTCACTAGTTTCTCCAAAAAGATTTCTGAGCTCCCTCTATCTTCACCCTCAATGATTTTCTCCCTTTTTCCTCTGCATCTCTCTTACTCATTATATGTGCCATATTAGATTATAATTACGTCTGTCCTCCTCCTTAGAATATGAATTCCTTGAAGCAGGGACTGAGTCTTAGCTATATTTTGTCCCAGTAAGTACTCAATAAATAATATTTAAAAATCAGCAAATGAGTGCATTTTTGTAGGCAATGAGAAGCTATTGAAGGTGGCTCTCAACCAGTGGCAGTTTTGCTCCCTGAGAAAAATTTGTTGATATCTGAAAATAGTCTTTGCCGTTACAAGTCAGCGGGTAAATGCTCCTGGAATATAATAGGTAGAGACCATGGGCCCTTGTAAATATCTGACAATATACTTTACAGTCCCCAAACAAGGAATTATCTGGCCCAAAATGTTATTCATGCTGAGGATGGGAAACACTGTTTTAGAACAATAAAATGGATTTAAACAAACTCTTCTTCAGTCAGCTTAAGTCTTTAGAAAGCAGTAAGTCTAACTGGTTCATTTTACAGATGAGTAAAACTGATTTAGGTGGTTGTGGAGCCAGCGCAAGTACTTATACATGGCACCCTTTCCACATAGTTACACTTGTCAGGCCTCTGAGCCCAAGCTAACCCATCGTATCCCCTGTGACCTGCACCTAGACGTCCAGACGGCCTGAAGCAAGTGAAGAATCACAAAAGATGTGAAAAGGCTGGTTCCTTGCCTTACGTGATGACATTCCACCATTGTGATTTGTTCCTGCCCCACCTTAACTGAGCCATTAACCTTGTGAAATTCCTTCTCCTGGCTCAGAGCCACTGAGCACCTTGTGACCCCCACTGAGCACCTTGTGACCCCCGCCCCTGCCCGTAAGAGAAAAACCCCCTTTGACTGTAATTTTCCACTACCCACCCAAATCCTATAAAACGGCCCCACCCCATCTCCCTTCGCTGACTCTCTTTTCGGACTCAGCCCACCTGCACCCAGGTGAAATAAGCAGCTTTGTTGCTCACACAAAGCCTGTTTGGTGGTCTCTCCACACGGACGCGCATAACATTTGGTGCCGAAGACCCGGGACAGGAGGACTGCTTCAGGAGATCGGTCCCCTGTCATCGCCCTCACTCCATGAGGAGATCCACCTATGACCTTGGGTCCTCAGATCAACCAGCCCGAGGAACATCTCGCCAATTTCAAATCAGGTAAGTGGTCTTTTCACTCTCTTCTCCAGCCTCTCGCTACCCTTCAATCTCCCTCTCTTGCTATCCTTCAATCTCCCTGTCCTTCCAATTCCACTTATTTTCCTTTCTAGTAGAGACAAAGGAGACTCATTTTATCCGTGGACCCAAAACTCCAGTGCCAGTTACAGACTTGGGAAGACATTCTTCCCTTGGTGTTTAATCACTGCAGGGACACCTGCCTGATTATTCACCCACACTCCATTGGTGTCTGATCACCGCGGGGATGCCTGCCTTGGTCATTCACCCACATTCCCTTGGTGGCAAGTCAGTTGCAGGGATGCCTGCTTTGGCTGCTCACCCACATTGCAGCCCAGGGCTGCTTACCACCCCCTTCTCCATTGTCTCTAGCTTTCTCTTTAAACTTACCTCCTTCACTATGGGCAAACTTCGGCCCTCCATTCCCTCTTCTTCTCCCTTAGCCTGTGTTCTCAAGAACTTAAAACCTCTTCAACCCACACCTGACCTAAAACTTAAATGCCTTATTTTCTTCTGCAATACCGCTTGGCCCCAATACAAACTCGACAGTAGTTCCAAGTGGCCAGAGAATGGCACTTTCAATTTGTCTTTCCTACAAGATCTAGATAATTTTTGTCGAAAAATGGGCAAAGGGTCTGAGGTGCCTGACGTCCAGGCATTCTTTTACACATCGGTCCCTCCGTAGTCTCTGCTCTCAGTGAGACTCGTCCCAAATCTTTCTTCTTTCTCTCCTGTCTGTTCTTTCAGTCTCCACCCCAAGCTCTGAGTCCTTTGAATCCTCCTTTCCTACAGACTCATCTGACCTCTCCCCTCCTCCCCAGGCTGCTCCTCGCCAGGCCAAGCCAGGTCCCAATTCTTCCTCAGCCTCCACTCCCTGACCCTGTAATCCTTTTATCACCCCCTCCTCACACCCCATCCAGCTTATAATTTCTTTCTTCAACTAGCCCTCCCCCACCTGCCCAACAATTTCCTCTTAAAGAGGTGGCTGGAGCTGAAGGCATAGCCAAGATTAAAGCTCCTTTTTCTTTATCTGATCTCGGCTTAGTGGCTGAAGACTGACACTGCCGGATTGCCTCAGGAGCCTACAGGACCATCACAGACACTTTGGGTAACTCTTACAGTGGAGGGTAAGTTCATCCCCTTCTTAATCAATACGGAGGCTATCCACTCCACATTATCTTCTTTTCAAGTGTGTGTTTCCCTTGCCTCTATAACTGTTGTGGGTATTGACGGCCAGGCTTCTAAACCTCTTAAAACTCCCCAACTCTGGTGCCAATTTGGACAGCATTCTTTCATGCACTCTTTTTTAGTTATCCCCACCTGCCCAGCTCCCTTATTAGGTGGAGACATTTTAACTAAATTATCTGCTTCCCTGACTATTCCTAAGCTACAGCCACATCTCATTGCCACCTTTTCCCCCAGTTCAAAGCCTCCTTCACATCCTCTCCTTGTATCTCCCCACCTTAATTGACAAGTATAGGACACCTCTACTCCCTCCTTGGTGACAGATGATGCACCCCTTACCATCCCATTAAAACCTAATCACCCTTCCCTCGCTCAATGCCAATATCCCATCCTACAGCATGCTTTAAAAGGATTAAAGCCTGTTATCACTCGCCGGTTACAGCATGGCCTTTTAAAGCCTATAATCTCTCCTTACAATTCCCCCATTTTACCTGTCCAAAAACCAGACAAGTCTTACAGGTTAGTTCAGGATCTGCGCTTTATCAACCAAATTGTCTTGCCTATGGGGCAAGACATATGCCTATGGGGTGGCCCATAGGATACTCTCCTATCCTCAATACCTCCCTCCACAACCCATTATTCTTCTCTAGATAAACCTAGCTGACCCCATAGATCCTAAATCCTTTCCCCAATCCTCTTTCCGTTCCTTAAAAACAGCCCTAAAGGCTGCTCCCACACTAGCTCTCCCTAACTCATCCCAACCTTTTCCATTACACACAGCCGAAGAGAAGGGCTGTGTGGTTAGAATTCTTACCCAAGAGCCGGGACCGTACCCTATAGCCTTTCTGTCCAAACAACTTGACCTTACTTTTTTAGCCTAGCCCTCATGTCTGCGTGTGGCAGATGCTGCAGCTTTAATACTTTTAGAGGCCCTCAAAATCACAAACTATGCTCAACTCACTCTCTACGTTCCCATAACTTCCAAAATCTATTTTCTTCCTCACACCTGACGCATATACTTTCTGCCCTCCAGCTCCTTTGGCTATACTCACTCTTTGTTGAGTCTCCCACAATTACCATTGTTTCTGGCCCAGACTTCAATCCGGCCTTCCACATTATTCCTGATACCACACATGACCCCCATGACTGTATCTCTCTGATACACCTGGCATTCACTCCATTTCCCCATATTTCCTTCTTTCCTGTTCCTCACCCTGACTTGGTTTACTGATGGCAGTTCCACCAGGCCTAATCGCCACTCACCAGCTAAGGCAGGCTATGCTATAGTAGTATCTTCCACATCTATCATTGAGGCTTCTGCTCTGCCCCCTCTACTACCTCTCAGCAAGCTGAACTCATTGCCTTAACTCAGGCCCTCACTCTTGCAAAGGGACTACAGTCAATATTTATACTGACTCTAAATATGTCTTCCATATCCTGCACCACCTTGCTGTTATATGGGCTGAAACAGGTTTCCTCACTATGCAATGGTCTTCCATCATTAATGCCTCTTTAATAAAAACTCGTCTCAAGGCTGCTTTGCTTCCAAAGAAAGCTGGAGTTATTCACTGTGAGGGCCATCAAAAGGCATCAGATCCCATCGCTCAGGGCAACGCTTATGCTGATAAGGTAGCTAAAGAAGCAGCTAGTGTTCCAACTTCTGTCCCTCATGGCCAGTTTTTCTCCTCCTCATCAGTCACTCCCACCTACTCTCCCACTGAAACTTCCACCTATCAATCTCTCCCCAAACAAGGCAAATGGTTCTTAGACCAAGGAAAATATCTCCTTCCAGCCTCACAGGCCCATTCTATTCTGTTGTCATTTCATAACCTCTTCCATGTAGGTTACAAGCCGCTAGCCTAACTCTTAGAACCTCTCATTTCCTTTCCATCATGGAAATCTATTCTCAAGGAAATCACTTCTCAGTGTTCCATCTGCTATTTTACTACTCCTCGGGGATTGTTCAGGCCCCCTCCCTTCCCTATACATCAAGCTCGGGGATTTGCCCCTGCCCAGGACTGGCAAATTGACTTTACTCACATGCCCTGAGTCAGGAAACTAAAATACCTCTTGGTCTAGGTAGACACTTTCACTGGATGGGTCTCACAGGGTCTGAGAAGGCCACCACAGTCATTTCTTCCCTTCTGTCAGACATAATTCCTCGATTTGGCCTTCCCACCTCTATACATAACAGACTGGCCTTTATTAGTTAAATCACCCAAGCAGTTTCTCAGGCTCTTGGTGTTCAGTGGAATCTTCATACCCCTTACCATCCTCAATCTTCAGGAAAGGTAAAACGGACTAATGGTCTTTTAAAATCATACCTCACTAAGCTCAGCCTCCAACTTAAAAAAAAGGTCTCTGTCAAGAATAGAGCCCGAAAACTTGCCAACCAAGCAAGTAATTATGCTGAACCCCCTTGGGCACTCTCTAATTGGATGTCCTGGGTCCTCCCAATTCTTAGTCCATTAATACCTGTTTTTCTCCTTCTCTTATTTGGACCTTGTGTCTTCCGTTTAGTTTTTCAATTCATACAAAACCACATCCAGGCCATCACCAATCATTCTATATGACAAATGCTCCTTCTAACAACCTTACCACAAAATCTTCCTTCAGCTTAAACTCTCCCACTCTAGGTTCCCATGCCACCCCAATCCCACTTGAAGCAGCCCTGAGAAACATTGCCCATTATCTCTCCATACCACCCCCCATAATTTTCACTGCCCCAACACTTCAATACTATTTTATGTTATTTTTCTTATTAATATAAGAAGGCAGGAATGTCAGGCCTCTGAGCCCAAGCTAAGCCACCGTATCCCCTGTGACCTGCACGTATACATCCAGATGGCCTGAAGCAAGTGAAGAATCACAAAAGAAGTGAAAATGGCTGGTTCCTGCCTTAACTGATGACATTCCACCATTGTGATTTGTTCCTGCCCCACCTCAACTGAGCAATTAACCTTGTGAAATTCCTTCTCCTGGCTCAGAACCTCCCCCACTGAGCACCTTGTGACCCCTGCCCCTGCCCATAAGAGAAAAACCCCCTTTGACTGTAATTTTCCACTACCCACCCAAATCCTATAAAACAGCCCCACCCCTATCTCCCTTCACTGACTCCTTTTTCGGACTCAGCCTGCCTGCACCCAGGTGAAATAAGCAGCTTTGTTGCTCACACAAAGCCTGTTTGGTGGTCTCTTCACACAGACGCACATGACAACACTTGGCTGACATTATTTTTTAGCCATTCAGTACTCTGAGTGGTGTGGGAATATAATGATTTTCTTAATGCACATTATTCTGCATTCATCAATCAGTTTCGAAAGACAAGGATAATACTGTCCAGACTAGAGAAAACATTTTGGAGTCACAGAACAGGCAACAGCCAGTCTCTCCCTGACCCCATTCCCACATTAGCCTCTCTTTTCTAGAAAGATGCTACAAACCAAGGGCCGAGTGAGAAGAATGGTTCATTTCCGAACAATTCAATCTGCTCCGAGAAACAAGGAATTAGCCTGTGGAAGAGTGAGTTATTTTAAACCACTCTGCATTAAAACCAATTAATGCTCTGGAGGGTCCAGCCTGCCAGAGGAGAATTTGAGCTAATTGCTACAGACCAATCATAGTCAGTATAACGCTCCTCCTATCAGCAAATAATAGCACTGGGTAGAGTGGGGTGTGGGGGATGAACTCAATCTCCACAGGAAGACAGACCAAATGTGATGGCTATTTTCTCTTCAAGTGCCTCAGATTTAGAATTCTTCTGATCCCAAAGTGTGCTCACCATACCTCTCATGAGTCAAACTGCCATTTTCCCAGCAGTAATCATGTGCCCAGCCTTCTCCCATTCAGCTCTGTTGAGTTATAAAAGCCAAAGGAATGGAACAACAACAACAGAAAAGCTAAATGATTCAGCCACAATACAGAGTGAATCAGCAAAGGAACAAAAAAATGTAGGGAAAGGGAATCTGTGTGGTGTCTTGAATAAAAGTGCCTTCCAATAAATTTGGTGAATTGTCTTCGAATCAGCTGAATGTGTTAATCATTTATTGTATATCATAACTGTCTGGCGCATACGTGATTAGCTGAAAATAATATTTGTGGGTCCATGGAGGCTCTGAAATGATGCAAAGGAGAAGCTAGTTTTTGCAGAAGGAGCTCAACTTTGTTTGCTAAAGTTTTCCTTGGAGCATCAAAGGCTGTTTCTGTATTGGCTGCTATTGGCATGAGAATGTGAAAGGTGTGGGGGAACTTTCTCTGGAAAGGACCTTTCACAGAGAATCAGGAAAATAGGAAGCAGACCTCAACAAGGAAATGCTCTCTGTCTTTCTTTTTTTTGGTTTGTTTGTTTTTTGAGATGGAGTCTTGCCCTGTCACCCAGGCTGGATGGAGTGCAGTGGCACGATCTTGGTTCAGTGCAACCTCCACCTCCCGTGTTCAAGAGATTCTCCTGCTTCAGCCTTCCAAGTAGCTGGGACTACAGGTGCCCACACCACGTGTGGCTAATTTTTGTATTTTTAGTAGAGACTGGGTTTCTCCATGTTGGCCAGGCTGGTCTTGAACTCCTGACCTCAGGTGAGCCTCCCCCCGCTCGGCCTCCCAAAATGCTAGGATTACAGGCATAAGCCACTGTGTCCAGCCTCCACCTCGATTTCTTGTCCTTTTCCTCTCTTCCATGTGTGTGCATGTGTGCAGATATAGGTTTGAAACCCATTTCTACTCCTCTGAGCTTCAGATTCTTCATCTATAATTGGGACTCATAATGCTAATATCCCCAACTTGTCAAGGTGGTTTTCATGGAATGATGTATATAAAGCACATGACTCATGAAGCCACTAGATAAATCTACTATTACCAGGGCTCAGTTCCTGCCTGGGTGATTTCCTAATGACAGAAATCTTGGCCCAGGGACTTAGTGGTTTGGGAATCATGGGAGATGGATGGTCAAACCTAAGAAGAAGTCTCTATCAGGGGTGCATTTGAAGTTTTGATGTCTAATGATTTTTCTGAACCTCTTTACAAGATGTATAGAGGTTGGAGTTTGTGGTTAGCCAAAGTTTAGAATCACTCAGCTCTGTATTTAATATTCTAGAGAATGGATTTGTCACTGAGGAGGCTTGGAGGAGGCCCAAAACTTTTTGGACTTTGCAATAAACTTAGAATTCAGAGAGAATGTCTAAGAAGAATCAACCTGCCATGGGTCCAAAGAGAGAAAAATGCTTCCACCATGAAAGAAAAAAGGAGTTCGGTTGGTGAATCTTCAGTTACAGTAAACACAGGGTGGTGATGGGTCTCCTAGGTGCAAAGGTGCCCACACCCAGCTCCTCATCAGAGTCACTGGAAGAATTTTACAAAAATATACAGGTTCCTGAGCCCAACCCTGGATATTAAAGGGGACACAGATAGGCTCAGGATCTCATTTCTTTGTTATTAAAGTGCTAAGATGATTCTGATGATCAGTCAAGTTTAGAAACAGCTCAGAAGGTAGATGGCTCAGGCCCATGGACTCCAGCTGTAGAAGTGATTTGTTGAGAATCAGCTTCTTTACTCACTTCCCTTTGCAGAGATCTGACCCACATCTCTCCAATATGATGTAAGAAAGATTTAGGAAAAGTCTTCAGAGGCACTTGGAGCTGATTCTCACTTCAGAGGCAGTGATTTTGGAGTGCATGCCTGAGAGATGACACTGTCTGACCATCAAGACCTGCTATTGTTTGGACATTTGACCCCTCCAAATCTCATGTTGAAATTTCATCCCCAGTGTTACAGTGTTGGGAAGTGAGGCCTAGTGGGAGGTGTTGGGTCATGGGGCTGGCTCCCTCACAAATACATTAATTCCCTCCCTGAAGTGGGGGCAGTGAGTGAGCTCTCACTATATTAGTTCCCACAAGATTGGTTGTTAAAAAGAGCCTGGCACCTCCCTTCCTCTCTCTTGCTTCCTCTCTCACTGTGTGGTCTCTGCACATGTTGAATCCCCTTCACCTTCCACCATGAGTGGAAGCAGCTGAGGCTTTCACCAGGTGCATAGTCTTCCAGCCAACAGAATCATGTGCCAAATAAACCTCTTTTCTTTATAAATTAAACAGCCTCAAGTGTTCCTTTAAAACAAAACAAATGGATTAAGACAAGGGCACTGTCATTATCAAATGTATTTATGACATTCGAGTCCTGCACAGTGAACCGACCTTTATGATTGCATCTCCTACCAACCCCCACTGGGCACTCAAGTGTCTCCCAATATCCCTTGAACTTTCCTAATTTTCTTCGCATCTTCCTCCCTAATCTGCAATGAGCTACACTTCACTAACACAGGCAGCATAGCTTGTGGATGGCTGGCTTTGGAATTAGGACAGGTTGGAATTCTGGTGTAGCTTGGAGCCAAATTGCACCATGTTGTCAACCCCCTAGGGAGGCAGAGCAACAAGAGTGAATGGGCCTGAGTCATGGCCCCATAACACTCTCATGTGATGCCTGCTGGGAAGACACACATTTCTATTTTGTTCATTATTATTTTTGGTCTCTATTCAGAAACATGAAACAATATCCTATCAACTAGTAAACCGACCATTGTAATACAGCTGATAAGGGTTGCAATAGAGGATGCACTTCGTGTTGGGAGATTATATCTGAAAGAACCAAAGCCAGGCCCAGGAACAAGGCCTGAGGAGCTTCCTGAAGAAGGAAATGTAGAAGCCAAGTATGTGAGATGAGTGGCACTTGGCATGTGAGGAAGGGAAACAAGTTGGGATGTTTGAGAAACTGTAGTTTAGCATTGCTAAAGGGTGGGGTATTAGTGGTCAGTGGGAAGTAATGAGGCTGGGGCTTGGGAGTGGGGTTTGTGTGGGAAAAGGAAAGGTGTAGTGGCATGATGAAGGTTCCAATCAGAGACTCCCCCCACCACATGTAACCCCTCACTACAGAACACTCCACCATGGAAATGTCTACCATAGAACCCCCAACCATGGAATCCTCCACCATGGGGCCCTCCACCATGGAATCCCTCACCACAGAGCCTTCCATGTCTTTAGCAGCTCTGGGTGAGGAAGGAGCCTGAAGCCAAAGATAAGTGCTATCTAGTTCCCCCTACTATTTGCTTCCTAATGAAGAACTCAGATTCACAGAGGGGCTTAGTCCATTGTCCTGACCAGCTGGATTTCTTCTGAGGTAGACAGAAATCCCTGTGTCTCCTATAGACTGTGGAGACTGTGGGAGCCTGGCTGACAGGCTTCTCAATACCCCTTCAAAGTTATATCAATGACTGCGTATATTTAACCCAAGCCCTATTAAGATAATTGGAAAAAGAGGTTTATTTTGGTTCAAATAATCCCAAAAGAGTGATGGGAGACAGGGGAGAAAGCAGGCGAGGAAGCCATCCCATCAGTTGTTTTTTTTTTAATATGGAAACAATTTCAACTAGCTCAGATGAATAGTGTCTTCCCTAATTTAAAAGCCTATTAAGGCACCAATTCTCAATATGCATTCCAATTCCTTTGGGATAGGAGGATCTTCTTTTCCTCCCGCTGTGTCTTCCCAGGACTTTGGTCATCTACTGAGCTTGGACTATGCCGGTTTCATACCTTTTAAGCTTCCTGTGTACTGCTAGGTACTCCCCATCAGGTCACCTCATTCTATCAGTCTTCTTGTGAGGTATCATCCCCATTTATAAATAAAGAAACAGACAAATAAAAATTAGAAGCTACTTAAGTACTTACTTTTACTGTTTGATGGGTTATCACTTATGGATGTTGGTTTTTGGTGGTGGTTGTTGTTGTTGTTGTTGTTTTGTTTTTGTTTTGAGATGGAGTCTCACTCTTGTTGCCCAGGCTGGAGTGCAGTGGTATGATCTCAGCTCACTGCAACCTCCGCCTCCCAGGTTCAAGCAATTCTCCTGCCTCAGCCTCCTGAGTAGCTGGGATTACAGGTGCACCCCCCACCACAACCAGCTAATTTTTGTATTTTTAGTAGAGACGGGGTTTTGCCATGTTGGCCAGGCTGGTCTCGAACTCCTGACCTCAGGTGATCTGCCTGCCTTGGCCTCCCAAAGTGCTGGGATTACAGGCATGAGCCGCCGTGCCTGGCCTGTTTTTTTGTTTGTTTGTTTGCTTGTTTGTTTGTTTGTTTGTTTGTTTTTGAGACAGAGTCTTACTCTGTCACCCAGGCTGGAGTGCAGTGGCATGATCTCAGCTCACTGCCACCTCTGTCTCCCAGGTTCAAGCGATTCTCCTGCCTCAGCCTCCCGAGTAGCTGGGATTACAGGCACGCACCACCACACCTGGCTAATTTTTGTATTTTTAGTGGAGATGGGGTTTCACCATGTTTGCCAGGCTGTCTTGAACTCCTGACCTCAGGTTATCTGCCCACCTTAGCCTCCCAAAGTGCTGGGATTACAGGCGTCAGCCACCGCGCCTAGCCTGGATGTTGATTTTTACTCATGGAACCACTATTTAGGTCAAGAACTAGAACTTTGTAAACCCCCCTCACCAAATCATTAACTCCTCCCTCCCCACCTCTCTGAAGCCAGGTTCCAAATTTGTACTTTCTCTCTTACTCCATACCACTTCCCTGAGATTCTCTCTTTACAAAAAGGAAATAGAACAATAAGGAGAATGAGTGACTTTCCTATGATTGTGTAGATAACGTCAGAGCTGGGACTTGAACCCATGTGTGCAAAGTCCTCTTATCTTGGTTGACTTCTTCCTCTCAGCTTACCTAAGTCCTTTCAATCTTTCAAGGCCAAATACCATGCTTCTCCGTGGAGTCGTTTAGACCTCCCCTGCCTCACTGATCTCTTCCTCTACCTGGTAAGTTCCTGCTCTGTCTGTCCCACTGATAAGACACTTAGCAATAGTTTCTGGCATTATTTCTCATTTTGCATTCTTGTTTCATCTTCTCCATGATTTCATAAGTTTTTCTGGAACTCGAGGACCACAACTTATACCTGTTTGTCTTCCCAGAACCTTGAAACTGATCTGCACATAGAATAGACAGGATAGTGGGTTCCTGGGCTCTGCTCTGGAGTCAGACTCCCTGGGTTCAAAACCTGGTCCTGCTAGTTGCTTGCTGTGTGACATCAAACTATGGAATCTGCTCACATGCCTTCCTGAAGAGTTGTTGAGAAAATTAAAGTACATAATAATTTTCAAGTGGTCAGCACAGTGTCTGGCACACATTAATCACTCCACAAAGGCCAGATATTATTAGGAGCCCAATTTGTTGTTAATAGTGAATGACTCAACTGGTTCTCAAGGTTAAAATATATATATATGTGTGTGTATATATATATATTTGGGCCCTAAACCCTGGTGTTTAGTCAAGACTCTAGAAGGTCAATGGTTGAAGAGAAATGTAAGGCTGAAGCAGGAGCTTCCAAGGAGGTGGCTAAGCAGGCGATATTTTTCGAGTCAGGAAATATACTTCTCTGGATGTATGTACATGTATTTTAGTGAAATGGCCCATTTCTTCCAAGGACTTTATAGGACAAAAGCTTGCCTTCCTTCTGACTTTATTCCCATACAAAATCATGAGGAAGCAGGCTCTTATAAAACACACAATTCCTATGGTTTTCTTCAGGTGCATTGTCAACCTGCAAAGAGATTCTTCTCCAACTACTTTCAGTTAGTTTGGGGGAGAGTTTTGGGATGGGATTTACATATAGATCATTTTTGTTGCAAGCCTGTGAGCTTTAGGTCATCTGTTCTGCAGGCCACAGGAGGCATTTCTCTGAGTATCAGAGCTAAGCACAATGGAACTTGGACATAAGGCAAGTCAGGTGGTTAGGAAATTGTCAAAACCTAAGATCTTGGAATTTACAGGGAGTTGAGATGTAGAGGAGGAAAATGGAGAAGCTTCAGGTAATAGGATTGGGCAGACTGATGGGGACAAATAGTAGAGACTGTTGAGCTCTTTCAGAACACAAGATCCCAGTCACGGGGGGGTTACAAAAAGGCAAAGTTCAAGCCAGCAATAAGTGTCAGGAAAAGCAGTTGTAACCACAAAGCCAAGAGTAAGTGGGGGCAGAAGGGTCATGAACCATTACCTTTCATGCAAAAGATAATTATAAAGCATCAAACTATCACCAGAAATATTTAATGTCTATAGCAATGCCCATGAATTATATCATCTCATCAGCTTTCCCTCTCTGGGCCTCAGTTTCCCCATATTTGAATCTGAAGAACTCCCAGCTTGAGTTAGTGCCCCTCCTCTGTTCCCCAGACCTCTGTGTTATAACTGTCTATCAGTGAGTCTGTCTCTCTAACTATACCTTGAATTCCTAACAGTAGGACTGTATTTTATTCATGTCTGCATCCTCAAAGCCTGGTCCAGGGCCTGGCATATAACAGGTGTTCCATCAATATTTGCTGACTAAATGGTCTCTAAATTCCTTGGAGGACAGACTCATAGAATGACTGAATCAGTTATTCTAGGACTCTGACCTCTGCAGAGTTCAAGATAAAGTGAGAGCTAAAAAACCTTGCCAGCAGCAGTCCAGCAGCAGCAGTGCAAAGCAGGCTGCTTCAGTTGAAGCACTATAGCCCTCTGCTTCCCATCCTCTCTCTTAACTTCTTTATTACCATTTCCAAATATCTTCTTTGGTGACAGTCTAAAGTCCTGTTTTGCTTGCTTCAAACATCAAGGTAGGGGTTTTGTAAATGTGAAATACCAACCATCCCTCTAGTTTACTTCCCTTTTCTCAGGCAAGTCCATAGGCTTAGGTCTTGCATAGCTCTTAGATTCTCTTGGTAGAAAATCCTGAGCTAAAGATTCAAATGTAAGAAGTTTACTGGGAAAGTGATTCTAGGGAGCACTGATAGGGCAGCAGGGAAGTGAGACAGGAAAGGGAAGAAAGGTGATATAGGGTGTGTTAATGAGCTGTGGGCAACTGAGGCTCATTCCTACCGAAGACTCTTGGGAGACTCTGGGGAACACACATCAGAATCATCCCCCATAAGGAGTGAGGGAGCTAGGGTATTTATCCACCAACTCCCATCTAAAATTGGTTGAAGACTTTTTCAGGGTTGGAGAGGAATAGTCTCCCACCACTACTAATTTGCCTCATGTACTAGTTGAACACACTCCTGCAGCCAGAGAAAGCCCCCAGGTGCTTGTAGAAGCCATCAGGGCTGGGTGCAATGGCTTACATAGTGGCTGTAATCCCAGCACTCTGGGAGCCAAGGTGGGAAGATAGCTTGAGGCTAACAGTTCCAGACCAGCCCGGACAACATAGCAAAAACTAGTCTCTACAAGAAAAAAAAAAAATAGCCAGGCATGGTGATGCACACCTGTAGTCCCAGCTACTTGAGAGGTTCAGACAGAGGATTGCTTGAGCCCAGGAGTTCAAGACTGCAGTGAATTATAATCGCCAGGGCACTCTGGTCTGGGCAACAGAGCAAGACCCTGTCCCTAAAAAGAAAAAAAAAAGTGGGGGAAAAAAGCCATCATCATGTACAGCAACAGTGAGATTAAGGGGATATGGGTAGCCATACCGGTACCTTATGCTACTCATCATAGCTACAACTAAGACTTCTAGACTCAAATGCCCCAAAGTCTTCCATTCTTTCCTCCTAGTTTAGTCTACTTGGATTGAAATATGAAGCTCTCCAATTTCCCTCTACAGTACCCTGACAAGTAGACAGTCAGTCCCTGCTTGAATACTGCTAGTGTCAGGGAACTTATTGCCTCTGCAAGGCAGCACATTCTATTGCTGAAATAACTGAGATGCCAATTTTTTTTTTTTTTTTTTAAGATTCCACAGTTGTCATCTTGTAATTTCCAACTAAGTTCTACCCCTTGGAGTCCCACAGAATGATTCTCCTTCACCACAACAGCACTTTTGTGTATGTGTGTGTGCGTGCGCAACAAGGCTGTTTATTTCACCTGGATGCAGGCGGGCTGAGTCCGAAAAAGGAGTCAGCAAAGGGTGGTGGGATTATCATTTAGTTCTTGCAGGTTTGGGATAGGTGTACAAAGTACCTTCTTAAGAGTGGGGGGAGGGGAGGGGAGAATATTACAAAGTACCTTAAGGGCGGGGGAGAATATGTCTATCAGGGTGGGGCAGGAACAAATCACAATGGTGGAATGTTATCAGTTAAGGCTATTTTCACTTCTTTTGTGGATCTTCAGTTGCTTCGGGCCATCTGGATGTATACGTGCAGGTCATAGGGGATATGATGGCTTAGCTTGGGCTCAGAGGCCTGACATTCCTGTCTTCTTACATTAATAAGAAAAACAAAACAAAATGGTGGTGAAGTGTTGAGGTGGTGAAAATTTTGGGGGGATAATGGGCGATGTTTCTCAGGGCTGCTTCAAGCGGGATTAGGGGCGGCATGGGAACCTAGAGTGGGAGAGATTAAACTGAAGCAAGATTTTGGGGTAAGGGGTGATATTGTGGGGTTGTTAGAAGGAGCATTTGTTATATAGAATTATTGGTGATGGCCTGTATGCGGTTTTGTATGAATTGAGAAACTAAGCGGAAGACACAAGGTCCGAATAAGAGAAGGAGAAAAACAGGTATTAAAGGACTAAGAATTGGGAGGACCCAGGACATCCAATTAGAGAGTGCCCAAGGGGGTTCAGCATAATTATTTGCTTGGTTGGCTAGTTTTTGGGCTCTATCCTTGAGTTTTTTATGTTGTCATATACCAGGCCAGATTGATTTAGGTAAAAACAACACTCTTCATTTAAAAATATACAGAGTCTCCTTTTTTAGCAGTGAGTAAGTCGAGGCCTTGGCGATCCTGGAGGAAAGAGAAATGCAAAGCCAGCAATTGTTTGTTAAAAAAGGACTAGAAACGGCTAGGAAAGAGTGACTGAGATTGATAGTATGGTGGAGATAGCTGGGGAGAGGTAGAGGGTAGCATAAGAATGGGAACGAGAATAAGAGTATAAAACTAAGGAATAGGACTTTATCAGGGTGAAAGTATTGGAGGGTGCCCTGCCAGCAAAGATCATCTATCCACTCTAAGAGGGAGTTAAGAGTGGCAGTTTGGGGATAGCACCAGGAGATATCAGCTGTGATGGCTTGGAGAAACAGTGTAAACTGGCAGTGTAAACAAGAGCAGGGCATTTATAAGCAGTTGAGAATGGTGAATAGGAGTATGACTAGACAGAAGATAGTAGGGATGACAAGTTTTTGGGGCGCAGTCCAAGTAGTGGGGGTGACTGCGTAAAGCCCTGTTGCAAAAAGGAGGGTAAGGATGAATAGACTTAATAGAATGAAGGGATGTATTAGGCTCATGAGGGTTATTACGTTCTTCAGAAATTCGAGTGAGTTTAAGGGAAGTAGGGGAGAGTACCTGTGACTTCCAGGAGGAAGAGGAGAAATCAGGTTGGCTGTCCAATGGACACAGTTTTATTCTGGAACAGTGAACCCAATGGGGAGGGTCCTGCAGGCAGACTGCAATTGGGGTACTATGGATGACTAAGGAGGGTCTGGTCCATCGAGGTTGTAGAGTTTGAGGGGTCAGATTCTTAACAAGAACTGATCGTCCAGCTAGGGTGTCTTCATATGGCTGGGAATCTGGAGTAGGCAAGAGAAGATTAGCAGCCTGGCGAATTTCCTGTCTAGCCTGTTGGAAGACTGGAAGATAGTCGCCCAGAGGGCCACAACAGCACTTCTAACAGAGTTTCTAAAACAAACTGGTATGTTTTCACCGTGAATCTCCCTCTCTGGCCCAAATCACTCACTGCCTTTACCATTCTTACTACAATGTGGTCTTTAGACCAGTGGTTCTCAACCAGGGGCAAACTTGCCTCTTAGGAGGCATTTGGCATTATCTAGAGACATTTTTGGTTGTTACATCTAAGGGAGAAGCTACCGGCAACTAGTGGGTGGTGGCCAGGATGCTGCTAAGAATCCTACGAGACACAGGACAACCCCCACAACGATTTTCTGGCCCAAAACATCAAAAGTGCCAAGGCTGAGAAATCCTGCTCTAGACACATCATTATCCAGGCTACCCCCCTCTGCTTTATATGGTTTGTCATATAAAGCATAGTGCTCAGAACTTGGTATGTGGTACCTGCAAGGATAGGACCAAAGAGAGCATGAATACATGGGGGTATCAAGAATACATCCTTGGGCTGGGTGCAGTGGCTCATGCCTGTAATCCCAGCACTTTGGGAGGCTGAGGAAGGCAGATCACCTGAGGTGAGGAGTTCAAGACCAGCCTGGCCAACATGGCAAAACCCCATCTCTACAAAAAATATAAAAAATTAGCCAGGTGTGGCGGCTCGTGCCTGTAGTCCCAGCTACTTGGGAGGCTGAGACACGAGAATCGCTTGAACCCGAGAAGCGGAGGTTGCAGTGAGCTGAGATCGTGCCGCTGTACTCCAACCTGGGTGACAGAGTGAGACTGTCTCAAAAAAAAAAAAACTATATCCTCTCTCACTTTGAAAATGGGATTCATAGTAGCAGCTGAAACATTCCCCATATAACCCTCCTCCTACCCAGTCTGTGGTCAGGGAAAGGCTCCAAGTCCTATTGAAACAAATTGCTCCCAAGCCAATGATTAAGAAACAAAAACAATAATATAAAAACATAAATGCAAATCTAGAAGGAAGCACAGTTCCCTCTGAGCATCCCCACAATGCTTTAATCGTAATAAATTGAATCAAATTCATTTTGGTTTATTTTTTACCCTAAAGGCATAACTGCAGATCTTCTCTACCAAATTTTTGTCACCTGAATAAACGATAAATTCTCTCTCATATTTTCACCCAAGACACTCCTAAAAATATCAAACAGGACAGAGCAATGTTGATCCATTTCTTGACCCTTTTTGGGTAAGGGTGAATTGACCAGCTATGAATCCAGTTAATTGTAGATTACATTTATTTACCTGATACAAGGAAACACCAGGTCCAGATGGTTTTACTACTAAGTCCGACCAAAATATTAAAGAAACAGTTAATTCCTATTTTGTTCAAACTGTTCTAGAAAATTTGGGTGGGGGGTGTGGAAGATGGAGGCACACTTCAGCTTATTTCATAAGGCTAGCAAAATCTATCTAAAATTGAGGACAGCACATGAAAAGAAAATTATAGGAAAATCTCACTAATGAACAAAAGATGTAAAATTTCTAGAAAATTCTCAAACTGAATTTAGCTTTGAGTTTTATGTTTTATAAAGTGATTTGAGTTTTATTTATTCCATGAATGGAGGATGATTTAACAACAGAAAATCGATTACTATACCCCACCACACTAATAGATTAAAGGAGTGGGGAATCAAGAATGAGCATACAGGGACACAGGGAACTTAAAATGTTCTTCTTGGGTATTGGGTATGTATGTATTGGTTAGCATTTGCTGTGTAACATGCAACTGCAAAATTTCAGTTATGTAAAATAAGCATTTGTTTTCATACATTTTAGGGTAAGCTGGGGGTTAGCTATTTGAGGCTGTGCTCAGTTGGGCAGCTCAGCTTTAAACTGCAAGTCTCTGGGTCAGCCAGGTGACCACAACCTAGATGTCTTTCATTATTCTTGGATTAGCTGGCTAGCTGTTGCAAGTTCATCTCATGGAAATGTGGAATATTAAGAGAATTTATTTAACAGGACAAACACACTTCAAGTTCCTGCTCACGTAGTTTCTGCCATCATCCCATTTGGCCAAAGCAATCTGCATGGCTGAGTTTACAGTCAAGGAATGGGGAAGTCTACTCTGCCTTTTACGGCGTGGATACAGATAGGAATATAGAATCGGGCCAATGACTCAATTCTATAACAAGGCCTGTATTAGTGCATTCTTGCATTGCTATGAAGAAACACCTGAGACTGGGTAATTTATAAAGAGGTTTAATTGGTTCACAGTTCTGCAGGCTATATAGGAAGCATAGCTGGGGAGGCCTCAGGAAACTTATAATCATGGCAGAAGGTGAAGGGAAAGCATGCAGGTCTTACATGGCTGGAGCAGGAGGAAGAGAGAAGGGGCAGGAAAGTGCCACAATTTTTTTTTTTTCCAAGACAGGGTCTCGCTCTGTTGCCCGGGCTGGAGTGTAGTGGCACGATCTCACCTCACGGCAACCTCCACCTCCTGGGTTCACCCAATTCTCATGCCTCAGTCTCCCGAGTAGCTAGGATTACAGGCGTGTGCCACCATGCCCAGCTAATTTTTATGTTTTTAGTAGAGACAAGGTTTCACCATGTTGGCCAGGCTGGTCTCAAACCCCTTGTCTCAAGTGATCCACCTGCCTTGGCCTCCCAAAGTGCTGGGATTACAGGCGTGAGACACTGCACCCAGCCATGCCACACACTTTTACACAACCAGATCTAGTGAGAACTCTATCACAAGACAGCACTAGGAGGATGGTGCTAAACCATTAGAAAAAAACTCATGATCCAATCTCACCAGGCCGCACCTCCACACTGGGGATTACAATTTGACATGAAATTTGGGCAGGGACACAGATCCAAACCATATCATGTGGGTATTTTATTTATAACTTATATGTATGACACATACACATTATATATGTTATGTATATGGCATATACATTATATATATGTAAAATGTGGCATTTACAAAATATTTCATAATAAAAATTAATGAAATTCACACATTAAGCACATTTTGGGGACCCTTCTTATTTACTAGTCTCATAATCCCGTCCAAAGAGGAAATAAAGTTGGCTTGGCAGGAGTTGTTCTTCATGATGGTCTCTTTCATCTTTTCTTTTTTCTATTCTTTTAACCTCTTCCAAAAAGGATTTAAAGAGGCTTACAAAGCACCAAGTAAAAGTAAATTCATAATAAATAAAACAAAGCAAAAAGAAAATAAGGTTTCCAAAGCAAGACAGAGCAGGAACCACATTAGCTCTGGCCTGGATGTTCTGTTTGCCTCTTCTGATCCTCTTTCCACCCTTCTCTACCTGTTCTATGCTCCCTGAAGGGCTCCTGTGTCTCCTTGCTTCTCCTATAGCTACAGGGCTCACTGGGTTCTGATAACTGCTCTGTCCTCCTGATGCTTTGGGCCTAGAGACAGGTAGCACTTCCTGTGAACCATCCCTTGCTGGCTTCCTTCATCCTGCCACACCTTTGTAACTTACTCCTTCACTAAGCCCTTCTTACTTCACCCTTTGGAAGGTGCCACGTTTCCTGTCAGGGACCCTGACTGCAACCGCCCACAAATTGTATGCCTTAATTCTATACACCTGCAAGATGCGGGCCTAAGGTCTTAGAGTCATTATCAAGTGGGAGACAAAATCGGTTAAAGAATCCCATCTCTCAAGAGAAGCAGACATACTCCTGACACCAAAATGGGCAAGAAATTTCCTCTTGTGGTTTCTCAAAGAGAGGACATTGTGGTGTAATAATCCCATTCTTTTCTCTTACAAACCATCTCTAATCCACTCAGGGCTCAGCCCTCAAATCTCTTCTTATCCACACTCACTGTTTGATCTTATCTAGTCTTACAGCTTTAAATATACACATGCTGATGACTCCCAGTGTGTGCCTCCGGTCCTGACTTTCCCCTCAAATCATTTTCACTATCTAACTGCCTATTTTTTGGATATCCAATAGGCATCCCAAGTTCTTTGTATGTCCAAAACAAAACTTCCAGTGTTTATTCTGTAATTCTCTCCTCCCAGTGTGCCCTCATTTCAATAGAGGGCCCCAGCATCATTTGCCTGGTTGCTCAGGGCATGTGTGTATGTATATGGGGGGGCAGGAGGAGTGGGGTAGTAATGGAAGAAACCTGTCATCCTTTTTTTTTTTTTTTTTTTTTAATAGCGATGAGGTCTTGCTATGTTCCCCAGGCTGGTCTTGAACTCCTAGGTTCAAGCGATCCCCCTGCCTTGGCCTCCCAAAGTGCTGGGATTATAGGCGTGAGCCACGATGGCTGGCCCTGTCATCCTTGATACCTTTTTTCCTCACATTCCACATCCAATCCGTCTCACACCATGTTGGCTCAGGTCTTCAAAATACATTCAGAATCTGACCAATTCTCGTGACCTCCATCACTACCACTCTAGCTCAAACTACTACAGTTTCTCATTCTACCATATTTATTCCTAACTAGTTTCCCTTCTTCTATTCTTGCAATCTTCCAGGGTCCCACCTCCATCAGCCAGTGTAATCCTTTAAAAATATGTCATATCATATCATCTCCTGCTCAAAATCCACTAACTGCTTCCCACCACACTTAGTCTTCACCATGGCCTACAGGGCCTTACATGCACGATCTTGCCCCTGGCATCTTTATTTTCTGTCACTCTTTCCTCCCTCCCTCCCTCCCTCTCTCCCCCTCTCTCCCTCCTTCCCTCCTTCCCTCCCTCCCTCCCTGCCTCCCTCTCCCTCCTTCCAATCCAGTCATAACAGCCTCCCTGATGTTCTGTGAACAAGTCAAGCGTGCTATTTGAGGCCTCGGGACCTTTGCACTTGTTCCTCTGACTGAAACACTCCTGTTCAGATATCTACATACCTCACTCATTTAAGTCTATGCCCAAATGACAAACCTTCAGGGAGGTCTTCTCTAATACCTCCACCATTGCCTACTTTGCTTCACTTTTCTTCACAGCACTTATCAGTACCTGATATGACATGAAATATGTAGATACACATTTGTTTATTGTCTGTATTTCCATTTGGAGTGTAAGCTCTAAGAAAACAGGTTTTTGTTTGTTTTTTCCTTTCATCCCAGCATCCCCAGTGCCTGTGACTTTAGACAGAGCAGGCCCTAGGTAAACGTCTGTTAAATGAATGGATGACTCTGTTCTAATTTGTCTAATTTCTCGAGTCACCCTCAGCCAGATCCAACAAATATTTGAGTCTTAATTATGTAAGTGACACTTAGCTAGATGCTTACAGCTTTAAGAACGTATAAAACAGCCCCTAACCTGAACTGTGTCCTTTTGGGAGGGTACTGATTGGGAGAGGGCACAAGGAAACTCCCAGAGTACAGAAATGTTCTTTCTCTCCATCTGGGTGGTAGTTACACAGGTGCATACATAAGAGCAAATCTACTGAGTCATATTCTTAAGATGTGTATTTTATGTTGCACCCCAATAAAAGTTTTTGTTGTTGGTTTTTTTAAGGTTCTGACGTATCTAGACACAAAACGAGATAATTTCCCAACGTGGCAAGACCAATGATGGAGCTGCACAGCCTGCTTTGTGAGCAGTGAGAAAGTCACCCTCCAGGTACTAAGATTGGCATACCCTTTCCTTGATAAGAGAAAAAGGGTAAGATGTAGCCTGTTATTCCTCTGACGCTGGAATGTCGTAGAGATCACGGGCCTCTCCTAACCCCTGGAACCATCTTCTCACTGTGGCGCTGTTCATTGGGGCCCAGCAACAGAGATCCCGAATACAGGACGCTGGATCAGTGGGGCCTCGAGCCCTTAAGTGAGATGCAGCAAGGCAGAGCGGCCTTTGGGAGAGGGCAATGGGGCAGCCCTGTGCTTTAGACTTGGCTTGAGGAGGTGACACTGTGTCCACGTGCCTGTGAAGAGAGAACGGCTGAGTATACACGCGACCCGCCAGACTTCACAAACGGAGGAGACGCGGGTCACACCAGTGCGCATGCTCAGCAGGGGCTTCTGCCACGCAGGCGCACGGCGGCCGGCGCGGGCCGAGCGGAGGCAACTGCTGTGCGGCCTGCGGGCGCGCGCTCCCTTATCGGCCAACGGACGCGAGGCGCGCGCCATGGAACAGCGGTTAGCTGAGTTTCGGGCGGCGCGGAAACGGGCGGGTCTGGCGGCCCAACCCCCTGCTGCCAGTCAGGGCGCACAAACCCCAGGAGAGAAGGCGGAAGCAGCAGCGACTCTAAAGGCAGCCCCAGGCTGGCTAAAGCGGTTCCTGGTATGGAAACCTAGGCCCGCGAGTGCCCGGGCCCAGCCCGGCCTAGTTCAGGTGAGACGATGGAAACTTCGGCCCTAGGACCTGGCCTCGGAGCCACAGTCGAGGGCGCGGCCCTAGCTGCCGGGGGTGTGGCCCTAGCTGCCGGAGGCGGGGCTACTGGCCCCCCATCCTGATCGAGGGCCGGACCGCTCATCTCCGGCCACACGTGTCAGCACTGTTACCAGTTTTGACATTTTCTTTCCAGCCCGCGACCCACGCAGGTCCTGATTCCAGCGAGAGTCGAGGGTCCTGGGAGAAAGCACCTCTGCTCTTAAATTATTCACTCCGAATTGAGTTATCGTGACGCCCTGTGGCATTGGGAAACCTCTCCACAACCAAGTTGAGCCACAGCCCTCTGCTAATGGAGGAGGGTAAAAGGTCTAATTGGATACCGATCACAAGTAGCAGTAATTAAAACTTCATTTGATTCGCACCTGGGGCACATGCAGCTAGTAGCCCAGATAGCCTGTGACTTAGAAATGCGTTTGAATACAGAATTTACCAAAGTGTGGTAGCTGTAACTGCCGGTAGTGGCAGAAGCTTATTCCAGTTCCATAGTGAATGTTCAAGACACAAACAAAAAAAAGTGATTTAGTATGATAACCTTTTCACATTTAATTGTTTTGGTAATCTCTTGTTTTGCAGATGAATTTAATTTGCATCCTTTTGTGTTTTCATTTAGTTTTAACTCAGTAAAATGGTAAGGTGGCTTGCAGTGAGGTTGAAATGTCTATGTGGAAATACAAGACAAAACATATCAAGGGATGAGTGCTTTGTAACAATTTGTGCCCAGTGCTTTGTTCCTCATAAGTGCAATAAGAACTAAAAAATTCCTTTTAAAATGAAAATATACTGGAAGAAAAGTGTACCTTGCTCACCTTAAAATTATTTCCTGTAAGTTCATCTATTATTGCACAACATTTGATTTGAGGGAATTTTTAAAAATTACTGAACCTATTACTCAATTTTGATTTGATATTCTCAGTGATATACAGGATTCCAGCTGACTTGCAGAAAGGTGAAAAGAGCGCAGCAGAGTTCAGACAATCCATTTCCTTGTGTGCAGTTTGTGTTAATTGTCTTTGGATAATTTTATTGTTGACTAGAACTTTCTAAGTACAACACTTGCTTAAGATTTTAGAAACCATTTCCCTTATTCTTTTTCTCTCTGCAGTTAAAAAACAATGTCTAACCCATGCAATGAACTTTTGACTGTATGTCTCATTTCCAAAGGAATGAGATCATTGAGGTGGACCCAGAGAAACTGAATTCAGAGAAAAACTTCCATTATTGAGAACCCAAACGCTGATTGCCAGACAAAAGGATGAGAGGAAATGCTGGACCTCCAGTTTCTTGTTAATTGCTCTGTTTTTCCATAAGGGACTCTGCCTTAAGCTCATTTTCATTGACTTATCATTTCTGGGTTTGCTCTGGTGTGAAAATTCTCATTTAATTTTTTTTCTTCAGATTCTGCCTCTAGTTTAGAAAAGAAAAAGTCTAATTTACAATTCATGTCAGACAATTTTGATGGCACACTGTGGCCTGTCAGAGATTTCTTTAGCATTCTATTTTTTTAAATTATTTTTAATTTTTGTTTTTTTAATTGAAACAGCTTTATTGAAATAAGGTTTACATACTACAGAATTTATCTCTTTTAACATACAGTTCAAAGATTTTTAGTAAATTTATTGAGTCATGCAACCATCACTGCAACTTTAGAACGTCTCTATCACTCCAAGAAGACCCCTCTTGCACATTAGCAGTTACTACCCATTTCCAACCCCAGCCCCGCACAAATGTCAGTCTGCTTTCTATCTATACATTTGTCTTTTCCGGATGTTTCATGTAAATGGAATTATACAGTATGGTAAACACATTTTTTGTCTATTAATTTTTATATTCAACTAGGTTCAACATGTAGCCGTAGCCAAATATTTTAAATTTTCCTTCTGGAAGTTTGAAAATATTTATCTTTTTTGATACTTACTTCTCCTTCTGCTTTCTCTTTTTCATACTGAAACAGTCTTTTAAATGATTGCATTCATTGATTAATTCCTTATTTTTCCCTTCTAGCAGAAGACCTTCCTTTTCACTCTCAAGACAGCATCCTTGGATATTAATTACCTTTTGTTCATTATCCCCTTTCTTATGAGCACCATCTAGTTGTTGAAGCAACAGATTTTCATGTTGTAGTTGAGATATTCTCTCCTCTACGTAGTCCCACTTTCCAAAGGATTTACTTGGCTTAGGTCCTTTTGTACACTTTATAAAACCAAAACCTTTTCTCTGAGAGAATTTCTTGTGTCATGGAGTTTACTTTTTAGGGTATTGAATTCGAGCTTCGGAAAGTTGCTCAGTTAAAAACTCATTATTATCTTTTAGTTCAGAAATATCAGAACTCATTTTCTTTCTTGTAAAGAAACGTCTTGTGCTCTCTGTAAAGCAAGTTCTAGGTCTCTTTTTGTTTTCACACTTTGATCACACTCACTTATAGCAGCAGCCAGTCTAGCATGGAATGACTCAACTTCAGCTTCCAGTCTTTCCTTGTTTTGATTTTCCTTCTCCAGTTTAGACTTGAGCATTGTATTCTCAGTTTTGAGGTCGTTAAGCTGTTGACCATACTGGGATACTGTTTTTGTTAATGTTTTTCCATTCAGTTTTATAGTCTCTTGAAGGTCATCATTCATTTCTTTAACAATTTCAATGTCCTTTTTCCCTTTCGAGGTTCCTATTTTTTATTGTGTATACTTACATACACAATAAAGGCAATATCTCTCTTCAACAAGCAATTTTCATGCATCAGATCTTTTTTTTTCTTAAAGTATTTCTTCAAGCCTTCAATTCTATTTCTAGTGATCCGATAGTCAGTTTAAGCTGTTCTTTTACTTCAACTTCTTTCCTATGTTGCTCCACTTTCCTTTCTAACTCTTCCCTAATTTTTTCATATAACATATTAGCATTTCTTCTCATCTTCTTCTAAGCTGCAAACTGTAGAGTTCCTGTTTCCATTCTACTTTTTGATATTGAACTGTGACTTCGTTTCTTGTGTTTTGGATAGCTCCTTCAGTACACTAAACTCAGTTTTCATATTTCTTATTGTCTAGTGTAAGTTGTTCACAGATAATTTTTTTTAAGGTCCAGTGACTTTTCACATGAAAGAAATGCATTCTGGACTTCCATTAGGATACGAGAATCATTACAATCCATTCCATATTGCTTAATGAGCATCATAAACTTCTTACAATGAGGGTAAGGTTTCTCATGATCCTCTGAAGCTGTTTCAGAGGGCCGAGTTAAGTCATCAGGTTCATCTCTAAATGAGTTTGCTTTTTGACCTTTTTCTTTTCATTTGACATTTTCTTTGCAGGCCTAGCATACTCTTTGTTCTCCTTCCTAGGAAATCGCTGATGGTAAGTTTTTCCACTCTTTCTTTGTTGAATTAATTTATCATCATCGTCAGCAGATGTACTATCATATACGTTTTTTTGATACTTTTTTTTTTTAACTTTCGTGCTTCTTTCTAGCTTCTTCAACCTGTGGCTGTTTATTTTCACTTTCAAGCTTTTCCTGTTCTTCCTCTGATGTCACTTGTACTTCTTGTTCTGCTTTGGATGTTTGTTCGTTCTTCCTTTCTATTGCTTTCTTCACAACAGAATCTTTCATTTCCATGGTAGGCTTTAGGGAAGGATGTTTTTCAGGAGGCCCTTCTCCCTTTCCATTTACTATATATTTTTTCCTTTTTTATATGAAGGTCCAAGTAAAGACTTTGAAACACTCTCAGGGATACACTGCTTGGTAGTAAAAGTCAAGTCTTCATCATCTGGTTTAGGCCATGAGTCAACACACAGTTTTTTTTTAAATACTGAATGCAGATGCTTCAGAACTCCCAGAATCTTTTGCACTTGCTCCTCCTGTTTTCAAACTTGCATTCTTCTTGGATGCTTCTTCTGGGTTGTCATTTTGAAGACCATTTTCAAGTATCTTTTTTTTTTAATGTTGCAAAATTTGTTGTGAGTGCTTGTCAGACCACCAGAAATAGCATAATCTGCAGTCTGTTCATACATACTCTTGAGTAAAGACAATATTTTGTTGAAGAAGAATGCTAACTATACCTGACAAGCCATAATGTACAACAGGCATGAGAGCTGTTCTTTTCAACCTATCAACAGCATGTACATTTGCTTGTTTCTTCACTAAAATTCCACCTTTTGCTGTGTTTTGCAAACTATAGCAAGTAAAAGTGGTGTGTTTGCATCCTTGTTCAGCACTTCAGTATCCTTGTTCAGCACTTCAGTATTCACATGGTGTGAGGGCAGTTTTTCTGCCAGTAGTGTATTCTCATTATACACAGCATAGTGTAGTGCATTGTTGCTATAGACATCCATAAGATCTGGGTTGGTGCCACATTCTAGCAGAATGATGACACAAATCTCTTCTTGGCAATGTACAGCCTTCATCAAAGGCATCCTGTTTCATTTGTCACCAATGTCAGTCTGGCACTTTCAGTTCACCTGGAGAGTGACCACTTCCACATGGCCATTGGCACAGGCCAAATGTAAAGCAGTCGTGTTCATCCACAGATGAAGGAATACAGAAACTCCAGGATATTTGCACAATGGAATACTCTTCAGCCATCAAACTTTAGGACATCACCCCACTTCCAGCAACGTGGAGAGAGACCTGTTCATCCACAGATGAAGGGATACAGAAACTGTAGTATTCATTCACAATGGAATACCCTTCAGCTGTGCACATATACTGAAATCATATCACCTGGAGCCACACAGTTGAACCTGTTCATCCCTTGATGAAGGGATGACAAAACTGAAATATATATCCAGAATGGAATACCCTTCCACGACAGAAGTGGATGAAATCCTGTCATTTGCAGCCATGTGGAGAAACCTGTTCATCCGCAGATGAAGGGATAAAGAAACTGTAGTATATATACACAAATGGAATACTCTTCATCCAGAAAAATGTAATGAAATTACATCATTTGCAGCCACACTGTTGAACCTAGAGGACATCATGGTAAATGACCTGTCCTGTCCACCCACAGCTGAAGGGATAAAGAAACCACCATACAGATACACTATGGAATATGCTTCAGCCATAAAGCTTTGGGAAATCCTGTCATCCACAGCCATGTGGAGAAACCCAAGAAACCCAGAGGATATTAGGTCCAAGGAAATGAGCCTGGTAGAGGAAGTCCCACACCTTTTAATCTCAGGCATGGAGATTCCAAAAACTTTATCTCCTGTCCATCTACAGATGAAGGGATCAAGAAACTGTAATGTATATGCACAAAGAATACTCTTTGGCCATCAAAATAACTAAACCATGTCATTTGGAGCAACAAAGCCACTGCGGCCTCCATTTGGGCCAAGCTCTGACTGCAATGATGCCTCTGCCCCGACCCGGGCCTCGCTGTGACTGACAATGCCGCTGCATCTTTTCAGCAGTCATTGATGAGGAAGTATCTACATCCTCCTTCCCACTACCAGATTTTGCTTGGAGAAAAGCAGTTTCCTGAAATAATTCTGTGACGAGCTTCTTCCACATTAGGACAAAAATGCTGGTAACTTTTAAAAATTCCTACAGAAACCTCCTGCTTCCCTCTCCAGCCATATCCCAGGCAAGCCCCCAGCACACCACCCTGCCCCAGAACCCATTTCCCATACCCATCCACCACTCCTGACCTCCAGGCCTTGGCTCAGGCTGGCCTTCTGCTCAAAGGCTCTCCTTTGGAGTCGCCTGGCTAAGCACAGCTGTGCCTCACCCCCGCAAAATCTAGTAGTCATCTTGAATTTCTTCCTTTCCCTCACTATCATTCATTCATTCAACAAAAATCTTGTCATGTGCCCGCTGTGTTCCAGCTTTTGTTCTAAATCCTGGGAGACAGTGTAATTAAGACACACAAGTCCTACTCTTGTACAACTTGCATTTGAGCTTGGGGCAGCAGGGAAAGGAGGACAATAAACAAAACCAGATAAATGCTATGAAAGAAAAAAGATAAAACCAGTAGACTGTGATAGTGAATTAGGGGTGAGGGGAGCAGAGTACTATTTTAAATCAGCTGAGCAGGGAGAACTCACTAAGGAGGAGACATTTAACAAGAAGGAACCACCCTGGCAAAAACGGGGACTAAGCCAAGGGCACATACGGTGACATTTTTGCCGTTTGTAGTAGGAGGGGTCAACCAAGTGATATGAGGGGAAGGGAGCATTCCTCTCAGAGGGAACCACAAGTGCAGAGGCCCTAAGGTAAGAAGCAGCTTGATATTTGAGGAATGGCAGTGCCTTCCTTGGGCCATGCCTGTGTGTGATGTAACAGTCACAAACACTTCTTCACCCAGGTTTTACAGCAGAAGGGAACTGGTACTCCGACAAGTTCCAAATGAGGCAGAAGAATGTCCGTATCTCTCCTCTTGTTTGTTCCCTTCGTCAGTTTGTTTACCCCCCCACCCCCACACCCATCTACCTCTAGCTCCCTAACCTTTCTCCTGCCACCCCCCATAAAGGCCCCTAATTAAATAAAATATATTTTGGAGGAGACCATCCTAGGATCCGAGACTGACCTCATCTCTGCCTATCACTAGTTTTATGGCTTTAGGGAAATTACTTAACCTCTCAGTGTTTTCTTATCAGTAAGTTGGGAATAATAATGCCTGCTTCCTGGATTACCAGAGTTCATACATTGGAAGGCTCTCAGTAAATGGTGACATAGGAACATTCTTCTTTTTATACTCCCTAAATGATAAATTTAGTTTATTGTGAATCTCAGCATGTATATTCAGAATGTATTTTGTGTCCATCAGTCCACTATTTCCATCTGACTGCTGTCACCACCCTGGTCAATGTCTGGCTCTCTCTTGCTAGGCCTCCTCCCCAACCTTTTTAGCACCAGGGATTTCATGCTTTTGGTTAGTTCCCTGCTTAGACCTTCAGCTGTTTCCCATTTCCAGAATCTTCACTGCAACCTGCCTGGCCCTACTTTATCTGGCTCCCACCCTCATGCCCTCCCTCCTTAGCCCCGTCATCTCATGCTACTCTCCCCTTTGCCCAGAACACTGCCCAGATGCATTCTTCTTGGGCCAGAACGCATACTGTGCATGCATGTCAAATCTGAAACAGACATTTCTTTCTTTAATGAGTATCAGGGGTCAGGGATGTGGCTGATAATATAAGGGCCTCTCCAATCAGACTTTCTAATCTAACTGAAAAGATAATAATTACAATGTTGATGCTAAAAAAGAAGGTTCTGACAAAATAGAACTTCTGAAACATCATAAATCAGATGACCAGTATTTGTGATCCCCTTTTAAATATGCACGTGAAGAAGAATAGGGGATGTAACTGAAGAGATGAACTGAAAGTTCTGCTATGAATTGAGAACCTAAGTATGGGATGCCATGTTTGGATCTGGAGACACGTGGCTTCCTGGTACTTAAACAATCTGGCATCATACATGACATGACCTATAGTAAAAGAGAGACACTGTAGTGCTGAATAGTTTGGTGCTTAATGAACGGGAGAGCTAGTTCTGGGGGAGGCAGAGGGGGCACCCTCCCTGATGCCCAGGGAGGTCAGGGCTGACAGTTCATGAACGGTGCTTGCCTGGAAGGAAGGCAAAGAGTTAAGGAAGAAAGAGGAAGTGGACGGAATTCTAGGCTTGAGATGAGGACTGAGAATATCTTTGGGTAATAAGACCAGTTAAGCTGGAGAAGAAGGGTCATTTATGGAACAAAAGATTGTGGATCGTGTTGTCATGGAATTTCCTAGACCACTGTGACCCATTAGTGGATGGTGAAATTAATATAGAAGATCTTGTTCCCTATTAAAAATGTTTTTAAAGTAGAATAGGAAATACAAGAGAATGTCTCAGGGAGGGTAAGTGTTGACTTGTGAAACTTTGTTGCATATATGTATTCTGGATTACAGTCTAAAATGTATTCCTTATTGTAGGTCATGTTCAAAAGAGTTCCGAAAACAGTGGACTGGACACAGAGCTGTCTAAATACCTGTGTCTGCCATTAGCATCTGGCACAGGGGCCTGTCTACTGGCATTTCAATCTGTTGAACAAATTGAGGGTCTTGGGTTCCAGCCCAAGGAGTTTGGATTTTATCCTGTAGACAGTGAAAGTTTTTGAAGGTTTGTGAACAGGAGGGTAATAGGTCTTTAAGAAAATTCATTTAGCAGTTGTACATAGGATGGCTTGGGGAGGGAAGAGATAGGAGGCAGGGAGTCTAGTTAGGAGACATTGGCTGGGCCTTGGGTGAGTGACAATGACCTGTGTAGGTTAATCACGGGATGGGAAGGTAAGGGGGCCCAGTAATGGCTGTAACAGTGGTTTTTGTTTGTTTTTGAGACAGTGTCTTGGTCTGTTGCCCAAGCTAGAGTGTGGTGGTGCAATCTCAGCTCACTGCAGCCTCCGCCTCCCAGGTTTGAGCGATTCTCATGCCTTGGCCTCCTGAGTAGCTGGGATTACAGTCGTGTGCCACCATGCTGGCTAATTTTCGTATTTTTAGTAGAGATGAGGTTCCACCATGTTGGCCAGGCTGGTCTCAAACTCCTGAGCTCAAGTGATCTGTCTGCCTCAGCCTCCCAAAGTGCTGGGATTACAGGTGTGCACCTGGCTGATTTTTTTTTTTAAACGTAAAAAGGATTTTTGTTTCCTGTCTCTATTTTAGAATCATGTCACTTGTAATATTTTAGGTCATCTAATCCAATCAACAAAGGTATATTGACTCTGTATTTGAAGCATTTGTCATGACTGTTGCATTATCAGTTATTCAGGAGTTTCTGTATGGGGCACAAATTAGCTCTTCTTAGCAGCAGACTAATCTGAAGAAATGACTCCCACGAATAAGAATCTGTCTGAATACGTAGGGCTTTTATTAGGTCACATCTCACTAAGTGCTGATCAGTTTTGATTCAGTTGGAGTAGAGCACATAGGTTCTTTGGAGATGATTGTTTTAGAGAGTTGCATGAAAGAATAGAAATCAATGAGCCAGCAGCCTTCTCAGAGCAATGAAAACTGCCTTTTCAGATTAGTTTTGATCATCTCAGCTCCATTACCCTTTATTCTTTCTTTTGTTTGTTTGTGTATCCTAGGAAGCGGCTCAGCCCCAGGGCAGCACATCAGAGACACCATGGAACACAGCCATTCCTCTGCCGTCGTGCTGGGACCAGTCTTTCCTGACCAATATCACCTTCTTGAAGGTTCTTCTCTGGTTGGTCCTGCTGGGACTGTTTGTGGAACTGGAATTTGGCCTGGCATATTTTGTCCTGTCCTTGTTCTATTGGATGTACGTCGGGACACGAGGCCCTGAAGAGAAGAAAGAGGGAGAGAAGAGCGCCTACTCTGTGTTCAATCCAGGCTGTGAAGCCATCCAGGGCACCCTGACTGCAGAGCAGTTGGAGCGCGAGTTACAGTTGAGACCCCTGGCAGGGAGATAGGACCCAGCTGTGCTGTCATGCAGCTAACCTCTGATGTGGTCTTCCTCACCATTGGCTATGGATTTGATTTCAGGTGTATAGGACTAAGGGCAGCTTGCGGGTTAGCTCTGTGACTGCATAGTTTTTCTACCTTCTTTCCCTGATCTTTTGCTGCCATTTGATCTTTGATAGTTTTGGTGAAACTCTCTAAAATACATTCACTGTGGGTCCGACGCAATTTATAAAAATTATGTACTCAAGAAGGGAGACCTGTTTGTTTCATTTCTCATCTGTTTGGGAGATGATTTTAGAGCACTAGAAAGGCACTGGGGAGATTCTCAGCTTAAAACATCCAGCAGTTTGAAGTATGATTAGGTACATCAGGGCTGCATTGTCAATGTTCTCTTTAAGTCTTTTAACATTTATAGCAATTTTTTTTTTCCCGGAGAGTTTAGGTTGCAAGTTTTGGGTTTCTTGTTTGTTTTTGTTTTGCTTCCTGCTTTAATTCTTTAATTTTCAGTCATTACTGGTATTGAAAAATAAAATATCTTTAAAACATCTCCTCTTCAGAAATAGGTCCCTCTTCATTGCCCATCACCATCTTCCACTCTCCTATTATTTTGCCACTACTCAGTAAAGGAAGGTAGGAAGAGACAAACGCCTAAGTGCAGGTGTGGGGAGGGATTTCACAAGTGGTTATTAACGGCCAGTTCAGCAAGAAGTGTTGAGTGTGTACAAAGGGGAGGGCTGGAAGTGTTAACTCCAGACCCGTTGGCTGCTTGAGTTGTTTCTTATATTCTAAAGCAGCAGTCCCTAACCTTTTTGGCACCAGGGACCAGTTTTGTGGAACACAGTTTTTCCATGGACGGGGTGGTGGTGGAGGATGAAACTTCCACCTCAGATCATCAGGCATTAGAGTCTCATAAGGAGCACGCAACCTAGATCCCTCGCATGCGCAGTTCACAATACGGTTCTAAGGGCTTTAGAGTAAGCAGCTTTTTCACCTGTGGGCCTCTGGTGAGAAATTCTGTAAATTGTGATAATCAGGCTGGATTTTAATGCTGCTTTTCCAGTACAATGTTAGAGTTTGGGTTCATTAAAATTAGGCAAACTCCCATTGGGTTAGGGCTTCTCTCATTCCATTTTGTGGCTAACCTTACTGTGTTTCAGCCCTTGCTGAAAATTCTTCTGATATGTGTTGCCCTTCCTCACAGCCCTTTGGCCATTGGGAGTTTGGCTGTCCCTCAGAGCCATCCGGTCAAGCAGATGGTCTGTTCTATCTCACAGAAAAGTCTTTTCTTCCATGAGTTCTGTCTGAACTGAACATGTAAAAAGTATGGGAAACAGATGAATCCCTATTAAACATGAAGTTTTGATTGTATTTAAGATACAATTTTGTTGACTGATTTATTTTCTTAAGGCTTTCTTAATTTTCTTGATACTTTCCTTGGGCTTTTCTGTTTCATAAAAGCCCCATACAAGGGAGTAATTCCCTAATCTTAAGTTTTACTGCAGTGCTCAGGGCAGTAAGCATTGCTGTAGGAAAGAACTAATTTGTATTTTAAAAACATATAATTCAGACTTTCCCCTAAAACAAAATGCCTGTAACTCTGAATTAGGTTTGATCCAATTAGTAATCCCAGTGGGGTAAAGACTTAAGCACGCATGAGACTTGACCTATGGGTGGACCTCAGTAGTGATTTTTGAAATGCAGCTGTTTTTGAGGTGGAGTCTAGATTGCCTCAAACCCATCTTGCATGAGATTTTCTGTGAACAATTTGTCACTTCTAACCTCTTACCAAAGGTGCATGTAATGATGGCATTAACTTCTAGGAAAAATAGTGTGTGAATCAATTAATGGCCTGGCAGGGAGAAGAAGAAAGAACAATAAGTATTTGGTGCTCTGATCAGACCATTAGGTTTTAGGTGCAGCCTTGATTTTCCGAATTTAGGCCTATTGATCTCAGAATTTCCACTCACAGCCTGACCATTAACCCAGCATGCAGCTTCCATTAAAGGATTCTTCTGTCATCAGGGAACTTGAAATCCCAGAGGTAGATGCAGTCACTGTGATAGCTTTATACACGAGTGAAGTCGTTTGTGTCCAAGTCTAACAAGTAACTTGGTTTTTGCTTTTATTCACATTATCCCATCTTGCCTATTGATAGGGACTGTTCAACAAGACTCTACATCTAAAGTTGGAAGGGACCCCAAAATACCATCAAGTGTGTTCCCCACCCCCAACCTTGGGCAGGGCCATCATTTATTCCCAACTAAAGATAATTTGTTTCTAGTGAACCCCTAAAGAAGATTCCAGGTACTTCCTAGGAAGTTCTTTATGTTTACTGAAAGAACTTTTGCCACCCCCATCCCCGCCATCTGGGGTTATTTTGTCTCCTAATCTCAGTGGATGTGGAGTCCCTGGAGGCCTATGTGAGCATCCTTCACACTGGTAAACCTTTACTCAGTTCTCTTTTCTCTCTGCTCTTTAGGCCAAGTCATTGAGCTATACCTCTGGGACTCAATCACTTTCATGCTAGCCCTGACCTATTCTAAGTGTTTCAGGTTTGGGTGGGGGTGAGTGGCCCTGTGGATGGGTATAATGATCTTTCTCAAAAGCTTTGGAGCTTTGCCAGTGATGACTTAGGCATGTGTATTTTGTGCTATTAGAGTTATGCTTTGAGTATAGGCTGTCTTTCACATTTGCCTTTTGACTGATCTGTGCGTCAATCAAAAAGCTCTGTGCTGCAAAATCTTAGAAAGTTACAGAATTGAAAGAACCAGTGACCCTCAGTTGGGCAGAAGACATCAAAATTCGAGCTGTGTGTTTTTAGTTCCTGCCACTCATACCAGCAAATATTTGTAGATGCCCTGGATTTGGCGCTGCTGGGGACACACACATATGAGCTCCTGCATAGGATGAGCGTCCCTAAGAGCCCGGGGATGCAGGGGTGGGGTTGGGATGTCATGAAGCATGTTGCCGCCAGGCGGTGGCGTAGAGCTGCCACTATACCTCACGGGTCCCTTCACATCACACTTGAAAATTTACGTAATGTGGAAAACCCTCTGGGATGTTTATCTCAACCGCTTGTGCTGCTTTTTCAGATGTTTTTTTCAGTTTAAAACTCACAGAGGAAAGGGCCCATCAGAGGTCCTGGGAAAGGCATAGAAAGCTACCAGAAGTGATTTATATATGTATTTAAAAATAAAACAGCAGCCCCTCTCTAGACTTAGCAGGCAGTGTTACAGTTGCTTGCACATAGCTAAGCTTTGCGGGAAGGGGAGGTGGAATGACTAAGAATTTACATAGTTGGCAGAGAAAACCAACTCCCTAAGCCAAAGAAAGTAACTTTTGAACCATATGCTTTGGTTTCTATCACACATAATTTTATTTCACAACTTTGGAGCACTAGGCTACATAAAGACTTGGATCCCATTCTCAAAAATCTGAGAGAGAAGACAAGATGAGTGCACACAAACTGTATTATAAAGTACAGGACATAATGTGAATGTTTATAAAGGTGTAAGGTGTGTGTGTGTGTGTTCAAGGGAGAGATCACTTGCAGTCCTAAATTCTATACTATATAGGATTTTCACTTCTATGTGAAAAATACTCTTTCCTTAACAAGTCATGGATGAACGTTTTGAAAAGTATGGTCTATAGACCACGCACCTGCATAGGAATCTCCTGTAGTAATGTTAAAATGCAGATTCCAGGGCCCCCACTGACTCAGAATGTCTGAGGGTAGAATCCTGAGAATCTGCATTTTAACAGCCTCCCAGGTGTGATCTCTGGCACAATAAAGATTAAGAGCCGCTGACGTAAACAATAAATGTTAAAATAGGAAGAAAATTTAGTGATTATTAGATCCAAGCAAAGAAAATTGGTGTGCATTTTTAAAGGGAGCAATGAGGCTTGCTATTTTTCAAACTGTTCATTTGGAACACCAAAGCGAGAGACGAAGAAACATAGCTTTAAAACAATGAGGAGCTAACTCCAAAGACTACGTGGAAATTAAGTCCTTTATTTTTGAGGTTTTCTCTAAATGATTACAACAAGAAGTACATGCTCATTTTAGAACATTTTGGAAATACAGGAAGGAATAAAATATTGTTGTACTTCTATGCATATATTTTAGAAGCCAAGAGGTACATGGGGTGTATAGTGAGAACATCTCCCTCCACCCTGCCATGTTTGTTCTTTCTCAAGCCTGCAAATGACACCATTCTAAACACGCTATTCTTTCCCTTGCTTTCTTTTTCTTTCTTAGGAGTTTGAGTTTTATTTATGTGCATTTGAAGTTTTTATGTAAGGGAGTGATATGATCCAATTTACTTTTTTTTTTTTTTTTTTTTTTTTGAGAGACAGAGTCTCACTCTGTCACCCAGGCTGGAGTGCAGTAGCATGATCTGCCTCCCAGGTTCAAGCAATTCTCCTGCCTCAGCTTCCCAAGTAGCTGGGACTACAGGCATGTGCCACAACACCCAGCTAATTTTCGTATTTTTAGTAGAGATGGGGTTTCACTATATGCTGGCCTGCCTGGTCTCAAACTCCTGGCTTCAGGTGATCTGCCCACCTCGGCTTCTCAAAGTGTTGGGATTACAGGCATAAGCCACTGCAGCCGGCCCCCAATTTTCATTTCTAAAAGATCATCCACGCTATGGTGGGGAGTAGATTATCTATGTCATTCATTCATCCATCCATCTATCCATTTACAGAGCATCTAAACTTTGCCAGTCCTGGTGCTGGGCGTAGCTCATACAGACATAAGGCAGACAAGGTTCCTTTTCTCAAGGAGCTCACAGCAAATGGGGGAGGTAGCCAATAACCAGACAGTTACAGTGCAGTGTGGTAAGCCACACTGAGTATGTCGTCTGAACGAGGACCACAGCATCAAAAGAGGATCTTAAATCACAGGTCAGGAAAGGCTTCCTGGAGGCAATGACACTGTGCTGAGTTTAAAGGAGGACTAGGTACTCCCCCAAAAAAGAAGGTGGGGGCAAAAAGTAGCATTTTGGTCAGAGAAAACCACCTGGGAGAAAGGTGATAATCATGAAGGAGAATAACAAGCTTGGATGCATTCTGAAGACTTGGATGTTTAGGAACAAATAAAAGGAATTGATGAGAGGCAATTCCAGAAAGGAATATTGAGTGCCTCTTGCTTTTTGAGCAAACAATATTTCTTAATAATTACATCAGCACAAATAGAGCTGCTTCCTGCTTTTTCACAGCTACAGAGTGTACCATTGTATGGATAGATTATAACTCAACAAGTCTCCATTAATGTATATTTAGGTAGTTTCTAATCTTTTGTTGTTGCAAACAATGTACAACAAATATCCTTGCACATATGTCATTTCGACATATGGGAATACTTCTCTGGGATAATGTCTTAGAATTAGATTTGCTGGCAAAAGGATATTTGACTGAAAATGTTGATAGATGTTGCCCTGCGTAGAAGTGATTCTTATTTACATTCCTACCAGCAATGTATGAAAATGCCAATTTCCTCATATCCTCACCAACACAGGGTGTTTTCCCAACTTTCTGTACTTTGCCAATATCTGAGAAGTGAAATGACACCTCATAGTTTTAATTTAAATTTCTTATTATGGGAGAACATCTTTCTATAAATTTGTGAGCCATTTGTATTTATCTGTGAACTCTTTTAGCTTTTGCGTGATTTCTGTTGAGTTCTTGGGAATTTTAAAATTTCATTTAGGAACTCTTCATAAATGAAGAAAATTGGCTCTTTGAATTATGCATTTCAAATATTTTTGCTCAATTTGTTCAAACTTGTTGCCGTTTTTGTTTCTGTGTGGAAATTTTTTGTTGTCAAATTTATGTATTTTATGACCTGGGTTTTTGTCATACGGCAAAAAAATTTCCATGTTTACCCATTGCTTTCATTTTCTATATTTAAGTTTTTTATCTATAGTATTTAGTTTGGAGTGGGGTTACAGATAGGGATCCAGCTTTATTTATTCAGGCATCTATTTGTTCAGGTATCTAGTTCCCTCAGGTTTATTTATTAAATAACCCATCTCTTTCCTGCTAATTTAAAACCCTTCTGTATCATATACCACATTTCTTGTGTATTTGTATCTATTTTGGGCTTTCTGGTCTGTTCTTTTGATCTGACAGCTTTTTCACTTTTTATTATTGTAGCTCTTTAGTGTGTTTTAAAATCTGAATGGGCTAGACACCTCTTTATTACTCTTATTTTTGCTTTCTTTTTTAAAACTTACACTTAACATGTTTATTTTCTCCCTGAGTTCTTTAGAATTAACTTGACCAGGTCCCCAAAATTTCTCTTGATATTTTCATTAGTTTCACATTAAATTTACAGATAACTTAAGGAGAAGAAGCACCTATAAGTTATTGTTTTACTGTTCAAGAATACGGTATGCTACCATTTGTTTAAGCCTCTTTTACTGTCCCTCAGTTGCATTTTCAAGTTTGCTTTATATTGATCTTACTATTCCCTGTTATTCCTGGTTATTTTATCTTTTGCTATTAAGTTCAGTAGATCTTTTCTTCTATTATTTCCTCCAACTTGTTGTTGTGTATGTGTGTATGAAAACTATTGATTTTGGTATATTAATTTTGTACCAGTCCTTTACCAAATTCTCTTACTAATTATAATGATTTTTCAGTTGATTTGCCTGGATTTGCCACATAGGTAATTATTTCCTTTTCAAATAATGTAAAATTTAGTTCTTATTTTACCTGTGGGGTTTTGTTTTGTTTTGTTTTGTTTGTTTTGTTTTTTGAGACAGGGTCTTAATCTTGTCACCCAGGCTGGAGTGCAGTGGAGCAATCTTGGCTCACTGCAACCTCTGCCTCCTGGGTTCAAGCAACTCTCTCACCTCAGCCTCCCGAGTAGCTGGGACTACAAGTGTGCGCCGCTATGCCTGGCTAATTTTTTGTATTTTTAGTAAAGACGGGGCTTTGCCTTGTTGGCCAGGCTAGTCTTGAACTCGTGGCCTCAAGTGATCCTCCCCTCTTGGCATCCCAAAGTGCTGAGATTACAGGTATGAGCCACTGTGCCCGGCCTCTTTTCCCAATTTTTATGCCTCTTATTTTTTTCTGTTTGTCCATTACGTTGGCTAAAGCACCCAGAAAAATATTAAATCAGAATAGTAATCAATGATATCTTTGTTTTGCTCTTGACTTTAATGAGCATGTGCCAGTATTTCCCACTAAGCATGATCCTGGCTTTGGGGTAGTGAATAGATAGACAGACAAACAGATATCTTAAGAAATTACTCATCTGGGCCAGATGCAGTGGCTCACGCCTGTAATCTCAGCACTTTGGGAGGCCAAGGCAGGCAGATCACTGAAGGCCAGTAGTTTGAGACCAGCCTGGCGAACATGGAGAAACCCCATCTCTACTAAAAATACAAAAATTAGCCAGGTGTGGTGGTGGGTGCCTGTAATCCCAGCTATTGGGAGGCTGAGGCATGGGAATCACTTGAACCTGGGAGGTGGAGGTTGCAGTGAGCCGAGATCGTGCCACTACACTCCAGCCTGAGCGACAGAACAAGACTCTGTCTCAAAAAAAAAAAACAAACAAAAAAGAAATTACTCATCTGTACTTACGTTATTTAAAAGTTTTTCTTAAATTAAGAATGGATGTAGAATTTCACAAAATCTCCTTTCAATGTAGTGGAAATTAATCTTATGGTTTTTCTTTTTGATCAATTAATATAATCAATTAATATTACAGATTTATATATTGAACCATCCTTTTATTCCTGGAATAAACCACCCTTGATTGTGATGTACTATTTTTTGATGTGCTGATAGATTCTGTTTGTTAATAGTTTTATTTATGGTTTTTATCAGTGATTTTCATGAGATTGTAGTATTTTTTAGCACTTTAGATTTTGAAATGTATAAAAAGCATATTTTTAAGGTCTTCATTATAGATTGCTCCCTTTATCATTATGCAAAGCCCTCTTTGTTTTCTTTATTGCATTTTGCCCTGAATTTATTCTTATCTGATATTAAGGCTGGAAGCCCTGCTTACTTTTTGTTTGCATTTGCCTCATGTGCCTCTGCCCATAGTTTTGTTTTCAGCTTGAATTATTTTTATTAGGTATGCTGCTCGTATATAAAGACTAGTTGGGCTTTCTTTTATAATCTATTGTGAGAATATTTTCTTTTAATAGGTGAGTTTAACTTATTTATGTTTATGAAAGTCTTGCTTATCTCATCACATTTTATATTATTCTGTTTAGGTAGCTTCTTTTACCATATGGTCTCTGGGTTTTTTGTGTTTGCTTGTTTTGTTTCTGTGTATGTGTGTTTCTTTCAATAATCTAGAAAGTTTACATTTCTGTTTCAAGTTTATATTTTTAACTTTATATTGATTACTTAAAAATTGATATTTTTAGGCAATGTTTATTAACATCTGTAAAAAATAAGTGTAATAAATTTATATTTCCACCTTCTTCCTACTTTTCTCCATCTTCCAACCCCCAGCTCTACTGATTTATTGACTAATTGATTGACTTTGTATCTTTAAATATAATTACAACCTACTACTTGAGTTATCAGCCTTAAATGATATATTTTGACCTGATAGATAATGAAATCAACATACCACCACTACCTTTTATGCCTCCTCTCTTCCTTCCCTCATTTTATTAGTTATACCCTATTGTTAAGGTTTATAACATTTATATTCTGTTCTTTAGTCCTATCTCTACATTTGTTTTAGTCTTAGTCCTATCTACAATTGATTTTTTTCACTTAGTGATTAACTCTGAATATATTCTCATGTTATTGTCCTATAGTATTGATTTTGACAGCTGCATAATATTTCTGTATGGATAAATGTGCCAGCCTTTATTTAGCCAATCCCCTATTATTAAACATTTCAGTTGTATTCAGTTGTCACTAGCATGAATAGTACAAACCAGGCTAACCTCTTTGAAATTTAAAATTCTATATTTCCATCTCTTAGAAAAGAGTAATTAGAAGCCAATCCCTATTAAAACCGGATCTCACACTTTAATCACCAAATCCCCTGGTGATCTCGTGAAAATGTGGATTCTGATTAAATAGGTCTGGGTCAAGGCCTGAGATTCTGCATTTCTAACCACCTCGTAGGTGATGCTGATGCCACTGGTCTTTGGACCACACTTTGCATAGCAAGGTCTTTGAATACATTTCATTTCTAGGGAATTCTACTTGAATAAACAAAATGCTGGAAAACATAGTCTATAGCAGTAGTTTCACTGTGTCTTATGATACAGTTTAAAATATCACATTTGTATCATAATAACTTGTAGCATATAATTATTATTTGTGAACATTCATTTTACAATTTTCTTAAATCTCATTTGTTTGGGCTTATTGTGGATATGTCCCTGGAACCCTCTCAGATGTGTACATCCCTGTCACATGGAAAAAAAGGCTGAGACCAGAAATAAAGCAGAGGTCAGACGGGTACCTTAGAATGAGGCAGTGAAAAGAAACCTTTGGACCTCAATTTGTAAATAATATCTGCACTCTTAATCTCTTGGGGATGTTGTTCAGTAGGTAGGTGGTTGTTTAGGTGGTTTTATCCTACCAGGCCCAAAGTGATCTGGCCCCTGCCTCTCTTTCCAGGTTACATTCACCTCCTTGGTTTGGCAGACTTTCTGTAAAGGGCCAGTTGGTAAATAGGCTTTGTTGACCAAACTGTCTCTGTTGCAATTACTCAACTTTGCCATTGTAGAGCAAAAGCATCCATAGACAATATATAAGTAAATGAATGAGCCAATAAAACTTTATTGATAAAATCAGGTGGTGAACCATAGTTTACTGATCTAACAAACTAAATATGCTTCTTTCTGCTTTAGGGTTTTCACTGTTGCCTTTTCTGGGAACTCACTCCCCTAGATGATCCTAGGTCTTGCTCCCTTACTCCACTGGGGTCTCTCAGATGTCACTTCATCAGAGAGGCCTTCCCTGACCATCCAGCCTAAAATAGCACCCTACCCCCATATCTCCATGTCCTTTACTGCCTTTCTCTCTCGGTAAATATTTCATTGATTGCTTCACTAATAATATTGATCTTATTTTAATAACTCTTAGAGAAAAGCATATGTGCTGACAGGCAGAGTATTCTTTATATACATGGCAGTTCATTTACAGTGGACCATCTCTAGGGACAGAAATAGCTTTGTTTTGCAGAGCTTGTTTTAATCATTTTTCTTCTAATGACTTTTCCTCTGAGATTTAGACTAAGTTTGGCAGTGCCAAACATATTGTGAAATGGCACCAGATTGGTATGAAACAATCGCCTTGTTCTAGATCCTCATCAATAAAAAAAAATGTCTTTGGCTATTCTGGCTCTTCTCATAGATTATTATCAGGTTCTGTCCCATATATAATTTTCAAAAAACTATTTCTGCAAAGAGGAGCATTTCCTAGACAATTTGCATTTTTCCCAGAATCCTCATGGCCTAATAAAAGGCTGGGCAATGCAGGGTGAGTAGGGGCCCTGTAAGAGACATTTCCTGAAGAAACATGATCATTTTGGAAATTCATGTTAGAATCTGATCGCTTTGGAGGATCCAGCCCCAAGGAAGAGAGAGAAGTCAGATTCTGAAGTTCATGTAAGGTTTCTGTGATCTTGCTGCTATAGCCTTTGGAAATCTACATCTATGCATCATTTTTAGTGCGGCTGAAGAAAGCTGTTCTTCATGTGGGTGGCCAATGCAGAGGGTGCATGAGCCCCACACTTCATTATGGAGATGACTCTAACTTGGGGGTATTACTGGGATTTGGGTGGCTTGGCATGCTCCCAGGAGATATGCACCATGGATACAGAATGTCTCAAGAGCTATTGCATTTCTCATGTAACAAGTGACAGCAAGACTAACTCAGTCATGGAGCCTGAGAGGTAAGGGCCCCTTCCTGCCAGAAGGAAGGTCTGTATTTGAGAAGCAGATGTTGTTCAAGGCTAGGAGAGTGAGTGAGAGCACTGCCGTTACAGCTGATTCTGAGACCCCACGGGTGGCATTCTTTCTGGACTTGTGGCACCACCATGCCTTGTTTGGCAGGCTTCACAATCTTTACCAATTTCTAGAAGGTGTTTTTGTAAATGCTTTATGTAGCTGGGATGTTATAGATGTTTTTCTTGACAGCTGAGAATATTTCAACACAGTATAATTCTTAATGTAACATGGTTCTTTCATATAATGAGTGTACATGAGAAATCTTTTCATCTGTATTTTTTTTTTTTTTTTTTTGAGACGGAGTCTCACTGTGTCTCCAGGCTGGAGTGCAGTGGCGCAATCTCAGCTCACTGCAACCTCTGCCTCCGGGTTCAAGTGATTCTCCTGCCTCAGCCTCCCAAGTAGCTGGGACTACAGGTGCACGCCACCACACCCAGCTAATTTTTGTATTTTTAGCAGAGATTGGTTTTCACTATGTTGGCCAGGATGGTCTCGATCTCTTGACCTCATGATCCACCTGCCTCGGCCTCCCAAAGTGCTGGGATTACAGGAATGAGCCACTGCGCCCAGACTTCATCTGTATTTTTAACTGTACCTTTCCAAAGGATGCCATTGGAAGGACATTGATTTAACTTAACTAGGGGGAAATGTCTTTGCTTTGGTGTGTGTCTCTGGTTTGGCTTCTCTAGTCTCTACTTTTAACACCAGGATTTGAAAGATGAAAGAGCTTGAGGGTGGTTTTATTGTCAAGTAGCATCTAATCGATGGGTAGCAGAGGGTTTTATTAAAGCTGTAAATTCAATTTCCTAGGAATTTTGAAGGTTCAGAAGGGTTCTGGAGGGCAAAAATATGGTAAAACACTGCTTTTTTTTCAGCCAGAAATGTACATAATGGTTACAGATTGTCAAAGACTGGAGCTAAAGGGTAAAGTAACCATGGCCTTTTTGTTGTCACTATTTAGTTTGTGTAGTTGCCAAGTGTGTTTCTAATGCAACCTTAGGTCATCGGCATTAAAAAAGTTTTGTGTAAATATCATTTACTGCCTCAAGTCCTTGCTCTTTCACCCTAAAGATTTGGAAAGTTAAAAAAAAAAAAAAGCCTGCTAATCGCCTCTGGGTGTTACCAGCCTGCATTAGCTCTAAGGCAATCCATCCCTCAGCATGGGACTCCCCAGTGTTTGTAATTCTCAGCTATTGATTTTGTTTGTAGTTGGAGGTTGTACCACAAATAAATTCTAAGGTCTATTTGTCCTACATGAGGGGGAGCCATAGTAATTCATTCTCACATTGGTGCCCAGTGTCAGTGTGAAAAAAATAAAAGTCTTGTTGGATTCACTCTGGGCCGCGGGTCTTTTTCTCTTTCCAAAATCATTGTGTTAGTTAAAATGAGCTTTTGTACAAAAGAAAATATTCTATCACCGCTTAGGATTAGAGAACGCTACAGGGAAAGAGCTCAGATTTATGGAAGATGGAGTTAATAACACTGACTGGAGATAGGGTTCCTAACCTAGTTCCTTGTCGCATGCCACTTGTAATTCTCATTCTTTTTTCCTCCTCTGCAATTTCCTCCCCTCTTTCACTACAGCCCTTTTTCACAGTTAAACAGTCTGCTATTTTTCTTTTTTCTTTATCTACTTATGTTCTGGCCTCTTCATCTTCTCTTCCTCACCTACCCTTCCCACCTTGGGGACACTCAGTTCGACTCCTTCCTTGTAGTCACACAATATTGGATCTCTGTTCCCATCTTCTCCAACCATCTGGCTGCATTTGTCATGTAGTCCAGCTTGTGCTGCTAGTTCCCAGCCCTCCCTCTCTGCCCCACCAACTATTTCTCTACTTCTGATGGGGAAAACCTCACTGTTTCCAGTCTTTCTCTTTGTGTGTATGTGTTGGGAGGGTGGGTAGGGAAGGAGGGAAAAAGGAAGGACAGAGGAAGAGACAGAGACAGAGATTGAAAGAGACTGAACTGCCATATGTTCATGGCACAGGGTTTTGAGAGGATAATAAGGGAAGGGGACAGGAGTTCTCAAACCTTGAAAATGCTGATATGCATGGCATGTGAGTGAGATCCTTCACAAACTCTATGTGGAACACAGTCTTCCCCATCTGGGGGCAGCAGTCACTAGAATATGGCTTTATATTGCATGTGAGGATGAATGAGTCTGGAAGCCAAGAATTCTCATTTGTCTCCCCAGTGGCTAGGCCTCGGAACAGCAGGGCAGCTCCCCAACCCCCTTTCTTTAGGCTGAGGTCAAGCCCTTATTAAGCCACAGTGCAACCTCAGAGAAAGAAGGTGCACTTCTACCTGATTTCTATTATTTGTAATAGCTACCTAGAAATGTGGTGGTCATTAATTGGTTTGGGTGGATGTTTTCCTGGAAGGTAGGGAGGGGATAAAAACCTCTATTTTGGTCCTGTTAAGTGGAAGGGGAAGGGCACAGAAAGGTAAGAATATCCATAGGGGAGGGAATTAACTCAAAAGCAAGATTGGTGCAGAGAAACAAATGCAGATGTTCCACCTGCTGCTATCAGGAGTTGGCTGTAGGTATAACTTGCTCTCAGGGTAAGAATTATTCTTATGTTTGAAAGGGACAATTACCACAGCTTGTCTAAAAAGCGGATGTTTAAAGATACTTTCAGGTAAGTACACCGACCTTCAAATAGGTGTAGCTGAAATGATGGGGGAATTAGGAGAATCTGCAATTCCTCTGCCCTTCTATAAGAGTGAGTTGCAAATCTGGAGAGTGAGTGATTATTTAAATTGGAGAAAAGTTCATTTTTTCTGAAGATGAATTTCTAAACAGCAGTTCCATTCAAATTCTGTGGCTGCTTTGCAAACAAAGCTTATGCTTTTATGACTTTTTTTTTAATGGATTTAATGGACTGAGTTCATTTAGACAGGAGAGATCGAATGAATGAGCGGAATTAAAATACACATCCATTTGGCCATCAGTTATTGTTTAAGCCACTCGACCACCCAACTTCTCTAATTAAATGACATTGCAGTCCCTGCATAAAGGCTGCGATGGATAAATTAGTACTTGGTGAGTGCTTTGAAGATGAAAATCACGGTGTGAGTAATGAGCAAGGTTTTTTTCCTTGGCTGGAAACGGCATCTTTTGTGTTTTCCCACTGCACTGTGAGTCACCTGGATTGACATTGCAGAAAGCCTCCTTTCGCAAAGGAAGAGCAAGAGAGACAGTAGAGACAGACTTTTATTTGGCTTACAAGGCAAATTAGGAAAGAGTCTGCATCCATTCACATCTGTACAAGGAATTATATGACCTACACATTCGCTACCTATAGAAGCTGGTCCTATTTTGCAGGAATTTATATGTTAAGAAATCACCTGGAAATGATCTTGTTTAAACACTCATGAGGAGCAAACATCCCCCAAGAGCACTGAAGATAGAAATCTATCTTTGTCCCTCCTGAGAGCTTGGCTTACCTCTCTGTTGGTGCATTTAAAGGTTTGCATCAAATCCCTCCAGAACCGATGGGATGCTGGAGTTGGTCTGCTTTGAGGATGGGATGATTATTTTAGTGGAGTAGCTTAGAACTGCAGGTTTGGAGGTAAAGTGTAAACTGTTTGGCAAGATCAAGCACTGGCTGTCTGGGGTGAATTTTGCCCTTCCCTCAATGCCCCCGTTGGCTCCCCTGCAAAGAACTCAACTTTTTATATGTTTCAAATTGTGGTGAGAGCTCTTTTCTCACCACATCTAAACATTCTCATTTAGATATGTTTTTCTTGTCCTGAATTGCTTTGACACAGCAATAATTAGTCATGCTACATTGTCTAGGCTGGCTAATTACTGATAGTTTGGCAGGCCCCGTCAGAAAGGTTGCACCACCCAATGTAAGTTAGGATCCAAGCTGGTGGCTGCCCTGCTCCTCATCACATCCAAATGTAGAATGAGGTGCGTCCTTTTCAGCCCTGACAGCACCTCACTCTCAGCTGCACCCCCAAATTGGTCACAGCTGAAAGAACAGCATTCACAGTATGGCCAGCAGGGTCACCTATTCCTGAGGCAGCTGTCGGGGAGGAGGAGTGCAGGGAGGGAAGTTGGATGCATCGGGGAAAAATGGAGCCACTGCTAGACAAGGTCCTGGAAAATAGGCTAAAATGGCCAAAGAAGAGAGAAAACTCTCTCCTCTGAGAGATTCAGATACATATATATTCCAAGAGACTTGGGGAGTTATTGGAAAACAATTATGCTTATCTGCTTCCTGCCAGTCTGTATTCCTTGACAGAGCGGAAGTACTTATAGATACTGCAGACACACTGTGGCACTAAGTAAAGTGTTTGAAATTATACTGCTTAATAATGCTTCCTGTCTCGGCCCTCTGCAGACCCAGAGAGCTGATCTGGGCCAGCAGGTAACTGTAGGGGCATGGGAATGTGGTTGGCATAAGTTTCTCACTTGGGCGATTTTCTTTCCCAGGGGAACTCATTCCAGCCACAAAAGAGGGAAAAAATGTTAAGAGTTGATCCTAATTTGGTTTCTGCTGAATGTTTAGCACGTCATTCACACAGGTGTCTTTGCAGAGTAAGCCTCTGTATTTTATTTGAGAATTTTTATAGTTTGCCTCGTAGGAGCCAAAAGCAGGGTAAGCACTGTAGATTAGAATCAATTCAACAGAGGGAAAATAAACCTTTGGAATAGATTTTGCCTTCCCTGAGCACGTCGCAGGCATTAGCAAATAATGGGAGCCCTGTCTGCGCATGGAGAGGAAGCATCTACCACTTAGACTCCCAGCCTCGGGTGTGCGGTCCTATGACCTGCACAGCGGGTGTGATGATTCTGGAGTCATCATCTCCTAACTTTATGCTGCTATGCACAGAAGAAACATGCACACACACATGCACACACATACACACACACACGCCCACATGCAATGTTCTTTCCTTGCGGAAGAAAGAAATGGGAGGGACTGAGGAGGGGAGGTCTCCTGACTGTGAGCTGCTGGATAGTACACAGCCAACCCTGATGAGAGTGGCCAAGACCTTCAGAGCATGGAAGGGAGTTGACTCCATTTGCCCTTTGTGGTGCTGTGCCATCTTTGCTAGGCTACAGTTGCCGTTTGCTAGCTGTCTCCAAATTCAGAGGTTCTAAAGAGGTAAAGGGGAGGTTCAAGACCTTTTAGGTTATTTTAGTACACTCTGTGTGACTATCAATACAACTTTTCAAACACATAGAGAGGCATCAGAAAAAAAAATTAAGCCAATCCATTAAAAGAGTGCTGGAATTGCCATCCAAAATGGCTTATGTGCTGTTTCTATGTATATGTGTGCCCTGATGCATTTCATTTCTTAAGTTTAAGACAAGGATGAATGAAGTACCAGTGTAAAAATAGGAAAGCACATCCTTCCCCTCCTCTCACCAGTATAAATTACAAAGGAGATGACACTTTCACCATCTGATGAGTCTACCTTTGCTGCTGTATTTCCTCTTCAGTAGAAATTCCAGATAACACCACTGACTTTTACTCAGAGTATCTTGAACAGCTATTTATAGTTTTCACCTATCCTTCCCAGAGGCCTCACTAGACTGAGAGAAAAGGGCTTGTCTGGGTCCTGGCCCAGCTCAACCACCCTCTAGTGTTGTGACCTTGGGCAAGCCACCTCTACAAGCCTCATTCCTCAATCCTATAGATCGGGCCAGGGGGGATCACCAAGGTCTTTCTCTGCTCAGAGCTCTCCCAGAGCTCCAACGATGTGGTCTACAGCATGAGGCACGCTAAGACCATAAAAAATCATCTCTGCAATCCAGAAGCTCATTTTAAAGGGAAGGAACTTTGCAATATAAGTGTTTTGTTTCAGTTCTGCGATTCAGCTGCTTGAAAGACTGAAATGGCAAAGAAAAATTGACAAAATGCAAGCCACTAACAAGTTTGAGGAAGCTGGCCAGAGTGCTGAAGTCAGCTGCTGTTCACAACAGACATCAGACCTTGTGGCTACAAAGCTCAAACAAAAGCAGCGCCTACACCCTGCTGGTCAGCAATAGTACCCCAGGACAGAGGCAGCCGAGAGTTCTCAGCAAGTTCCAGGCGTATGGCATTAGGCATCAGGCATGTAAACAGCTGCTGGAATTTCAGAGTACATTGCATTCAATAGTTCCCAGACCTGTTGGAGCCATATTTAGCTTAGGAAAGCTTGGAAAGAGTGCAGTGCCATTTGAATGACTATTAATAGCTTCGGGGGGCCGGGGGAGCGGGGGTTGGAGCAAAGAAAAGATTTCTTCAGTTCGGTATCTTGTATGTATTCATGAAGGAAAAACTTCCTCCGTGTTAAAAGACTTGGGTGTAGGGGTCTGATGAGCCTTCTGAAATCAGGAATCACCAGTTCTCGTTGGGAAGACAACTCTACTTACAGTTTAAACTAAATGATTTGAGCTTCCCAGGTGCCTAACTAAGCAACTTCTTCCCTACAATCCCTCTCCTCAGCAATTTATTTCACACAGATTATATCAATCTGTTTCTTTGTTGCTATGTAATGTAATAATGATTCTCAAAATCCTCAGTTTATCCAAAACTTAAACACTTGCACCAGCACTGTTTCCCACATCAACCCACTGGTGCCCACGCTTACGAAGAGACAGCAAATAAGGGGTGCCTTTGGGAAGCCTGCCCTTGTTCTGGGGAAGCAGGAACGCCCCCCTGCCCATATTGTCTCAGTCAAGGCAGCCATCCACACAATTCCTTTCTTTAGCCCGAGGTTCAACTTGCCTATTAACATAGACAACACTTCACTGAAGCTGAAGTATAAGAAATTTTCTACTTGATGTGTTTTATATCCTATTATTTTCCTTGCACATCACATGCCTCTCTGAGGGGCACAGGAGAATGTGTCTGGGGAAAGGTTTTGGGGAGGGTTCCCACCATTTAAAAGGGAGAGAGAGACTGACTCATAAAGGAATCCGTCGGAACCCTCTGCTCTCCCCGGAGGTCCTGACTCCCAAGAGCGAGCTCTCTCTTGCTCCAGAAACTTCTTTTGCAGCCACGAACTCCTTGCCAGCCTCTCTAGGATAGCCATGTGTCTGGCTATCTGCAGTGCTGCTGTGTGTCACCATGGCTTGGGGCTTCCTCACCATGGCTGGGGGCAGGATTGATAGGTTTCCCCGTCCAGTCTTTCTGCTGTTCATTATTTGTGGGGGAGGCTGCAGGCAGGGCAAACCTTAATTAGCTCCAAGTGTGAGTGGGTCAAATCAATTACTACTGCACTCTCCCAAACAACATCACTACAACCATGATTTCGCTCATTTCCACTAGATGGGAGAAGTCAGAATTGCCCATTGTGCACACAGACTATTCACAGCAATAAAGAAAAGTGAGTGAAGTATATACAAGCTCCCAAGTGGGGGAATTTCAAAGGCAGGGGGAGCCTGCCTCCATGGTGCTGATGGGGACTATTGGTTTCCCTAAGAGAGTCTCTTCATGGTCCCCTAAAGCTAGAGAGTGTATCCAAATTCTCAAGAGACAGCGTGTGGTCACAGATAAAGTATTTCCAAGGAGAGGTGGAGGCAATGTCTCTCTTGGCCCTCTGGGCTCCTGGAAGTGGCAGGTAATCTACACCCACAGTCTGGACATTCCTAACGTGTCCCTAGATGAACCCCAGAGGATTCTTGAGCGTCTTTAAAATAGACTTGGCAGCTCATACCCCAGGGCTGGGTTCCCCGGTGGCAAGCCTGCCCTGATTCTCTGGGCATGGCAGAGGCAGGCACCAAAACAACTCAAATACCTGGAGGAGAAGCGAGCACCGTCTCAATGCTCATTCTTTCTCAACACCACCTACAGCCATTTCCAGAAACAGCTGCTGGCAGTGGCCCAAACAAAGCCCCTCAAAAAGAAACTGGGCAGTGAGATGAGGGGGCAAGATGAGGGAAATAAGCAACCCAGACACACAAACAGCTTCCCTTTGAGAGAAGACAGGGGAGGGTGGTGACCCCAAGTGATGCAAGCAGAGGAGGCTCCCGTCACTCCCGCTCTGTGTTTGGCTGAGGTTAGAAGAGCCACTTTCAGAACCACCTCCTCTTGCAAGCCCCAGTTTCACTAATAAGCCGTTGACCTTGAGTTTGAGTCTGGGGTTGATTTGCGGCTCTGTCTGGGGGAACCCCAAGGGCCTGTGGTTTCACAAGAAGCAATCCTCCTCATTTTCACAGCGATCGTTTTTCCTCTCCTCTCGCCACTGTGATCAAATTAGGAGGCTGCTTCTCCTAGGAGAAAATGTGTCCATGGTCCCAGGAGGCACTGCCCATTTACCTGTCTGATGGGTTTGGGGAGGGAAAGCAGGATGTATGTGTGTGTGTGTGTGTGTGTGTGTGTGTGTGTGTGTGTCCCTTCCTTCCCTTGTCCCTGGGAGTGTCTCTCCCACCTGGATTGGCCACCCGGCCTGCAGCAAGGACCCCAGGGAGGGCAGGCGCTGGAGTCTCAGCTGCAGGAGGCCTGGCAAGTGGCTGTGTACATGCTGCTGCCCGCCGTGGCTCCACTGCTCAGGCTGCTGGTGGGACACTTGAGGGGCTTCATGCTGCTGTCCCTCTGGATGTGCAAGTGCTCAAGCCGCCAGCGCTCCCAGCTCTTCCGAAATTCCAGCTGGACCTTCCATGGGAAAAGGAGGGAAACGAAAGCCATCATGCAAACCAATGGCTAACAAAATGGCCCCACTATTACATTAGTGGGGAAGGGAAGAAATCCACTGCATTATATTAAGAGACACAAGTCAAGGCCTTCGGGCTCCTAAATTAATATCCCAATAAAATTGTTTATTGTTGTCTCCTATTTTCTGCAGCTCCTCAGGAGAGAGATCAGCTTGATGACCTAATTGGTCTTTTCCATCTCTAAACTCTGTGATTCAGCTAAGTACCTTTTACAATCCATCACAGTATTATTTAACGGAAGAGAATGAGAGGGAGGGTGAAACACAGGGAGACAGGAGATGGGAGAGAGAAGAGAGACTCTGTCTTTACAGCGCACAGTCCAGTTTCAGCTTGGATGCTTGAGAAGGGGGACGGCAACCCCCAGCCTTCCTGGTGTCTACAGCAGACCCTTCTAAACTCCCTGAGGGCTTCTCTCCAGGCCCCAGCACCTCACAGGGGAGGAGGGAGGGAAGGAAGGAATGTGGCTGAGACGGGAAACAGCAGGGAGGAAGGGGCAGCCAGTGAGGGCTTCTCAACTGATGCCATCTAGAGAGACACTGCAGTGACCATGGGGGTGCAGCCCAGGGGAGCTCAGTCAGCCAGGATCCCTGTTGTGCTGGGCTCTGGCCTCCCCATCAGGAAAAGCCTCTCAGGAGGGCTGATGCTTGGGGGCCAGATTGTTGGGGCAGAAAGAGACAAATCCAAGTAACACTGTGGAGCCCCCATCCCTTGAGGGTTTGTGGCAATGCTGTGGCTCCCGGTGGTGGCCAGTGATTCTGGTCCCTGGAGAGGCCTAGCTGGAACCTGCCAAGCTAGTCCTGGGGGGTCTGGACTGCTCTTCTGGGTGATGTTCCCATACATTTGCTTTCCAGAGCTTCTTTGAAGTCCCCACCCTTCCCACACCAGAGTGTCTGGGGTCTGGGCCCTTCCCTTTAGGCCAAGTCACCAAGACAGCCAGATGCCAGCGGCTGTGGATAAGGGGCCAATCTCCCCACCAGCCCCTGTGCAAACAACCCTCCTCTCCTCCTTTGTCGTCCATCCAGCTATGCCCAGCAAGACGCCTGGTATGGCTGCATGCCATCCCTTAAAAGAACATTTTCTGCACTGAGTAGAGTTGAGATGGCCCAGAGGCTGCCTGCCAGGATGACGCCAGTGTCCCATGCAGCGTCATGAACCCAAGCTTGAGTGGGGGAGGGAAGGAGGCTGAGCAGACACCACCTACAGCCACCCTGTTGTATGCCAGCTCCCTGCCCGGCTGAGTCTTTGTGAAGGGAGCGCATGCTGACAGCTGGGATGGGGGCCCTGAGTCCAGTGGTGGCCCCCACTTGTGCAGCTGCCAGGAGGCCAGGCTTGTTTCATAGCCCTTCCGCTGGAGAGGGGGGGAAAGATGGTAAACTGAGGCACACCTCCGGGAAACCAGAGACCAAAGAGAGGTTTCAGGGACACCTATGGGACTTCTCAGGGTGCTGACACACAGTGTCTCCTTCTGCCCCCATCTCCTTCAGCACTTTTCCTGAACCTCTGCTGTGACCCCTGTAATCACGATTGTCCTTGAAAATCACCATATTTATTGGGCACTTACTGTATGCACAGAATTTTCCATTAATTATCTTAGCTGACTTTCACATCAACCCTGCAAAGTAGCTCCACATTTAAAGATGAGGAAACTGAGGTGCAGAGTGTTTATTTCCTCAGGTCGCTCAGCCAGGATTTGAACCTAGATCTGGCCTGATTCCAATGCCCGGCTCCTAACCCCTGGCCTCCTGCCTGCGTGGCTCTTGCAGTCCTGCTTGTCCCTGGTCCATCTCCTACCTCTCACCTGGGAGCACCTCGAGGGCTGGGACCACATCTTCTTCATCTCAGCATCCCTGAACCTAGCACAGTGCCCAGCATACAGCAGGTGCTCAGTACATGTGTTTTAAATGAACCAAATGAATGAACACATAAATGCATGAGCATCTCACATCAGGTTCCTTCTGTTCCTCAGCTATGAAAATGAACCCACAAAGACAACACCACAGATTCTGAGCACCTGGGCTGGGACTTAGGCCACCACACTTCCTCCTCCACCATCGGATTTTTATCCTCATCCCTGCCCTCGACCTCTGCAGTGCAGCACACCCCTCCTGACCTCCCTCTCCAGCAGGCACCATGCCAGCCTCAGGATTCGGGGTGAATTGGGAAGCTCATTCACCTTCATTTACGGCTGGGGAGACAGAGGCAAGGGAGGCAAAATGACTTGCCCCAGGTCACACAGCTCGGCAGTGGCAGGGCTGGGACAAGCACTCAGGGCTCTGAGTCACCTCACTGTGGCTCTCAGGCACAAGCTACAGCAAAACCACCTTCAGGCCTCCCCCTCCCTGTCCCCACTCACGCCCACCAGCAGCTGGTGCAGGCCTTGGCAGCCACACAGAACCAATATTCAAGCCATCTTTTCTCCTCAGGTCACAAGTACCTGGCATTGCCATGGCAACCCTGGGTCTGCAGAACAGCTCTTGTGGACAGAGGCCTTAGCCCCAGAGCCACATGTGTCTTTTGTGGCCCAGTGACAATGATGTATCTGTCCTTGTGCCTGGAGCAGCCAGGGCATGAGGAGTCTCAGGGTGGGTTTAAAGGAACTGGCTGGTGCTCTGAAGGGAGACAGGTTCTCCCGTTCTCTGAGCAGGGTCTCCTGGACCCCGTGGCACTAGCCTGGAAGATCCACGGGGAGATGCTAGCTGGGGTCTGTAGCCAGGCCTGGTCAGAGAGGTGCAACCCTGGTGATTCAGGATCAAGTTTTTTTCCAAGGGCAAAGAAGTACTATCCCCTTACAAAGGTGGGCCAGCCATAGGTGGTGCATGAGGAGGGAGGTGATGAGATGACTAGGCTTGGAAGGATGGAATCTGGAGAGGCAGCTGAGCCAGGGGTCAGGGGAGACTGTTCACAATGGCGGGGGGGAAGCCAAGCACACGTGTCTGCTAGTAGGGCTGCAGTGACAGTGTCAGAGGATAGAGAAGTGAGAAACGGGGACGTGGGGGGGTCAAGATGACAAGGTGGCAGCAGGGAGCCTCAGTCTCTCCCTACAGGCCTCTGCTCCTCATCCCCACACAGGATACATGCCACCCTGTCTTGCCCCCATCACCACTGGGCTGGAATGGAAAGCAGCAGAGCTCAGGGCTGGGTAGCGCATCACCCAGCTGGCTGAGAGCATTCCTGGAGGGGAGGCCACCCACAGAGCTTAGGTTTTTGCACTTCCTCGTTTGCATCAGTTTTAAAGAAACTCATTTTGAGGATATGGCAGTGGAGGAGGACCAGGACTGCCTCCTGTGGGTCACGAGCCTGTTCCCTGCCCTACCCTCCAAACGGAGCCGCTGGGTCCTCTAAGACCTGTCCCAGGAGCAGCCAGAATCCCATTTATGGGCCACTCTTTGCCTGGCGCTGCCTTCACCTCCCCAGCACCTGCTTCCCTGAGGCATTAAGTGGGATCTTGCCCCCGCCACAGCCCACTAGCTCTACCATCTTCTGTCTATTGAATTAGGCTACTCATTTCATTTTGCTGAGGCTTAACGTTCTTAGCTGTGAATTGGGGATACCATCTGCTGCACAGCATTGGATGTAATGAGACACTCTGAGCACCTTATATGCAGTAAACCCTTAAGAGACCTTGGTTTCCCTCCCATTTAGAGATCTGAGGGCCACACTTCCCACAGGTAGCCAGTTCAGCAGAAGCAGGGGGAGGCCTCAGGGACAAGGGAACATTCCCCTCCCTTCCCTTTCACCCAGCCTCATTTTCTCTGCACGGCATCCTCTGAAATTCCTTAGGCCCCTGTCTCTGGGAATCACTGAATACTGATCTAATAGTGATTGCTTACTGAGCATCTGGAGATAATGGTGTGTGTTTCTCCATGCCAAGCAGCACCTGTGAGGAGCTAGGATGGGCCTTCAGCATCCCACCTTGAAGGAAGGACTTGTTCTCTGTTCCCCTTTCGCACCTTTTTCAGACTTTCTTAATCCTCACAGGATTATCCCCACTTTGTAAATGAGCAAACTAAGTTTCAGAGTGGGCAGGTAACTTAGGCAAAGTCACACAGCTCATTAAGTGATGGGGCCCAGATCAGACCAAATAAGATGCCAAAGCCTGCATCCTTGCATCTTTTCTGCTACATCACATTGCTTCTTTGAGCCATCTCATAGCTCCTTGAAACACCCAGGTCCCCACCCACTGTCCTTTCTGCATCCCCCACACCCATAGAAAAAGACAAGCCTATTAATGTGCTGACTCCAACATCCCTGAGCTCTGGGATTCCAAAGCTGAGTACCTTGGTGGAAGGGGCCTTTTCCAGGTGCCCATGAACACAGCCATGCCCTCCTCCCAGGAGCTGACCATCTCAGGGATGGGAGGGAGGCCTGCTGTCCTGCAGACATTTTCAGGAGAGTGTGTGGGGCCAGCGAGAACCCCCTTCTCCCATCCTAGCACCAGAAAGCCACCCCCTTCCCCACAGTGAGCCAGGGCTCTTGCCTGTGTGTATGAAGAATGGGGTACTTTCTGCTTTAATGCAGAATTAATTTGAATCCTGGCTCTGCCATGCCACTATTTCCACACTTCACCTTAGCCAAAAGGCTAAGAAGCGATGTGTGCCACTATTTCCAAACCTAGGGCAGGTTCCTGACTCTTTCTGATCTTCAGTGTTTTCATGTATATATAAAAAATGGGAATATGAAATAAGAATTTTAGCAGGGTTTTTTTTTGAGGGATGTGGGGGTCATAATTAAATGAGATAGTGATTATTAAAGCCCCAAGCATGTGGCTTGGGTATGTGTGTGTTGAATCACTTTGTAAGTGACAGTCACTACCACCAAGCAAAGAGGGTCATTCAGGATCCCCTTAACATGAGTCTGGGTCTTCCTTAGGGTCACATGCCATTAGGGTATACCTGTACATGTACTTGTGTGTGTGTGTTCATGTGTGAGAGAGACCATGCACAGAAAACCAAATCTGTGGACAAGATGGCTTCTCAACCCTAGTGCCTCAGTGAGGTGAGTAGGGGGTTTCAGCTGGCAAGATTGATGGGAGTCCCCATTGTACTACTCCAGACGGGCTGATGGTACCCACCCACCAGGGTCCCCACCGTCCCTCCTCAGAGCTTACCTCATTGTTGACAAAGCAGTATAATATGGCCACCATCAGCCCCTGGAAACAAGAGTCACATCAAGAGGGAGGAAGCAGGAGGGAGGTGCCCTGCAGACTGGCCCTGGTCGGAAGCACTTTGGGACTCCATCCTCAACAACCCCCTCCCCAAATCCAGCGGCCCAGGCAGATCCAGGAATGGGGCAGTGGCTTCCCTCTCATTTCCTTTCTGAAGGAACACCAGGGTTGCACCTCTGCGACTAGGCCTGGCTACAGGCCCCAGCTAGCCTCTCCCCATGGGTCTCCCAGGCATGTGCCATGGGGTCCAGGAGACCCTGCTCAGAAGCTGCCCAGAAGCTGTAGAGATCCTACATCCAACCTCTCCTTGAGGAGGCCTGATCCAGTGAAGTACAATGACTCTGATCATGGAGAATATTCCCCACTCCAGCCCCATCTGTTCATGAAGGAGACCCAGGGCTCCAGAATTGTGTTCTGTATGTCTGCACATGTATGTAAATACACACACATGAGCCCACATGTGTGCAGGCATCTCATGACACTCTTGAGGGGCAGGCAGGGACCAGTTTTTTTGTATTTTTACACCCCCTTAGCATCATCTAATGCTAGTGGAGAGGATCAGTTCTTTTCTTTGAAACTGTGACACCGTAACTCTGGTTTTAACACCTCTGAGTCTCCTCTGTAAAGTGAGGCTAACCCTGCACATCTCCTGGGTTCTGTGAGGAGTAAATGCACAATGCATGTAAAGCACCTGGCAGGGTGCTCGCCACCAAGTAGATGGCAGCTGCAATGCCAGGCTGGTACCCAGAGCTACATCCAGGAAGGCTTCTTGTCCCATGTGCTTACAGAGAAGACTGGCCCAGGTATTGGGACACCTGGGGATACTAGTTCTGGCTCTGCTCCAACTAGGTGACTTTGGGCAGGGATCACCCCTCCAGGTCCCAGTCTTCCCACCTTTTCCATCTGCATGATGCAGGCTGGTGTCTGTCCCACCCCCACTCTAGGACTTTACAAGCAAGTGTCCCCAAGCATGAAGTCACCTGGAAGGAGGTGAAGGAGAGCTCTGTAAACAGCTTGATGAAGCGCAGGGTCCCCCGGGCGTGCTCGTCCATCACAAAGGCAAAGATGACCTCATGAGTCCCCAGCAGGGGGATGAGTGTCAGCGTGGACTTGGCAAGTCTGAGGGGCAGGGCAGAGATCTCGAGTCATTCTGGACCTCTCCCATGGACTCTTCTTCCCTTTCTCTACCCTCCCCACTTCCTACCAAGTCCTGATATCTGGGTCATGGATGTTCTCCCACCCCAAATACCCTGGGACAGGCTGCCTGGAGGGAAAGAATAGAGGTCAAGACCCCAACAAGTCCAGGGGCTGCCCAGAGACAGGGCAAAAGCAAGGGTTTGGGGTCCAAGGCCAGGCCTGGGTGGAAGGAGAGGGTAGTGTAGGGCTCTAAGCTAAGCATCCCAGGATCTCTCTCTCTCTCTCTGCTAGAAGGAAAGGGGCACTTGCTGAGGGTCCTCAGTAAAGCCAGCTCAGTTACATCACCTGCATTTGATGTCTGTCTTGCACATGAGATTGGCCTTCAGTTTGGATACCACGATGCAGATGACCCGAACAAAGATGAGGAAGTTCACCTGCGGGGTGGGGCCGGGGATTGGCAGGGGGCACCAGCCCAGCCCTATCATAGCTGCCACTCCCATCCCTGACACCATCACTCACCCCAATGGCAAAGAGAATGGGCAGCCGGATAATGAGCCAGTAGTTCATGTTGGAGTTCCTGGTCCAGCAGCTGGGGAGGGAGAGAGATGCACACATGCATCCAGCAGGACTCACAGGACCCCCAGCTCAGGTGCAGGCACAGAGGCCGCCAATGCACATGGCCATGTTGAGTGCCACACACACAGCTCCCAGGAGCCACCCAAAAACCAGTCCCATGGACCCACAGAGCCCTGCCAGTGCACAGCCACACAACACACACGCATAGTCCAAATACACAGTCATACACAGAGATGCACACAGCCCCCAAACAAGCTTTCAAGGACCTACCAACACAGTCATGTGTGTACCCAGCATCATATACAAAATGACACAAACATTTCACTTGCAGATATTACAGAAAAACCTGCAGGAGGGCACCATGTACCCCACAGACCCAGTTCCGTTAGTCATCAAACAATCCTGGGACAGGGGCAGGGGCAGGGGCAGGGGCAGGGAGGGGAGATTAGAGAACTAAATTCACCTTCTAAGCTCCTGGTACCCCCCTTTATCCTCTCAACAGATGGGTGCCCCAGGTACCAAGGAATCCCATGGACCTTGAGGATGGGGACCTGGGCACACCCGCCCCCTTGGAGCAGGACACTCACCCCTCGTCCTCATAGAGGTACTTGACAATGCCCCAGGGGACAACAAACAGCAGGGGAACACCTAAGAGAGAGGGAAAGACAGAAGGGGAGAGGGGCTGGCAGGCCAGAGCCACAGTCTACATGCCGAGGCCTCTCCCTGCCCCAAGCCCCTCACACTTCCAGCCCCTCTCCTTGCCTGGCCTCCAACTATGTTTTCTAGTTTTTTTCTGGGCACCTGGGAGAACAGAGGCAGCAGGAGCCCCATGCGGACCCCCAGACTCTTCCTTACAGAGAGGTCCTCATCAGTCATCAGTCCCCCACCTCCTGTGTGCCAGGCACACTGTCAGGACTTGCCCTCAGAGTCCCGGCTAAGTTACCAGGCCACAGACACACAAACAGCAGCGGGACTGGGCCATGCGGTGGGGACAGCATGACGGATGAGGCAAGGAGCAGGCGAACCCTCTGATGCCCATTTTCTCTCTTGCTTCAGCCCACGTTGCCAGTCAACTCCTAAAGGCACTGGATGTCCTTTCAGTCATCTCTTCCCTACCACTGTGCACCTTCAAGAGGGCTCGGCAGAATCCTGGAATGGAGACAGGAGCCCAGTCCTTGATGCCAGCTGACCAACTAACTGTCCGCAGTGGCCTACAATAACAACAGCTACAACAATACTACTTTCCACTCGGCTGAGACTTGACTTGTGTAGTAGACAGCCTCTAAGATGGCCCCTAGGGATCCCCACCTCCTGTGCTCATACCCTTGGGTAGTTAGTCCACGTTGTATCAGCATTGTTTCATGTGACCCAGGAACCTCTGGCAGAAGTGATGGCATGTCACTTCTGATTGTTATAAAAGACACTGTGGCTTGTTTTGCATTCTCTTTCTCTTTCTCTGATCACTTGCTCTGGGGGAAACCAGTTGCCATGTGCTGAGAGAACTCAGAAGGCCTAGATGGAGGTCTCTGCAGCAAGAAATGGAGGCCTCCAGCCTTTGGCCAGCAACTGCGGCTTCCTGCCAACTGCCTCTTGAATGAGCTTGGAAGTAGATTCTCCATCCCCAGTTAAGCCTTGAGATGACAGCAACCCTGGTGACAGCTGGCTGCTTCTCTGAGAGTGCCCTGATCCTAGAAGGAGGTCTCAGAGAGAAGGGACAGCAGGGGGTGGGGGATGCCCAAGAAGGAAGTTTCTATATGTGTATGTGATTCAGGAAATCCACATGCTCTTGCCTAAAGAGTTTTCTCTGTGAGATCCTGAGCCACAAGGTACCCAGCTAAGTTGAACCGAGATTGCAGGCCACAGGAACTGTGAGATAACAATGGTTCGTTGTTTTAAGTAGCTAAGTTTCAGGGTTAATCGTTCTGCAGCAATAGAGAATTAATACAACTGGTTCCCAGTTCCTTGAGGGTAGAGCCTGGGCCTCACTCACCTTCAGAGCCTCAATGCCCAGATCACCCTGAGAGCTCAGGGTCTGTGTTGGTTGATTTAAAATTGGATTTTCCTTCCTCACATGACATATGAGGAGATGGATCAGGGACTCAGAAGGGCACAGGTGGGGCTCGAATTCAGGGCTGCAATCCCATACCCACTCCCACCGCCCTCAATGGCCTTCTGCACTGGCTGTCTCCATGCTCGTCTCCGTTGGCCCCTCCCTCAGTGTTGGAGATGTGTCTGAGATAGGTAAGCATGTGCATATTAAGGTATGTAGACATGTGTGTGTGAGGGTGTGGTGGGTGGACCATGAGTGTGCACGTATGACTTTGGGAATCTCTGCCTGGAGCACATTTCCAGGACAGAACCACTTCATAGCCTTTCCTGTCACCATTGTCTATGTCTTTAGCACATCAGTGTCCACTCAACAGCAGCTACTAAGCAGGTTGTGTGCCCAGATCTACTGTGCCTGATGATGCAGGGAGAGATGGAGGAGGCAAAGGAGCCCCCAGCGGACCAGCATTCTTCATCAGCTCTCTCTCTCCTGGCCCATTGATTTCTACACAAATCGGACCTCTCAGCATCTACGGTGCTTTAGTAACAGGCCTTTATGAGACTGGACAAGGAATGGGATGGTCTCCAAAGGCCCCAGCACATGGTACAGGCCCTGCCACATAGAAGATGCCCAGTGAGAATGGAACGAATGATGGGTGAGTCAACACACCAATAAGGGAAGGAACATTGTCTGGGCAAGAGCATGCCGATTTCCTGAACCACGTACACATGCAGAAGCTTCCTTCTGGGTATCCCTCGCCCCCTGCTGTCCCTTCTCTCTGAGACCTCCTTCCAGGATCAGGGCACTCACCCATGTTATCAGCCAGACCTGGCAAGTTTCACTCATCGTCAGCATTTCCTTAACAAGGCCTTTTCAAAAAACACAGTCACGAAAGCCCTGCTGCATGCAAACATTACGCACTCCCTGCTGGCTTCATCTTTCTCCCATTTAGAAAACGAGCAAGACAGGTTGGAGAAAAAAGCTCAAATTAAGACACACACAACTGGCTCCAGGAAGTAATGATTCCCTCAACCATCATTTGCCTCCCTCTTGCACAGCCTCCATGTGGGTTTCTACAGGCCCCCAACTGCCTGGGGACTGCAGCAGAAGCTGCCATGCCCTTTGGGGGACCTCTCCAACTGTGTCAGAGTCCTAATTTTAATTCTTCCACTTGCACATGAAGCTGAAAGTTGTTTCCCAAGTATCCCAGCTTGGGCAAGGCCTCCTGGCATCACGTCTGAGCTCCTAGCAACCTGTGAATCTCTCTCCGTCTCCCCCACCCCAATCCTCAAGAAAAAGGTGTTCTGATTAGAGCAGGGTGTCCTCCGGGTCTTGCCCTTGTGCTCCCACAGACCCCGAGCCCTGAGCTAGGGTGTGAGGTGGTAGGAAAAGGACTTGGCACTCCCTCCCCCATCTCCCACTCAGAGACCTCTAGGGCAGTGTGTCCCCACCAAACTCCAGCCACCCCCGCTCCTCTGCACACATCACACACGTCCCTTGATTGTTCCTGCCCTCGGGTCGCCATGGTGACAGGCACTAACAGCGCTGATGCTATTTCCTAGAATGGACAGACACCGTCCCCCACCCTGAAGACAGCCTTCCCTGAGCTGCCCTCGATGGCCTCCCTCCTCCTGCTCTAGCAGGAGGAAGAAGCCTCGGGGAGAAAAGGCCAAGGAAGGGACTGGGTTCTGGGAGTGGAGGAGGCAGGTGAGGAGCAGGGATCTGTGAGCAGGAGCCAGGCCTACCTGCCCACCTGTGCAGAGGCCTGAGCCTGCTCAGGGGTGCTGCAGGGGACTGAAGGGATGCAGCCCAGGCAAGAGAACAGGGCATGATGGCCGCAGGCCCAGAGCCTGGGAGTCAGGAGGCCTGGGTTCCAGGGCCTGCTCTGCCTGTAAGGCCCTGCCAGCTCTGGGCCTTGGTGTCCTCAAGACACTGGTCACATTAAAATCTCTCAGGCTACTCTTCTCCTGGGGGGTGGGGGGAGCTGTATAGAGAAAAATGGCTGAGGAACACCAGTAAAAATAAATGAAGTGCAAGGACAGGGGATGGAGAGCTTGAGAGGGCAGAGAGCACAGAACCACGAGGACTGGTGGCCTGAGGCAGCTTCCTGAAGAGGCAGCGGACACCCTGGTGTGGGAAGGATGCTCCCTGAACATTCCTGCATGGAGAACAGCCTTGCAAAGGCTCAGGGACAGGACCATTGTCAGGGAAGAGGAGTCTGGATGTGACTGAGCTGGAAAGTCCCCGGAGGTCCGTGGCAGGGGCAGCCGTGGTCAGAGCAGCGTGAGGTGGGCGCATGAAGGAAGGAGGAGTGAATGAAGGAGTGGCAAGCAGGGCGGGGGATGGTGTGGAACAGGAAAACTCATGGATTCAATGGCAGATTAGGGAGGACAGAGGGCAGGGCCTATTCTCTGGGTACCGTGGGTCCCTCCAGAAAGGCCTGTTGCATGTTTTCCCAGGGGTGAAGGGGATCCCAGCCCCCTTCCCAACCCCAATGCTGCCCCTCATTACAATCCCACGTGGTGAGAGGCAGAAGCACAACCAGAAATGTTCCAGCAAAAAAAAAGACACAATGGTTCTTGGCAAACTTTTTTGGCTAGAACATTTCCAGCTGGGCTCCAGGCACATCCGCCGTCCACCCTTTCCTTGGCTGGCCTCTGGCCCCCCTGCCCCACTGTACTTGGCTCTCCTCTGAGCCCTCCTCTTCATCGTCATGTGACAGAGCACCAGCAGGCTCCCCCCAGCCAGCCCCCTACCCTCTTGATCCCCTCCCCACCTTGAGGCCCAGGACTCACCATTTCCCTCAGGCCCTCGGGCTGCCCGGGACTGGGTGTGAACTTATGTCCCCATGTGGTCTTAAGAGAACAGTGCCATGACCTCCAGTGGTGTGCATGATAGTGGTAGAGGGTGGTGTTTGGCCACATGCGGTGGAGGCTTCCATTAAGGGAGGAGAGTTATGCAGAGGAGGGGAGGACCATAACCCCCTACGGCATCTTAACAGCACCGGGGCAGAAGGTCCTGTGCCCAGGAAGAGGGTTACCCAGTGGGCCTTGCCCCTTGCTCAGCAGTGCGTTCCAAGTACCATGTTAGAAGAGGGGTCAAGGTCTCCCACCCCCGTGCCACAGGTCCAGGGTGGGTGATGGCGGTTCTTACCCCAGCCTATGCTCACGTAGAGCCTGAAGATCCATTGCTCAGATAAGACCGAGAAGGCCAGCAGTGTGTACAGGTACACGCCCTCCACCAAGAGCCAGTAGTAATTGGCCGCCACACAGTACTGCATGAGCAGAAACACCAGGCGGCAGCTCAGAGAGTCCTGGGGGTAGAGGAAGGGTGTCATGGGGACAACAGCTCTGCCCTCTGCCTCTCTTGATACCACTCCCCGTCCTGCTCCAGCCACTATCCTGCCATGGTTAATGCAGGAGGAGAGAGCTCACATCTCTGGCTAGGGCTAGTGCTAAGGACTTTATCTGCTTTAGCTCATTGAATCCTCACTATCCTGATTGGAAGAAAGTAATGTATCCCCCTGCAGGTGAGAAGTAAGTGACTTCTCACCTATTTCTCAGCCTCAGAGAAGTAAGTGACTTGCCTAAAAGTGTACAGATAGTAAGTGACAGAGCTGACATTCAAACTCAAGTGTGTCTCCAAAGACTACTCTTTTGTGTCAGACTGAGAATTCCCTAGGGCAGTGTCTCCTCCCTTAGATTGGGAGCTCCCTAAGGTAGACTGCCTCTCTCAGCAGACTGGAGGGTCCCAAGGCGAACTGCCTCTCCCATCAGACTGGGGGCTCCCGAAGGGCCAGGACTGTTCGGCTCTTGTCTTCTCCTGTCCCAGGCCTGTCTAGGGTGGCAGAGGCAGGCCTCCTCCAACCGCCCATCCCTCCTGAGGCGGTCCTGGATGCACCACACACCTGGTAGGAGAGGAGCCCATCCCACTGGTGCTGCTGGGCGGCTGTGCTATACATCCACTTCAGGGCTGCGTCCTTGATGAAGACGGACAATGCTCGCAGGATGAAGGATGCAAACAGGTTCAGGTGGATGTAGTTCCTGGTGCAGTGCAGGTGTCTGAGGGAGAAAGCAGGGCCTTTCCCTGGCAAGGCAGCCAACAGTTCTGCTCTACAACCCCAGGCTCTCAAGCTAACACACACATTAGGCATGTTTCCAGCCCTGGGACTGTGCGTGTGTCTTCTTCTATGAATACCCTTCTTCCTCATCATCGTGAAAATCCTTCTGTCCAACTCAAATCCTGCCTCTCCATGAAGGCTTCCGCTATGTAGTCACTGCCCCCTCCTCCCATCCACATTCTATCCTTCTCTCTGCAGCATCTTCTTTGACACAAAGTCTTGCATAACCAAAGAGATTTATGCATGAGGATCAGTTTCCCCAGTGGGAACACTGCTTCTTGTTGACAGGGCCCACATCCTAAATGCCTCACAGAGGCAGAGCAGGACTAGGCACTTGGTAGGAATTCAGAAACTATTGGATAGAGTTTTAATATCCTTTCATGTGAAAATGTGTAGCAAATTGAAAGTACAGGGGCATTTCTTAACCTAATGAAGGCTATTTACCTAACCAGGGGCAAATATCAATCTTAACTGAGAAACTGTGGGAGCATTTCCTTTGAAATCAGGAACAAAATAAGGATGTCTGTTATCACTGCTTCTAGTCAACATTGTAACTACAGATCCTGCCCACTATAATAAGGCAAGGGAAAAATGTACAAGAATCAGAAGTAAACAAAATAGTTATTATTTGTAGATGGTAGATTATCTTCATAGAAAATTCAAGAAATCTATGGACAAATTATTAGAACTAATAAGACAGTTTAGCAAGGTTGCTGATAAGTATGTTTGTATATGCCTGCGTTAAAAAAATTTAAAAGTAAATGTTTAGAAATAATTCTTTTGCAATATTTTTAATTAACTAGCTTGAAATGAGTCTAACAGAAGATAGGTAAGATCTCGATGGAGAATTTTATAAATCTTGCTTAAAATCATTAGCGAAGACTTAAACTAGTGGGAGATAGATACATCACATTCACAGATAGAAAGACTCGCTACCTTAAAGGAGTCAAGTCTCTCCGTATTCATAAAAATTCTACCTTATTTTTAAAGTAGAACTTTAAAAACTTATAAAGAAGAGCCAGGGCTAAGAATATTCCAGACACTCCTAAAGAATCACAGAGGAGGAGATTTTGCTATATGATTTCTAGTAAATCTACAGTAGCTAAGGCACCATGGTATCCGGACAGGGAAAGATAAACAGAAAAAAACTGTAGGTGACTGAAACCAACCCATACATACGTGGAGCCTTGCTGCATGGAATGGCAGTCATTGCAAACCAAGGGGGAAGGAAAGGCTATCAATAAATGGTACTCAGGCAGCTAATTCCACATACAGAAAAAAAAATGAAATCCTTTATTTATATCATACGCAATATGAATTCCAAGCAGATCAAAGAACCACAAGGAAGAGCAAAACTCTGAAACTTACAGAAAATATAGACGGCCATCTTTATGACACTAGGGTAAGGAAAGATTTCTTTTTCTTTCTTTCTTTCTTTTTTTTTTTTTTTTTTTTTTGAGATGGAATCTTGCTCTGTCGCCCAAGCTGGAGTGCAGTGACGTGATCTCGGCTCACTGCAGCCTCCACCTCCTGGGTTCAAGTGATTCTCCCGCCTCAGCCTCCTGAGTAGCTGGGATTACAGGCGGGTGCCACCATGCTCACCTAATTTTTTGTATTTTTAGTAGAGATGGGGTTCCACTGTGTTAGCCAGGATGGTCTCGATCTCCTGACCTTGTGATCCACCCACCTCAGCCTCCCAAAGTGCTGGGATTACTGGCGTGAGCCACCGCACCCAGCCAAGGAAAGATTTCTTAATAAGACTGTCCAGAATTTGTTCTTTGGAAAAAATGAATAATTTTAAAGCAATCAATAAAATTAACTGTTATCAACTGCTTAATCTTTATTGATAAATTTTATTTATCAATACTAAATTGATAAACTTTATTCCATTAAAATGAAGAACTTCTGTGCATAAAAAACCATAAAATGAGTGAAAAAATAAGCCACAGACTAAAGAGAGGGTAAATCCTGGATAAGTATCCAGAATATATAATGAATATGTAAAATAGAAAAGAAAAACCCAAATAAGCCAATGAAAAAGTAAGCAAAGGATATGAAAAAGCAACTCACAGAAAAAATCATGAAAAAAAATGCTTGATCTCTTTGGGAATCTGGAATATGCAAATTAAAATCATAAGGCAATTTCACATACTTCAGGTTAGCAACAATTAAGTCTGAAGACACTAAATATTGGTGAGAAGGCTAGACAAAGGAAGCTCTCTTTTATTACTGATGAGAGGGTAAACTGGTGTGACCACTGTGAAGAACAACTTAACATAGTAAAATTGCGAAAGCAGGTGGTAGTCAGACCTGGCAATTCTACTCCTAGTTATATGCCCCAGAGAAATGCACAAGTAAGAATGTACATTGCACCCAACATTTGTAATTCAGAAAGAAAAAAAGAGAACAACTCAAATGTCCATTAAAAGGTTGACAGATAAACTGTGCTGTATTATACAACGGAATATGGAATGGTGGTTAAAAATCCACAAAACAGGACTGCTCGTGTCAATGTGAATGAATCTCACACAAACATAATGTTGGACCAAAAAATTACAGAAAAATATTTCTATGATTTGAATGTTGTGTTCCTCCAAAATTCATGATAAAACTTAATCCTTAATGCAATGATAGTATTAAGAGGTGAAGCCTCCAGAAGATGATTAGATCATGAGGGCTCTGCTCTCAAGAATGGGATTAGCGTCCTTATAAAAGAGGCCTAAGTGAGTTTGTGAGCCCTTTTTGCCCTTTTGCCTTCTGTGATGTGAGGGCATAGTGTTCACTCCTTCCCCATCATGTGAGGACACAGTGAGAAGACACCATCTCAGAAGCAGAGAGCAAGCCCTTACTAGACATCAAACCCACTGGTGCCTTGATCTTGGGCTTCCCACCCTCTAAATTATGAGAAATAAATTTCTATTTTTCAAAAATTACCCAGTCTAAGGTATTTTGTTATAACAGCAGGCACAGACTAAGATAGAAATTGGTACCGAGAGTGGGGAGTCATGTAACAAATACCTAAAAATGTAGCAGTAGCTTGGGAACTGGGTGGTGGGATAGAAAAAAGTCTATATTTCCACAAATGGGCCATACAAGGTGATTCTGGTGAGAGCTCAGAAGAAGATGAGAGCTATGTAGAAAATTTCAGTCTTTTTTTTTTTTTTTGAGACAGAGTCTCACTCTGTCGCCCAGGCTGGAGTGCAGTGGCACGATCTCTGCTCACTGCTCTGCTCACTCCGCCTCCCAGGTTCACGCCATTCTCCTGCCTCAGCCTCCCGAGTAGCTGGGACTACAGGCGCCCGCCACCGCACCCAGCTAATTTTTTGTATTTTTAGTAGAGACGGGGTTTCACCATGCTAGCCAGGATGGTCTCGATCTCCTGACCGCATGATCCACCTGCCTCGGCCTCCCAAAGTGCTGGGATTACAGGCGTGAGCCACTGCGCCCGGCCAAAAATTTCAATCTTCACAGAGATTATCTAAGTGGTTGTGAACATAATAATGGTAGAAATATGAACAGTAAAGGCCATTCTGATGAGGTCTGAGATAGAAATGAGGAGCATGGCATTGGAGACCAGAGGAAATGCCATCTTTTTGTTACAAAGTGGCAAATAACTTGGCTGAATTGTGTCTATGTCCAAGTGTTTCATGGGAGCAAAGACTTATGAGCAATGAAATAGAATATTTGGTGGAAGAAATCTCTAAGCAAAGTATTGAGGGTACAGCATGGCTGCCCTTGACTGCTTATAGCAAAATATGAGAAGAGAGAAATGAAAGATGAAATTTATAATCAAAAGAGAAGGAGAACTTAAAGATTTGGAAAATTTTCAGTCTGACCATATTGTAAAGAATGCAAAAGCATGTTCAGGAGACAATACCAAGGGTGTGGCCAAGTGAACATTTAATAAAATTAGTATGGGTAGAAAATGGAAGAATGACCCTGAATGCACTTCAGAGATCTTTCAGGTCCAGATGTCAGGGTCTTGAGAGCAGAACAGTTCTGGGGGAGGAGCCCAGGACACTGTGAGGCATTGGAAGTCACTGCCCAGGGCCACCTCCTGTCTCTGCTCCCTACACTTGGGTGCAGTGCTCCTTGGCTACCCTAGCTGCGGCTCAAGTGGGCCCAGGTATAACTCAGGCCGTCCCTCTGGAGGACGTAGCAGTAAACCTCGGCAGTGTTCACGTGGTGCTAACTCTACAGACACACAGAGTGCACGAGCTGTAGGGAACATAGTTACTTCTTTGAAATCCAGGAAGACCTAGATTTCAAAGGATATCCTGGAGAGCCTCAGGGCCCAGGCAGAGTGGAGGTTTCTAATAAATCTATAGTAGTTAAGGCACAGGTGTGGGGCCGCTACAGAGAGTCCTGACTAGGGCAATGACTAGCAGAGTCATGGGGGGCAAGATTCTCCTCCAAGACCCCAGACTGGTAGAGCCACCAGCACACAACTCCAGCCTGTGAGAGCTGCCACATGAGCTGAACCCAGCAAAGCTGTGCGAGTGGGGCTTCGGGGAGACTTGGGGACCCAACTCCCACCTCCATATCAGGAAGGCAGGACACTGAGTCAAAGAAGATTATTCTCAAGCTTTAAGATTTAATGTTGTTTGTCCCATTAAGTCTGGATTTACTTGGGACCAGTTACCCCTTTCTTCCTTCCTATTTCTCTCTTTTTTTATTTGAATTTTAATTCTTTATTTTTTTCCAGATAAAAAAATAAACAATTGTATTTATTTAATGGTCTCTTACATCGGTCAGGCTGGTCTCCAATCTCTGGCCTCAAGCAGGCTTCCCACTTTCGCCTCTCAATTAGCTAGGATTATAGGCATGAGCCACCACATGCAGACCTATTGCTCCCTTTTGAAATGGGAATGTCTGTCCTATGAAATGAGAATGCCTGCCACAACATTTCATTTTGGAAGCACATAACTTCAGTGATTTCATAAGTTCACAGCTAGAGAGAAATTTCCTTCAGGAGGAATCATCCCTTGAGTCTCACACATACCTGATTTAAATAATATTTAGATGAGACTTTGGACTTAGACTTTAAAGTTAATGCTGGGATGAATTAAGACTTTGGAGCCATTGGGATTAAATGAATGTATTTTGTATGTGAGGAGGACAGGAATTTGGGGGGGCCAGGGGCAGAATGCTATGGTTTGAATGTTGTGTCACTCCAAAATTCATGTTGAAACTTAGTCCCCAAGGCAATAGTATGAAAAGGTGAAGCCTTTAGGTGATAAGGTTGATGAAGGCTCTGCCCTCACGAATGGGATTAGTACCTTATAAGAGACCTGAGGGTGTTTGTGAGAGCTTTTCACCCATTTGCCCCTCTGCCATGTGAGGACACAGTGAGAAGGTGCCATCTTGGAAAGAGAGGACAAGAACTTACTAGACATGGAATCTGCTGGTGCCTTGATCTTGGACTTCACAGCCTTCAGAATTGTGAGGAATATATTTCTGTTATTTAGAAATTACCCAGTCTAAGGTATTTTGCTATAGCAGCAGGAAAAGACTAAGACAAATATGTTCAATACACTATTAAAAATACACAGAACCTTGCTATATATTTCTATAGCTACTCACAAATGTGGTAAAAGTACAAGGAAATGTGTCGGAATTAAAAGAGGCACATTCAGGGCTTACCTCTGATGGGTGTAGGGCAGGGAGAGGGATGGGATCAGAGAGGGTTACCCAGAGAAGTGTAACTATGGGACATGTTATTTCTTAGGCTGGATGGTGTGTGCATGAGTGATCATAGTATCAGTCATTGCATTTTTGAATCACTGGAATAATTCATAATAAAAGAGGAGAATATTCATTGAGTGAATGCATTTATTGAGCACCGTGTGCCCAGGACTGTGCCAGGTGCTTTGAAGGTAGGAGAGGGAATGCCACCTCTCCTGCTCTTGCTGCCTGGTGTCCTGAGGTCTCATTCTCTCAGAATCCCTTCCCTCTTTGAACCCAGTCCCCCTGGCCCCCCTTCTCCAAGTGCAGAGGAGTGGGAAGAACCTGGTACTCTGTTCCCAGCTCCTAGTTTGGAAGGAACGTCTCATCTAGGTTAGATCTAAGGAGGAACTTTTCCACTGGGGCTGAAAAGCTCCAAAGGGAGGAAGATCTCTAATCCCCAAGATCTTTTCTAAAATCATACTGAATTCTTGATTATTAAAGTTACACATGTTCATTGGAGAAGATCTCCTGGGATTTTCCGTAATCCCATCACCGACGGTTAAGGTTTTGAGGTTGGTGGTGCTTGCGTGGTATTTTTGTTCTTTTTTGCAGTACATACGCACACTTTTACACCGTGGAGACTAGACCAAGAACACAGTATCACATCCTGTGTTTTCAACCTCATATTCTACGGTCAGGGCTCTGTAGAGAGCTCTTGAGAGAAGGACGAATGTGCTGCACTGTTGCTTTGATTTGGTGTTGGGCTGCTTCATTCCTCTATCTGGGGGAGTTAGGATGAAGCAGCCCCCTCCCAGGGTCCGGGCCACCTTACCTGAAGCCGAGGAGGATCGCAGAGGCGATAACCAGAGCAGAGAAGGAGAGTGCGTAGCCCACCGTGTAGATGATGTAGAGGAACAGGAGCTGCTCCTCCGGGGAGCTCTGTGGCACACGGGGGACATACGTGTACATGGGCAGCCCATGGCCCTCTTCCCACAATCTTCCTTCCCATGGCACAGAGACAGAGCTGGGGCCCCAAGTCAGGACTCACCGGGGATACCAAGACCAAGAAAGAGAATAACCGTAACCTACGGCGATGGTTCTTGGATATCTTGGGCCCTGTTCCAAGGCCAGAGAGGTGAATACACACCACCTTTGTCCAGAAAGCATGGTGTGCAAAGCCCCCAGAGGCAAGGAGATGGATGAAATGACCACAGATGCCCCCATCAAAGCCAAGGGTCTTTGCTCCAGTGAAGTGCTCCAAGACATGGCTCCCCGCTCCCTGGCTCAGAACCCCGCCTCAACTCACTCTTTCCCCTCGCTTGGACTCCTCGCACTCCGACAAGTCCCTCCAGGGCAGGCTGGAGTTGTCCTTCTGCAGCCAGAGGCCTTCAGCTGTGCAGAACCGGTACACGTGGCCCTGCGGCACTGGGGTGGGGAGACCTGGCCCTGAGCCTCAGCCCAGAATAGGGCAGCCTGCCCAGTGCTAGATGCTCCCCTTCCTCCCCATTCTGAGGGCTATCCCTGCTCCCCCAGAATGGACTACTCTGAGTTAGTGACATCCTTTTCCCTTCTTTACACACAAACACACACACACACACCTGGACCTTCCTCCCCTGACATATACGCTGTTGGTCCAGGGACAAGACAGGGGGCCACCAAGGCAGGGGCTCCTCAGCTCCACCCTCAGCCCTGCCTCTCGGCAACCCTAGGACACAGTTTAATGAATTCATGCCTTTGAGATGACAGGAGTTTAGCTCAGTTCCATGTCCCTGCCTCCAGCCTCAAATCACACTACTGACAAGGTCTGGCACCGACCAGCAGCAGCCGTGCCTGCCCCGCAGTCACTCGCTATTTCTGATTTTTAGGACTCAGTGCCCACCTCCCTCCCACACTCCTTGGGGAGAGCAGACCCTGGGAACAAGGTTGGCACTGAGTTCCCAAGAGAAGGGAAGGAAGACAGAGCACTGATCTGAGAGAGAGAGAGACACAGCCCTGCCCATAAGAAGTTCTAATCTGATGGAGGAGACACAGACCTACCTGCAAGGACCCCCTGGTCTAAAAGGAGTACACGGCCTCTTGGTCGTATGCAGCCTTGGCCTTTGGAGATCCCCCATAGAAAAAGGGAATACCCAGCTCCTACCTTCACATAGACTCTAATTATAGGTTGGAAATGGAGATAGCCCTTGGAGAGAGGAAAGGGATCCAGCCCCCGTCCTCAGGGAGCTCCCCTGTCTGAGGATGGTGGCACCGTCCCTGTCTTCAGAGAATCAAGACTCACACAGAAAAAACAAAAAAGACCTGAGAAAGGAAGAGCATAGATGGAAACTAACAGAGATCAAACACAGGCCCTGCAGAGGCAAGGCGGGGCATTGCCTGTGCCCATTCACATCCCAGCAGAGGCTGTCCCCCACCATGCCCCATGTCCACCTACCAGGGAGATGGCTGGCCTGTGGCCTCAGGTTTGATGTGAGGCTGATAGAGGCCACTGCTTACTTGTGTCCAGGAGGAAATGGTTCATTCCTGGCCTCTCTGTAGGGGAACTTAAGTTTGACACCAGGGCCAATGAACTTGGGACAAAAGGGCACAATGAGAGGGTGGGGGGATATTGACCTGTAGGAAGAACAGGGGGACCAAGGAGAGAAGCTGCAGCCAGGACAAACTTTAAAAGAGTTCAACATTCTAAAAGACTAGAAGATTTTAAAGACCAGTTTTCCCAGCTGTGGGAGGAAGGAGGGAGTGAAGGCCAGAGAATGGAGAAGGCACCAGAGGCCCACTGGGGGCAGTGGCTGCTCAGTGTTCATGTGGAGAGACAGCAGTCAGAACTGGGTCTCGGCTGGGTGTGGTGGCTCATGCCTGTAATCCTAGCACTCTGGGAGGCCGAGGCAGGTGGATTGCCTGAGCTCAAGAGTTCGAGACCAGCCTGGGCAACATGGTGAAACCCCATCTCTACTAAAAATACAAAAAATTAGCCAGGCATGGTGGCGTGCGCCTGTAGTCCCAGCTACTCAGGAAGCTGAGGCACGAAAATCACTTGAACTTGGGAGGAGGAGGTTGTAGTGAGTTAAGATCAAGCCACTAACTACTCCAGCCTAGGCGACAGAGTGAGACTCTGCCTCAAAAAAAAAAAAAAAAAAAGAACTGAGTCTCCTGAGAAGAGGCTTCATTAATGTGGGGTGTGTGTGTGTGTGTGTGTGTGTGTGTGTGTGTGTTATGTGTCTGTGTGTGTGTGTGTGTGTGTACACGATGGGGACTGTGGCAGCCCCAGGGCCTGACCCTCAGGGGTGCAGGACAGGGGCAACCATCTAGTCTGGGAGTTCTATTTTTCACCCTAGCAAAAAATGTGGCAGGGACAACTTTACTGCAGAGTCTGGTGACAGCCTCTTCCAGCACTGTCAGCAAGGCCTGCCAATGGACCTTGCCCTCCCCTAACCCTGATCCCAGACACCAGGACAGCCTCCCTGCTCTTTCTTCTCCTCCTTCCCAGCTCCTTTCCCAAACAAACCCTGAACCAGGTCCCCCTTCAAGACACAGAAATTATCTGGTAACACAGTGGGGCAAGTCAGCTTGCAGCATGACTCCTTCTGGAAGAACCTGCATTTTAAAAGATACTTCACCTGGGAGAAAAACAAAAACCTGAAAATCTAATGGTGAAACTGACAGCAGTGGGAACGATGGTGTTCCAATACCCTTCGAACGCATTTATGAACAAAATCAGGTGTACCCCCAACGGCAGAGAAGGGGAGGCACGTGGTCTGATTTTAGCAACGCGAAGGGCCCCTCTCAAGCCCACAAATGCCTCTCTTATCTGCTGCATGGATGCCTGAGATTCTTCACTGGGGCCAAGTCTTCTGACGTGAGGCAAAATCAGTGTTTTCCTGTAGATACCCCCAAAAGCAGTGATGGGGACCTGAGCTGACTCCATGCGGAATGAGATGGTGTCAGAGCCTGCACTAGCAGCCTGCTTTGATGGGAGGAAATGGGGAGAAAGGAAGAAGGTTGAGGGACCAGAGAAAAGAAGACACAGCCATGGAACCACAGGCACACAAACCATCTAAAGACCCGCATACCCAGGACTCAGCCTGCAACCGTGTGATGCTAGTAAGATGCACTTCCCACAGCTGGCACAGGGCCTGGCATACAGTAGGCACTGCCTTGTTGCAGATTCCTTCACAACATGCTCCTTACTTGCTCTTTCCATAGGCTGTGCCTTCACAGAATCAGTTTTTGAACACCTACTGTACACCTGACACCTTTGGACATTAGAACCACCTTTCAAGGTAGGAACAGTTAGTCCCATTGTACATATGAAGAAACTGAGCCTCTGAGAAGCCAAACAACTTGCCTAAGATCATCAACTAGAAAGTAGCAGAGTCAAGACTAAAATCCGCCAGCTCTTTGCCTCCGGAGGTCCCAAGTTAGCAGCCAAACTTGCTGTTAATAGGAAAGAATGTGGCATGTGCCATTCTCCTCTGCCCTTCCTCTGGGCTCAGATTTCTCAACATTCAGTCTCCTCCCAGCAGGCCCCCTTGCCAGTGTGGACCCCCGGCCGCTGCACCATTCCTGCTCCCTCTGTTCAGAGCCAGTTGGGAGGGTGGGGAGGTGGTGTGTGCACAGATGTGTGCATTACTAGCACAGAGTCAAAGGATCACTGTGTCCCTCGCTCAGTGAGCCTGTGCAAGTGCATCTGTCAATTACCCTTCATTAACATCAAATATTAAAAGCCAGGCTGGTTCCTGGCTGGGCCCATGATCCCCAGATGCCCACCTTGGCTGGAGGTGGGGTGGGTCAGGGCATAGCCCTACTTATCAACCCAGCTTTATCTGACTTGGGAGGAGCTGGTAAATCACAGCCAGGGATTTGGCTCAAGGCTTGTCAACACAGGGAGGCAGCAGGGCAGCCACATGCCAGGAGGCCCAGGGATATTTCATTAAGCCAGACCCTGCTGCTGGAAATAAAACCCCCAATTAAACACTTCCCCTCCCGGAAGCTGCTGCGGCGCCTGTAATCAAGCTAACAGCCGCCCTTCCACGTGGATGCTGGCACTCAGGGCTGTGGAGAGCTGCTCATGAATCCATTAGCTCCTGCACCCTGGCAACGAGGTGGCCAGCAAGGACTACTGGGCCCCCATTTTACAGATGCAGAAGCTGAGACTCAGAGAGGCCAGGCACAGGGCCTCCCCAAGGGAGTGAGGTGAGGGTCAAAGGCCAGGCTCGAAATGAAGGCATCAGCTCAAGGCCAGGGTGAAGGGTACTGTAGAGCATCAGGGCTTAGGAGAAGGAGCTCAGGTTCTGAACAACACAGACTCAAGTTCAAATCCTGGTTCTGCCTTCAACCAGCTGTGGGATGTTGAGCATGTCCCTTCACATCCTCAGGCCTCAGTTTCCTTATCTGTAAAATGGGAAGCATAATGACTTCCCAGAAGATAAAGCATGTGAAGTGCCCGGTACATAGTAGACCTTTGAAACATCCTCCCCCATGCCGGTTTCTTGAAGGGGCACTCCTTCACTGAGGCTGGAGATGGAGCTTGTGACACCACTTCAGCCAGAACTCCTCTGGGGACAAGCTTGGGCCTCAGTTTCCCCTTGGCAACCCCAGGCTGTCGTAAAAACCCCCAGGCTCCACATTACTCAGGGGAGGCACCCGCCAGAGTTTCCAAGAACTGTGAGTTATAGGTTATTTTTAAAGCATTTTATGACTCTCATATAATTAGAACTAAGCTAACAAACAGGTAGGGATCAGGAGGAGGTGTAGCTAATGAGGCTGGAATGATTTGTAACAAGCAGATCAGCTGTTTGTGGGTAAACGAGGCTGCTGAAGGGCCCTCGGGCGGCCAACAGGCTCTCTGAAGCCACTTCAGCCTTCTCCTCCCAGTCTCGTTTGTACCAGCCATTTCCTTTGAATATCTTCTGTCTTTGACTCATCTGCTCCTGCTCTCTCTGCACAATCCTGAGACCCAAGTTCTCAATTAGAGGGGTCAGAATTCAAGGGCTTGGCTGGCTTCTCCAGGACACTGCGTAGTTCCGAGGCCCGTGGCCTGGCCCCATGTCCAGGGTGCTGCCTGGAACCCTCATTCCTTGGAGGAGCTTCCTTTTCCCTTCTGCATCTGCCTGTTCTTTCACGTCTGGCCCCAGTGTCACCTGTCCCTGGAAGCCTTCCTAATGCCGCCACACTCCTGGCAGAAGGGGTGGCTCTGGCCTCCCTCAGTACCACTGCCTGGGCTGCTGAGCCGACCTTCAGCTCCATGGAGGGGGGTTACCCCTTCTCCCCAATGCACACACTCACACACCTCTAAGGTCTCAGTGGCATCCCTAGCTCCTAACACAACCCAGCTCAGGGGTCTGGTGATTGTTTTGACTTTTGCTGTTTCTCAGATCACCACTCCTCTGCTCCATTCTGAACTCTAGAAGCCTGAGCCATGGGACAGCACCCCTCGGCTTCCCTGGCCTCTGTTGGGTTGGGCCAGTGGGAGGCATTGGCAGAAGATGGAAGGGCAGAGGGAGAGAGAGGCTGGGTGTTCTCCCCTGCTCCCTCCCTGCCTTGATTTGAAGTCTGCCTGTGACTTTGTCCCCTCTGTGGCCACAGCCCTGCTGGGTGGCTTCTCCATTGTAGCCCAGCTGTCATGGGGACCCCCCAGCCCCATTCTTGTCCCTTCCTTCTCAGGTCTAGGGGTGCTCAAGCTTTCCATTGTTGTAGTCCCTGGTGCTTTATATGCCTCATTGGTCCCTTTACCTTGCCAGCCTCTGAAAATGACCCCTCCCCAACATTAAATTCTCTCCAAATTGCCAACTGAGCATGTTTTCTGCCAGGACCCTGCCTGAGATAACTCCCTTCCTTCTCCTTGACACCAGGGCACACTGTGACGTTTCTCCACAGGCTACTCGCTTGATCAGCCCAAGAAAGCTCCAGAACTGTCCCCTTCTTCAGAACTGCTCCCACACACCTGGGTGGGGGTCAGGGAAGCCTCCGCTGCCAACCTTTGCCAAGGAAAGCTCCAGGACAGGCCAGAGGCAGCAATTACGCAGCTTGAGCCTGTGGTAGTTGTCTCTGAGCATCCGTAACTCAGGGAGTGAGGAGAGGGCAGCAGAGTCGGTGATTCCAAGTGTCAAAAAAGGGAGTAAATTAGCCTGGTGAGTGGCAGGGGGACGGGGTTGGGGAAAGGCTGGCAGGGGGCCTGTGCAGTGGCCGTTATCTTCATGGAGAAAGCAATAAAACCATGTTTGCTCATAAACGGGCACCACCAGGACCTATTTCCTGCTCAAATAAAATTAAAGGTGATGGATGGAGCTGCAAGCGGCAGGCAGAGCTGGGGGTGGCTTAGTGCTGAGTGATGGGCCCTGTCCTACGCCTGGCTCCCTGGGGTCTAGAGGCCCAGCAGACGCTGGCCAAGCTGCCAGTCTCAAATCTATGGGAGGCAGAGAAAGTGTGTGTATTGCAGGAAGTCAGGGAGGTATGTAGGGAGGTGGGAAAAATTAACAGCTACCATTTCTCAAGGCCCTGTGGTCCTCCCGACACCCATGTCACTTGGCTCTATACCATCTCCCAGATGAGTCAACCAAGGCACAGAGAGGTCTGGCAACTTGCTCCTGCTTACACGGCTAGTCAGCAGAACCACCAGATTGCAGAGTTCATAGGAGAGGGCAGACAGCTCACCCCTGTCCCTAGAGGTGTGCCCAGACAGCAGAGGGCATCCAGATCACTCACCTGTCTCCAGGCCAGAGCCACATGCAAGGGCACACACACACACCCCCAAGGAAGACTTTGGTGTAGCAATTAGCCACACTGACTCTAAACCAAGCTTCTGGGTCGCCCACTAATGGCTGTGTGAGCTTGCAAAAGTCACTGAGCACCTCTGTGCCTTAGTTTCCCCATCTGAAAATGGGAGGGTAATCAGAGTACTTGCCTCAGAGGGTTGTGAGGATGAAAAGAGTGTAGCACGGAAAGTGCTTCCAACAGGCAGTATTGGAGAAGGCAGGCCACTGATGGGCCCAGGCTCCTGCCTCCTTCTAGGCCCAGGCTCTCCCTGCTCCTTGGGGAGAGGTGAGTGTACTGTGAGTGTGGACAAGGAGACAGTACTTTTAGGAGACCAGCCTGGGCCTCATCTGACTTCAGTCCCACGTGCCAAGGTGAAGCTTACATTGGGCCCCACCAGGCCACCTCCTCCAGGAAGACACCTGGCTTCCCCAGAGCATAACCTCATGCCCGCACTTGTTTCTGGGCCAGTTGCTGCTTGGGCTCCAGCCCCTTCAAGGTGTGATGATAGGAGCACGAATTGGATTCAAATCCTGGCTCTGCCATTGACCACATCATTTGGAACAAGTGACTTAAACTTTTTGTGCTTCAGTTTCCTCATCTGTACAGCAGGTATAACCACAGGGTAGTTATAAAGCCCTGCTTTTAGGGCAGGACTTGGCACACAGTAGGTACTCAATAAATGCTGGCTATGATGACGATGATGATGGTGATGGTGATGATGATGATGATGATGATGATGATAGGGAAATATCTTTTCTCCCCTTATGGAGACTGGGAGCTCCTTGCCATGAGGGTGCTTGTCTCCTGTTATCCTCCACGGTGCCTGGGTGAAACTGGGCTCAGCAAGGGAGGCTGGGATAGATAGCGGGGCACATTAACTAACCCTCCAGTCAGGGATCCTCTTGCAGCCTCTGCAAATCTCTGTACCCCCAATGAAATGACCTTCCCACCTACCCAGTCACATCTTCCCCAGTACAAGGTCCCCCTTGCAGGCAGGAGTGAGCTGAGGAGGGCTGAGTCTGGTGGGGTTCGTCACCCCACCAATGCCCTGATCACTTCTCCCAGTGAACCTCTAAAGAGTGAGGAAGTAGCTAAATGTCACTGCCAGGTATGGGCCACCTGCATACACATATCATACATACATGTATACACACAGCAGACACCCTGGGTAGCTTCCCTCCCCGCAAGAGTCTGTCCCCACCCAGCTCTTTTCCTGACTACTGAATTGGAAGGGGTCGCATTTCTCTTCAGACACTTACTTTCCCTTCCCCACACACTGGCCAGCACTGGCCTCACGCCCAGACCCAGGTGGTACCTCAGGCCATCATGAAACTTATCACTACTGACTGCTCCCCTCACCCCAGGAAAGGCAGGCGGACCACTCACTAGGAGGCCTAAAGACATTCTGGGTGGGGAGGGCTGTGTCTCAGAGGAAAGGAAGCAGCGCCTTGACCTCAGCCTCCTCGATACAGGGGACGGTGGGGGAGGGAGCTCACCACTGCTGACCCAGGGCAGGTACCAGGTCAGGGAGGGGGCTCACCACTGCTGACCCACGGCAGGTACCAGGTTAGGGAGGGGGCTCACCACTGCTGACCCACGGCAGGTACCAGGTTAGGGAGGGGGCTCACCACTGCTGGCCCAGGGCAGGTACCAGGTCAGGGAGGGGGCTCACCACTGCTGGCCCAGGGCAGGTATCAGGTCGGGGAGGGGGCTCACCACTGCTGGCCCAGGGCAGATACCAGGTCGGGGAGGGGGTTCACCACTGCTGGCCCAGGGCAGGTACCAGGTCGGGGAGGGGGCTCACCACTGCTGGCCCAGGGCAGGTACCAGGGGCAGCTGACATTCACGAACGAGCCTGGCTCCCCATCTGGCCAGCAGGCGTATTCATCGAAGGTCCGGTTGCAGAACAAGTCTGGGAGCAGAAAGAACAGTCTCTGAGTCCCTGCTTGTGACTGGCCATGGCCCTTTCCCTCCCTTCCCCAAGACCCCTCCCCTCCTCGGAGGCTGCATGCCACTAACCTCTGCTGAATGCTTACTGTATGCCAAGCACTTTCCCCACCCAGCAAGAGCCAAGCAGGGGCACTTGCCACTTATCAGTGGCAGGACCTTGAGCAAGTAACTTAATGTCTGTTTCCTGATCTGTAAAACAGGAGTATTTCCAGCCCCATAGGGTTTTGTGGGATCAAGACTATATGCTACATAGATAATGGAACATAGTACGTGCTCAATGAAAAATCCCTATGGGCCTATTCTTAAATTGCACTTCACAGATTAGAGGGAAATGTTAGCTTACCTTCCTTCTGATCTCACTTAAGATAACCTTCTTTAGGTCACGTGTTATAATTACAGTCAGGATTTCAACCTAGGCCCAGCGGGCTCCAATCCCGTGCTCTTTAAACCACCTTGTGAACTCCCTGAAACATTTATTCCTATAAATATGTTTGTGGAGCCCTCAGTCCATGCACAGGCTGGGAGGTGCTGAGGACAAAAATGGAAAGGCCGGGTGCCTGCTCTGAGAGGCTCTAGCTGGGGGGCTGGCCGGCGGTGCAGGGAAGGACACACAGATAAGACAGCTAAGACAGAAATAAGACAGCAACCCCAAAGCAGACTACAGCAAACGAGTAAGGGCCAAATGATGGCAGAAGTCCTGGGGAAGATTTTCTGGAGGAGGCAGTGCTTCCGCGGACTTTGAAGAAAAGGAAGATTTTGGTCGGCAGAAAGGAAGGTATCCAGGTGAAGGAGTAGCTTGGACAATGAGATGAAGGCAGAGGGCAGGGGTGGCATCCTATAGAGGCAAATGGCTCCCAGCCATGGACATTGAGTTCATCAAAGTCCTCCAGAAGTTGGTTGGGTGGGGAGCACTAAAGGTGGGGAGCCTACATGGACTCACCTGTGGCAGGAGGTGGATCCTCAGTCAGGGAGCGCTGGCACTGGCGTCGGTATTCTCGCCATTTCTGCACCGTCTCCCAGAGGGACACAGTGGCACCCTGGGGGGAGGGCATATATGGGAGGCCTGTGGGTTCAGCCAGCCCCTCTCCTGCCCCCTCACCCCCTAACACACTTGGTTTCTCAATCTCCATGAAACCTCAAAGCCCCAAATTCTGCCAGGCATCAGCCACCTCTGAAAGAGAGTGAGAATAAGTCACTGCCACCCAGGGGCCCCAGGTGGATGGTTTGACATCTTCATTCCTCCCAGGGTGCATAGCTTGATGTGTCACGAGCACCCAGCAAATGTCTGCTAAATTGATGCTTTTGGGGAGGTGGGTGGGTGAAGGAGGAAAGGAGCGTGTGTGTCTCATTTGTGATCTCTGATCTCACTTAGGAGAGAGACTTTCTGAGGGCCCAGGACTCTAAGCTCCTTCTGGCGCCTAGTCAGCCTGCCTGAGGGCTTCTTGCACTTTCAACCATTCTAGAAGAAGACACACAGGCCAGAGTGGGAGAGGAACTGAATCAAGGGTGCACAGCCCCCCCAGGAAGCAGAGTTAAGGCTAGAATCTGGAGTCCTTCAGATCAGTGACCATGGTAGAATATCGCAAGGTGTGCGGGGGCCGGGGAGAGTAGTGGCGTTCAGGGCTACAAAGAGCTGGGATGTCTGCCATTAGCATTCCTCCTCCAAAACGCACTCACTTACAGATGCACTCAACACAGCACCCCCCACCCCCTCCCCGTGCTCCCCTCTGACACAGCAACCAAATCTAATATTCAACCCAGCTTCTATCCACCCAAAGGAAGAGTCCTGAGGACATGAGGTGAAGGGGTCAGGGAGGTTCCAGAACACTGAAGTCACACGTGCAATGGGAGGGATCCCTCTCACCTGTGAGTAGGGAGAGCTGAGCCTCCACTTCCAGTGAGGTCACCGAAATGGCTTTTCAGCACACAGACCCAAACAGACCCATCCCACTGAGAATCCACCATTCCTTCTGAGTGTTTTTGTGCACTTCCTTCAGCTATGTCTTGGGGTTGTCGTTCTTTTTAGTTTTTTCCTGAACAGCCTTAAAAATTATAAATATTCGTCCTTCAGAGGCTGCAGATGCTGAAATGACCCAAGAGCCCCATGTATAAAATGTAGGACCCATACATAATTTAAAACAACATTTTGCTTTTTGAAATCACAAAAATGTCCACGTGTGCTGAAATTAAAATAGCTTCTTTTTAGAAGCTTGCCCCCTTGCCTTGTAGCGTGCTGGGCACATGCTGGATCCAGTCTCGGGTTCTAGCTGGCTTATCACACACCTCCCTGAGAGACTTGGGTTGCCTTGCTCACCCCTTGCTGCCTCGGAGGCCCCATGGAAGGGCCCAGCTCACTTTAAGCCCCAGCAGCATCCTTGGCATAAGTGTGCCAAGGCGGCAGGGGCTACCCTGAAGGACAGAGCTCTTCTGAGGGCAAAGGTCAACTGTATTTGCTTGGGGAAAAAAAGAACAAGAAATCAAACATAACAGCTGCAAAGGTGTTGTCCATGATATTAGCCACAGCTGAGGAGGTGGCACAGTTTTCATCAGAGCAAGTCCTGGTGGATCAACCCCCACCGCCCCGTTTCCCTTCTCACTTCTTCCCTCTTCTCCGGGTAAAGGGCTCTTCCATGCTGCCCCTAAATGCAGCAGCTGCTGGGGGTGGAGGGCAGAGAGACGGAGAAATCCCCCTTGGTTTCTGTTTCTAGAATGAAAGCAGACCACACACAAGGTCACTGCTGGGAACTGGGGCAGAAGGTGTGTCTGGGGCAGGCAGAGAGGTATGGAAGCCAGTTCTTCCCAGAGGCGGGGGGAGGGGTTAACGACAGCGCCATGAAGGCCAATCTGGCCTCCTGCACCCCAGGGCAGCGCTGTCACCTACTCTGAGCAGAGCTGTGGACATAAAACTATATTCAGACTGGGGCTCCCTGAGGACGGGGCTGTGTCTCCCCTCAGACTGGAGCTTCCTGAGGATGGGGCTGTGGCTCCCCCTTAGGTGAGGGATTCCTGACAGTAAGAGTATCTTGTCCCCTCCCTACACCAGATCAGGGCTTCTAAATACCTTCGAGCCTTCATCCCACCCCTGCAGGCACACACAGTGCAAACTACCCAGACTTCTGGCCTCTCCCACGCCTCGTATTTACAGAAACCATAACTGTGCCAGGTTCTGGGTGGTCGTGGGTGGAGGGGAATGCAGGGAGTATAAAGGTGACTGCAGGAGCCCTGCCTGAGAGAGTCTTCAGGCTACTCGGGGGTCAATGCTTTACAGGACAAGTGACATAACAGGGAAGGCAGTGGGTGAAAGTGTTCAGGGAGTGGTTGGGGCAGGGTTCAGTGCAGACTCAAGAGGCCTGAGGGATTGGGGACTGTGAGGTGGGGCTGGGGTGAAGGGGGTTGGAGGCAGACTGGGCTAGCAAGGAGGAGGGCGGGCACTTCAGCAGGAGGGCACAGCAGGGAAAAGGTACAAAGGTGGGGACATCAGTGCTCCGGAGAGCAGAGGAGAGCTGTGGACTGTTATCAGGAGGATTTTTTGGGGCAGGGAGAGAGTGGTGGTGGGCCCTGGGACAGATGGGAGGTTCTGGTCTGGGGAAAGACTGAGTAAATGAGGCTAGGGCCACCCAGTGCCATAGGGCCTGGGTGCCCAGGTAACATAGTGGAGGCTGAACAACCCTGGCCTTGGGCTCAGATCTGGGCCTGGACCTGGGTCACCCAGATATTAGGTTTGCAACCGAGTGCAAGAGTTGTATGTTTTAGGCTCAGCTTACACTTGTGCAAAAGGGAACAGCAGCCCCTCCCCCATGGGATGGCTGTGGGGACTGAGTTAATGCTTAGGATGGTGGGCACATGGAGAAGGCTCAGTCAATGGCAGCAATCCCCATGATTTCTACTGTTTAGTGGAAAGGGCAGAGTGGGAGGGAGTGACCAGGCTTCCTGGGGACTGGGGCCCCACCCCTTCCTCACTTCTAGGATCAACATATTCCCAGAAAGAGGAAATGAATATATGTTCATGTCCAATGACCAATCATTCTGCTTAATTTGTGAGATCTTCCAGCAGTAACCACAGCCAATGGCAAAGTGAAGCAGGGAGGAAGCTTTGGACCCCATGCCCTGTGAGGAGGGGCAAGGCCCTGCCCACCAGTGTCCCCCACTCCTCCATTTCATCCTCCCACAACATAAGTCCCTGCTGCAAGCCTGACAAGGTGGGGCTGTGGGTTCTGGGTAGCGGGAAGGATGCAATCCAGATGTCCCTGTCCCTCACAAGGCAGCAGAGCTGACCAGGAGAGCAAAGCAGCGGTCAGAGGGGGTCTAAAGGGCCATGGGAAGGGCAGGATGGCAGTTTCTAGAATCAAGACTTGACAGGCTTCATGGGATCTCTCTGAGGTGGATGAAGGCACGTGGAGACGACACCTGGGTTGGAGGTTACAAGAAGGAAGGGGCATCCCTCAGATTCAGGAGTTTTTGGAGGAAGCAGGAGACAGGAAAGAGGACACCAGGAGGGAGTGGTGTGGTCTACAGGAAGGAGCACTGGACAGCGATTTATAAGTTCTTGGTCTAAATCCCAGCTCTGTTAATGCAGGACTGTGGGACACGATTTATCTTTTAGGACCTCAGTTTCCTCATCAGTTGCCAGTTCTGCCGTCCATAAAATGGGCATATCATTCTTCTCAAACTGCACAGATCCAACAAGATAAAGCAGGTGAAAATCTTTGTGACTTCTCAAGCCCTGTACAAGCAGGCAGCGTTGGAAGGAAGGACAGCAGAGAAGGAAGCAGGTGGAGTGGAAGCCCCCGGGGTGGTGGGCTTTCCAACACCCCAGGAAGGGGCTCCCTCTCCAAACACTGGCTGCCAATCTGAAAGGCACTCCTATTTCTCAGTGCGAATAAGTGTATCAGATTCTTTCTTTCTCTGGGGACCATTTTGGTGACGGGAAGGAGGTGGCACAGAGGTGGGAGACATGCAGGAAGGCCTCTCAGAAGGAGGAAGGAGGGATTCCAACTCAAATTTCTGGAGTCCCCCAACTAAGTCCAGCCCTTCAGGTTCCCTGGCATCTCCTCCCAGGACCCCAACCTCCTTCCTCTGTGTCACCTCCCAGAAGTCAAATCACCCCTTCCATCAACAGACCCCTGTCTCTTTGACCGCCCCTTGTTTTTCTTTCTTTCTTTCTTTTTTTTCAAAAGCTCAGAGCTTACAATCCATTTTTTTTCCCTAAGGGCTTTAGATATCTGAACGAAAGGACAGGAAAAGGAATACTACACACATGTTCTTACAGTCACAAAAACCCCCACGTGGACACACGGTCACACGCATCATCACACACGCCCCCAAGCACATTCCCAATACTGAGACACTGACACAGACTCTCTCCCACCACACACAATCACTCACAGACTGCCAGGTACACAGTCGCATGCTGAGACACTGTCCCCAACACACACACACAGAGGAACACACAGACACTCTCACATGCACACTATCTCTCCTGCACATATAGACACACACTAGTTGACACCCATTCACACACCAAGATGCCCCCCCCCCCACACACACACACAGACCCTCCCACAGACACAGTATCATATGCAGGGTCACAAAAACATAGACACTGTCAGATGTACAGTTGCATGCTGAGATGTTGCACACACAGGGACTCATTCCCACACAGACTGTTACACACAGGGTCACTCACACATACCTGGGAACTGGGGGTTCATATAGCCTACTCCCTTCTCCCCCTGGTCTGTCTCAGACTACCTGTCTGTATCTCTGTCCCCTCCTCCAACCACCACCACCACCACACACACATAGGAATTTTCCTAGGGGCAGGCTGCAGCTGAGGAAGCCTGTTTTGCCTTGGTGCAAGGCATTCGAGGGCAGGATGTGGTTTCTTGGTTGCTCCTGCCCCAGCCCCCAGCCTGGGTCCTGTCCAGGAGGAAACCCAGCTTAGAACAATGTCCGCACTGATCAAGGCTCAGCCCTGGACTCCACCTGCCATTCACTAGAGTACAGAGACCCAGGGTCTCCAACAGCCCCTCTCTCATACTATCCTGCAGCCCTGGAAAACACTTCTGGATCCCCAAGGACAAATGGGTCAGTTCTGCCATTTGACTAAAGTGACTAAAGTTGCCATTTCAGGGGCCAGTGTCTCAATCCCCTCCATAACCCTATGTGATAGAGCTTATGATCCTTATTTACAGATAAGGACATGTATTGGGGATAACCAAGTGTCCAACTCCAGATCACCAGCTAATAGCAGACCCTATATTTGAATCCAGTTGTGTCTGATTTTAACTTTGAGTGTCAAAGGCTTGCCTGTCTCCTCAGTAGGCCCGCTCCCTCACCAGGGTATTGGAGAGGTAAGGACCAGGGTAGGGGAATGAGCCTTCCCAGCAGCAATGAAAGAGTAGCCTAGGGCACCTTCTTCAGAAGTCAACTCAGCCATCCCCCTACCTGCAGGGATGCTGTTTCCAGCCTCACGAGACCTGACAGTGAGCAGCTCACTCTCAGAGGTCTCCCTTCAGTCCCGTCTGAGTAGGAGGTGTTAGGTCAAGAGCCCAGCCCTTCACCCCTTTCTCTTCCCTGCTCCTGAACTGCTGGGCTACTTTATACAGGGGACCCTCTTTTTCTGAGCTTTCATTCCCCCATCAGCAACATGAGGGGAGTAACTCTAACCCTTTTGACTTCATAGACAGAAAACAAAATGCAAAATACACTATTTTTTAGTCTTATAAGCACGCATGATGTTGTGTCATAATTGTTGCAATCTATCCTTAACACCTCCTGTGACTCAGATCTCTGTGGCAGCTCAGTTTCCCATGACAAGAGCACCCCCTCAAAGCTCCCCTCCCTGCTAGGACCTGTCCCCTCCTATCCTTCTCTACCACCCCAATCCTGTTATGCCCCCAGGATGCCCAGCTTTTGCCTTAGGCCTGGGGCTAAGGAGTAAAATCGGATCAGAGGAAAGTGTGGGTTCAGGAGCCTGACACTTCTGGGAATAAGGCCTCTGGGAAGACAGCTCACAGAAACTTTCCTCTTCCCTTTGCTTTCTTCCCTTCATTCAAACCAGACCTGTAAACCTGGCCTGGAGGAGGATGGAACCAGGAAGCAGAGCCTCCACCCCTATCCCAACCCAGTCCGTAAGAGGAGGGAACGATGGGCAAGAACCACATCTTGGGTCTGCAGCCCTGGCCCCTGAAAGATCCCAGCCGCACCAGGAAAACCAAGGCCTGGCTGGGGGCGCTGTGAGGAAGGTGTCTTGGAAGGGGGAGGTTGTCTCCTGGGGCTCAGGACAGCAGCTGGGCTGGGGAACAGGGGCAGGGAGAGGATGCGTCTGGAAAATAATCTGGGGGCTGAAAAATGTGCTGGCATCTTAGCTGAGAGGTATGTCTGTCCACATCTGGGGTTTCCGCCGAGGTGGAGTCTGCCCTCACCAAGGCAATGGTTCTGGGACAAACTTCAAGGTTCGTTCAGGTCCACTCCCCACAGATCTCAGTTCTTTAGGTCTGGGGGTAGCAGTGGGAGGTGATAGGAAGAACCTGTTTCCTGACCCAGGACAGGCCACCCAAGTCTATGTCTCCTCTCTGCTCAAGCAAGTCCCAGCATCTTTGGACAGCTCCCCTCTTCAAAAGCAGCTGACCACTGTCCCTAGCCCAGGATCCCAGGGCAGGAAAAGCAACAAGGGCAAGAGAGAGGGGCTGCGGTGGTCCACCTGTGGCCTGCTCTCTGGTGGCACCAAGGAGCCCAGGTGTTCTTGCGTGTCCCAGTATGCCTTCTCTTGGGGCCTGCTGTCAGTGCAGGATGAGAATGGGAGGTCAGCAGAGTGGGTGAGTGGGGGCGCCTGGCTGCTTCCAGGGGGGCACTGAGCCTTCTGCCTGTTTGCTACAGAGGCTGGTAGGGGACGGGGGGTAGGTTCCATCTGGGAGGTCACTGGGAAGGACAAGCTGCCACCGCAGGGCCCCAGGAGCCATGAATCAAAGGCTGTGCTGGGGGCTGATGAGAAAGGGAGAGGAGCCGGGTCTCCGCACCCTGGCCCTCTCAGCTCCTCCCAGGGTCTTCTCAGGGTCTTTGAGCAGGTGGATTGTCTGGGGAGGCACTGCGGGAGAGGGGTCTGGGTCAGACTGTGGGGCAGAGGGAGTCCGGGAGGATGCCGGGCTGTGCCAGGGCCGCTGACACGGTTTAGAAGGAGTTGGGAAAGTGCTGGGGACAAAGGAGAAGCGGAGCAGAAGTCAGCGCAGGGCGGCCGCGGGGCAGCGGGTGCCCGGGCAGAGGGACCCGGGTGGCGAGGAAGAGGGCGCCTCGCTGGGGTTGGGGGGAATCCTCTGTAGTCCAAGCCCTCACCTGGGCCTTCCAGCCCAGGGGCACCAAGTCTCCAGTCCCTACTCCCCCCGAGGCTTTCGGATGCCCCCGCCAGCGGTCTCGGAGTTTCGTTCAAGTCCCGGGGCCCTCCACCAGGACACTGCGCCTGCAGCCCGCAGAGCCACCCGCCTCCCCCGGTGTCGTCGGGGTCCCTGGATCTCACCTGGGGGCGGGGGCCGGCCCTGCCCACCATCCCGAGCAGCAGCAGCGCAAGGCGCAGCGGGCCGGGGGCGCCGGCCATGGCGGGGAGTTCAGGACTGGGCCATCGCTGCCACCTGCGGAACCGCGTGCGGAGACTGATCCCGGGCTGGTGGCGGGCGGTGGGGGAGGAGCCGGCGAGGGGCCGCCCTGCCCGCGGGAGGGGCCTGGCAGGGTCCCGGTTCTTCCGGCCGCCAGAGACCCCTGGGCCCGCCCCGCCGCACCCCTCTGCCGGTCCCGGGCCAGGAGATAGCGGGCACTGCTCTCCGAGCGAGCGCGGCTGGGAATCAGGAAGCGCAGGAGGCGGCCACCAGCTCTGAGCGCCGACAGTGCGCCTGGCCGGCTTTCAGCGACAAGCCAGGCCCTCCTCCCACCCTGGCACCCCGGACCTCCTCCCGGGTCTCCCAGCTGAGGAAAGCTACAGCAACCCCCGCCCATTCAGGGTCCCTCAAAGGAAACTGAGGCCTGAGGAATGGACGGGACTTGTCCAAGGTCACACGGCTTGGCAGGCCACTCCTGGAAAGTATCCTCAGAGCCAGGGGTGACTAATAAGAACTTTTTTTTCCCAGGATTACCCCTTCCCAGGTCCTCTTCTCATTCCCATGTTCTGTCCTGAAGGCAGGCCCAGGATAGTCAAGGTTGGGGGTGGGGAGACTGACAAATGGATCCACAGAACTCTGACAGTCGCAAGGGTCTAGAGGTTCCCCTCTACCTGGAAACTTCAGCATTGCAGGGCAGGGAGGGATGAGGCTGGGGTCTGCCTTTCTGGAAGCTTCCCTGCCACCTCTTGCAGCTCCAGCCTCCTGCTCTTGTAACCTGTGTATGTGTGATAATGTGTGTCCATGGTTGTTCCTGCCTTCTTTATCTCTCTCCCTGCTTCGCTTCTTGGGGACTCTGGATCTTTCCTGTCTGTTTCCACTCCCACCCCTAAACACTGCAGGGCCCTCAGGTTCCCTTCTTACACCCAACAAGTGGAAAGAGAATGCTAAGAGGGCACTGACTGTATCTTCCCTAATGCTCTTGAGAAGTGGGGATGGGAAAAGAGGATCCCCCACCAAAGAACCTTGATGCCACTCTTAGGAAAGATGAGTTGTGGCAGAGCCCAGCCTCGGACCTGCCGTGGGGCATGTCGACTAAAGGGACAGGAAGTTTGTGAAAGTAGCTACTCCTGGGGAGAGAACTGAACTTCTCAAAGTCCTGAGGAAGGCTGGACCTGCCTGAGCCCAGGGAAGGAGACAGCCAGTGGGAGGGGCCCCTGGCTTCCATTCACCAGGAGAGACTCTCCTCTCCAGCAAGCTCTGGTTCCACCACCTGAGACTCGTTTATTCCCTCCCCTCCCAAGAGGTCAGTCTAGCAGGGACCTTCTAGGTATCACTTAGGATTAGGTTGTTCACCTGGGAGTGACAGAAAATCCCACCCCAAACAACAATGGCATAACCAAGGGCTCTCTCATGTAAAGCAAGGCCAGAGGTTCAGCCCAAGGTTGGAGTGGCTGCTCCCTGATCATCAGGGTGCCTGGGTCTTCTAGCTTCCACCATCCTTTGGTCCAAGATTTCCACCTCATGATCCAAGGTGGCTGCTCCAGCCACGATATCCAAATTCCAACCAGCAGGAAGGAGGAATGGGAAGGAGATGGGTGCACCTCCACCCATAAAGACACATCTTGAAAGTGGCAGCCATCAATTCCACACCTCTTGCTCAGAACTTAGTCACATAGGCACTGCTAGCTGCAAAGGAGGGTGGGAAAAGCACCCTCTATTCCAGGCAACCATGGGCAAGGTTAAATACTGGGCTTTTATACTCTAGAAGAAGGCAAATTTTAAAAAAGATACTGGAAGTGAGTTTTAGGCACTGCTATATCAAGTTTAGGGTGGAGAGAGGAGAAAGGAAGAGATAGAGAAGCTATTCAGACAGAACTGGGGTCTTTATCATGAATTTGTCAGCCTCCAGATTACATTGATTCAGCAAGTATCTATCGAAAACCTACCATGTGCCAGACACCATTCTAGGTCCTGGGGATACAATTGGTGATGCTGTCCCTATCTTCAGAGAGATTATATTCTAATACAGGAGGGAAACATTAAATAATTATTGGAGTCATTTATAATTGTGTAAGCACTATTATGGTAAGCAAATGCCCCCAGTACTTATAAGGCCATGTTTTCTCTGCCAGGGGGCTTTCTCTGACTTGGAGAACATTTTTGCATTCAGCCAGTGCAGGGTAGGTACCCCTAAGAGCAGCTGTCAACCATGGATGGACAGGAGTGGATGGATAAATACCCCATCCAGAGGTGTGTACCACAGTCTCCCAGAGGTCCCCTGTGCGATGGAGCCCAGCTTCCCACAGCAGTTACCTGCTCAGTAATGCACCCTGTGTTGGCTTCATTTCCTCACTTGTCCCACTTTCCCACAGTAGGGTACCAGTGCTTCCGGGGTCACACCTCACATAAACAATTTGGCTGGGCATGGTGGCTCACCGTCTGTAATCTCAGCACTTTGGGAGGCCAAGGTGGGCGGATCACCTGAAGTTGGGAGTTCGAGACCAGCCTGACCAACATGGAGAAACCCCATCTCTACTAAAAATACAAAATTAGCCGGGCGTGGTGGTCCATGCCTGTAATCCCAGCTACTCGGGAGGCTGAGGCAGGAGAATCGCTTGAACCTGGGAGGTGGAGGTTGCAGTGAGCCAAGATCATGCCATTGCACTCCAGCCTGGGCAACAAGAGTGAAACTCCGTCTCAAAAAATAAAATAAATGAAAAATAAATAAATAATTTGTCCTTAAATCCTTATCTCAGGATCTGCTTCTGGGAGAGCCCAGCTGAAGACAGTGGGCATATGAGGGTATTTAGGAAGCTCAGGGCCTGTCCCTCCTCTTAACATCTGGGGGTCCAAAAACCTCTGAGTTTGCTGTGATGCTAGGACAGAGTATGGACTCGGGAATACAGTTTCCTTCTTTCCCCTTGCTGTTACCAGGGCCTCTCACTCAGGCTCCTTAGAGCAGAGGAAAGGATGAGCTCCCTAAGAGCAGAGATTTGAATGGATGGCATACTGTTTGGTAAACTGTTAACACCTGTAATCCCAGCTACTCGGGAGGCTGAGACAGGAGAATCGCTTGAACCCAGGAGACGGAGGTTGCAGGGAGCAGAGATCATGCCACTGCTCTCCAGCCTGGGTGACAGAGCAAGACTCCATCTCAAACAAACAAACAAGCAAAAACCCTTGAAAACAAAGACAATAGCTACTACTTATTGGGCCAGGAGCTGCTGAATGCTTGGTGTACCCTGATCTCATCCAGTATTATGCACAAGTGTTATTGTGCCAATTTTATGGATGAGGAGACCGAGGCTCAGGTATGAAAAGTGAGTTGCCCATAAAAGCAAACAGGGCATTCATCCCAGGTCCACCTGCCCTGAGAGCTGGTGCCGACACCCCCAATAGGCAGCTGAATTTGTGGCAGCACAGAGGATGCAGGCTGCAGCTCAGCCAGCCTGTCCGGGAGCACCTCGCTCTACAGCCCAGAGCTCCGGGTCCTGCTCCTTACCCTTAGGCCCAAGGCTTCTCCAGTGACCCTAGCGTGGGGTGCCCTCAGCTTCCACTAAGAAAATGTGGTATTGAGATTGTCTTCAGAAATAGGAATGGGAGCAACTGATGTGTGCTCCTGAGGAAAAGGTGCTGTAAGGCCCATTCGCCAAGGAGGCAGACCTGAGAGCAGGCCACCCGGCCCTCTTTTGTCTTCAACAGGAAAACCTTGTCCCTAGCAGGAAGACCAGGTCAGTGGACAGGACAGATTTTTTTTTTTTTTTTTTGAGACAGAGTCTCATATTGTCACCAGGGCTGGAGTGCAGTGGCGACACTGCAACCTCGCCTCCTGGGTTCAAGTGATTCTCCTGCCTCAGCCTCCCCAGTAGCTGGGATTACAGGCACCTGCCACCACGCCCAGCTAATTTTTGTATTTTTAGTAGAGATGGGATTTTGCCATGTTGGCCTGGCTGGTCTCGAACTCCTGACCTTGTGATCCTCCCGCCTCAGCCTCCCAAAGTGCTGGGATTACAGGCGTGAGCCACCGCGCCCGGCCCAGGACAGATCTTTCACTTGAGAGGAGGCAGGAGGGAGAGAGAGGCAGGAAAAGAGAGGGAGGTTGTAGAGTGGAGAGGAGGAGAGGGAAGGAAAGGGAATTGCTAGAAAAGACAGGTGTCTCTTCTTTTTTTTAATTTTTTTTTTGAGACAGAGTCTCGGTCTGTCACCCAGTCTGGAGTGCAGTGGCGCAATTTCAGCTCCTTGCAACGTCCGCCTCCCGGGTTCAAGTGATTCTCGTGCCTCAGCTTCCCAAGCAGCTAGGATTACAAGCTTATGCCACCATGCCCAGCTAATGTTTGTATTTTTAGTAGAGACAGGGTTTCACCATGTTGGCCAGGCTGATCTCAAACTCCTCGCCTCAAGTGATCCACCCACCTCAGCCTCCCAAAGTACTGGGATTACAGGCATGAGTCACTGAGCCCGGCCAGGACAGGTATCTCTTGCACGCATAGTTCAGGTTTCTTTCCAAGCTCCATGTCCCTAAGAAACTCATTTACTTCCCAAAGTTCAAGACCACATTCATCTTCTGAGTGATGAAATAAGGAAAGAGCCAGCATTTTTTTCAACCTGATATAAACACACATGCATACACATACCTAAACACAGATTTTTAGAGTCTGACAGTCAAATCCATCTCAGTCACTTACTCTGTATCCTTAATAGCACTAAACCTTGGTATAAAATGGGTCCAGTAATAAGAACCAATATTTACCGAGCATTTGCCTTGAGCCAGGCACTGTTTTAGGAGCTGTATATGTGTTATTTCATCTAATGCTCACCATCGCCCTCAGGCTGGCCCTTGCCAGACAGTCTGAAGATCTGCTGCTGAGAGAAGGCAGAGACCTCAGCAGTGGGCCAGGAATCCACTTTCTGCCAGGAGAACCTGGCTGCCAGCAAGTCCTGGGGGCAAAGGGGGGTATCACGAGAGGATGCCTCTTTAGGTAAGGGCTCTACCCCTCCACCTCCTGCTTCTCTTCTCAGACCCTGCCCTGGGAGCAACCCTGAGTTGTAGAGTGGGATTTTTTTTTTTTTTAGATGGAGTCTTGCTCTTGTCACCCAGGCTAAAGTACAATGGCATGATCTTGGCTCACTGCAACCTCCGCCTCCCAGGTTCAAGTGATTCTCCTGCCTCAGCCTCCCAAGTAGCTGGGATTACAGGCTCCCGTCACCACGCCCAACTAATTTTTGTATTTTTAGTAGAGATGGGGTTTCATCATGTTGGCTGAGCTGGTCTCGAACTCCTGACCTCATGATCTGCCTGCCTTGGCCTCCCACACCTGGAATTACAGGTGTGAGCCACCGCGCCCGGCCCATTTTTTACCCCAATTTTACAAATGAGGATGCTGATCCCCAGTGCACTTAGGTATTGAGACAGCCCAGGAGAGCCTGGATGCAAACCCCCACAGACCCACACACTAACTCCCCATCCCACATTTATCACCTTGCAGGATAGTCTGACTATCAGAAGCAGCACTTGCCCAGAACCTGGCACAAATAAGTCCTAGTAAATGGCAATGTTAACACCACTGTTATTCCCCACAGCCCTCTATCTTCCCTGCTGCGGGTGCACCAGCTGTGCCAGGTCTCATCCAGGCAGCAAGTACAGCTGCTAATGCCCAGGGGCTCTGGTGCAGAACATCACTTCCTGGCTCAGGTGGCTACAGTCAGATCCCCCAAGTCTAGATGGGGAGGAGGTCTGCCAGGGCAAAGGGTCCCTTCCTCTGTGGTAGACCATCACTGCCCCCCATTTACCAAGCCAGCCAAGGTTACCAGGTGCTGGGTCCTGTCCAGCTCCCAACAGTCAGCTGTGGAGAATTTACAACCTCTTGAGCTACAGTGATTACTGCTCTCGTGGGCGGATGCAGCACGCTGTTTTTCTGAAGTGTTATAGCATCATTTTTATAACTGGTTTTTCTGTTGAGAAAGAACTCAGTGGGATCACACCCACTTTACTGGGAGGGAAACTAAGTCTCACAAGAGTCAGGGGTTTTGCTCAAGGTCATTTAGGAAGGTGCCGGAAGGGTTTGTACAACTCTGGACCAAAGAAGAGAAAAAAAATGAGATGAGAACGGCAAAGTTCCTCTCTCTTCTCCACATGGGGACTCTAGCCAGAAATGACTGGGCTCCCTTGCTCTCTCCCAGGAGGGATTAGTGTCAGAAGTGGGGAGAAGGTGAGAGAAAACCCAGGGGAGGGAGGGAGTCATGGGTGGAGAGGCTTGGCAAGAATCATAGAACCAGAAAGTACCTATCAGCGAAGATGGTAGCTATTGCGCTAAGAGCCACCTATTCTCTTTCTTTCAGACAAGGAGATTGCACAGCACAGCTGGCTGGATGCTCCTCAAATCTGAGCATATAGTGTATTTTAGTTTCCTGGGGCAGCCATAACAAAGTTCCACAAACTGGGTGGCTTAAGCAACAGAAATTTGTTGTCTCATCGTTCTGGAGGCCAGAAGTCTGGAATCAAAGTGTTGGCAAAGTTGGTTCCATCTGAGAACCATGAGGGAGACTCTGCCTGCCTCTGTCCCAGCTTCTGGTAGCCTCAGACATCCCTGGACTTGTGGGTGGCCTTCTGCCTGTCTTCACATGGTCTTCCCTCTGCACCCACATTTCTCTTTTGTATAAAAATGTCAGTCAGATTAGAGCCCACCTAACGATCTCATTTTAACTCGATTATTCTGTAAAGACCATATTTCCAAATAAGGTCACATTCTGAGGTACTGGAAATTAGGATTTCAAGATATCTTTTGCTGGTGAGTGACAACTCAACCTATAAGACATCAAGACTACATTCCCAGGTTCCCTTGATGTTTAGGGTGGCCAAGGTAATGTGGAGAAAAGTAACACAGGCCACCTCCAGGATGGGCCCATAAGACCTTTCACACCCTCTCTTCCTCCATCTACCATGTTGGACACACATGGTCAGTGGAGAATGCCAAAGCCCCAAGGGATGATGGAACCTCAAGACAGAAGGGGCCTGGGTCCATGAATGACTGTGTGGAGCAGAGCCTCCTGCCAACCCATGTTAGATTGTAGTATGTTAGGCCATCAAGATTTGGGGCTGTTTGTCATTGCAGTCAGCCCACCCAGACAAGCCCAGTGGCATATGTCCCTGAGCTTATCTGGGGGCAGGGCCAGTTAGTCCAGGCAGAGGGGCTGCTGAAGGTTTCCTCTATGTAAGGGCAATTAAGTAAATGAGGTTCCTCACTCTGGGCCCATCTCCTCCTTTCCTACTCCCTTCACCTTACTCAATGGATCACAGGGTCAGAAAAACGATTCTGGATCTGTGCGGCCGTGGCTTCTGGGCCAGGAGAGTAGATTCATTTGTTTTTGTCCATCTAGCCCCAGCTTTCCCCACTTGTCTGCCTTTTTCTCTGGAGGAAAGGTGGGGAGCTGGGGAAGAGGTGTTATGACAGAGCCCACACTGCCCCTTCACAGAATTAAAGCTCTTGTGGGTAAAGAGGAAAAGTACCAAATTTCACACATTTGGAAATCAAATGAAAAAGAAGTGTCACACGAGGCCTTCTCACTGTCACCTTTCAGCACCTCCGGCATGACTGAGAAACCTACTGAGACCAAAATGAGAAATGAAACCAACTTTAACCCTTGTCTGAAATAAGAGGTTTCCTCAGACTAACATGTTGACTGGCCCAAGGAGCCTGCTTCCCAGAAACTGTCCCAACTGTTCCCCTCATTGCCCCTCAGACCTTCATGGGGAGGAGAAGAGGCCAGCCAAGCACCCGAATTTTCTCTGAAAAGAATGGCCCTGGAGCCAGGAGTGGGGAAGCTGCTGCTGGCTTTCAGGGACAAGGATTAGCACCAGCACTGAGTAAAGCTGCCTCAGAGTCCCCCCCAGGTAAGGAAGGAGGAGTTCTAGGGCAGGCAGGATCCCAAGGCAACAGGCTGACCCTTGTCTCTGAGCCTTCTGGGTCTCCCTTTCACTTACCACACTCAGGTTAGACAAAATTAGCTCCCCTGGTTCCACATAAAGGGAATTTGATAACTCACTCATTCCCCTCTCCTAAATAAAAGAAAACAAACAGAAAATGGAAAATCTGAATGTTTCTGGGCCAACTCCTCTTAACAGTCAGCACCACCATGCCTTTGTTCTCTGGGTATGGGCTCAGTGGTCATCTCCAGCCACCTTGGACCTTACGAGTCACACCTGGGATCTAGCTGGAGGTGCAGCCATCTAGGACTGAGCCTGCAGGTGTCTCCTACCCCTCCACAGGCTGACAGCCCAGAAGATTTCATTCTCGTCTCAGGTCATTTCCCTCAGTCCCATCTGACTTGTGATGTGGCAACGCGTCAGAATTTAAAACCGGCCTATGGTTGAGGGAAGCTCGGAATTTCCCTCTGTTGTTCTGGTCTGACCTCTAGACCTGGCCTCAAGTGAATGTGCGGCTTTGCCCAGCAGGTGCCATTTTTCAAGGACCCAATTGCAAAGCCACCTCGAGTCACTTCCTTCTCCGTTCTGAAAGCTCTCACCTCCAATGCACTCAGTGATGCTCTGGTTTCTGGCTCATTTGCCAAACGGGATAGCAAACAAAGCTGATGAGCCTACCCAGTACCTAATAGCTCAGATGTCTAATCCCCCATCTTTCAGGCACTCTCAGGGGGGGTTCCTAAGGGAAGTGGGCTCACAGAATTAATTCCAAGCATGGCAGTTTTGTGATACAAAAATGCACAAACAGTTTTCTGATGATGCCAGAGAACCTTAGGGCCCTGGAATGGGGAGGCTCTGGCAGCTCAGCTGTGGCTGGGTTCTTGGCTATGGTCAGCATCAAGACTGAGACTCCAGATCTTGTGGACACAAATCTAAGACAAGGAGTGGTGCTCCATCACCAAGTCACCTTGCCAGGTCAAGGACATGAAGATCAAATCCCTGAAGGTCTATCTCTTCTCTCTGTCCATCAAGGAGTTTGAGGTCACTGACTTCCTCCTGGGGGTGCCCCTCAAGGACAAGGTTCTGAAGCTCATGTTTGTGCAAAAGCAGCCCAAGGCTGGCCGGCGGATCAGGTTCAAAGTGATTGTCACCATAAGGGACTGCAATGATAACGTCAGTCTGGGTGTTGAGTGGCCCAAGGAGTTACTCATTGCTGTCTGCAGGACCAACATCCTCTCCATCATCCTGGTGTAGGGTGACTACCAGGGGACAAGGTCAGCAAACCCCACACAGTGCTCTGCATGGTGACACAATGCTGCCGGCTTTGTGCCTTTGATGCCACATCCAAGACTTACAGAGCTAACTTCTGGAAAGAGACTGTTCCCCAAGTCTCCCTATTGTGAATACAAGGACCCACACCATAGCATCCAGGAATGGCCACCACATGGTGCCTTTACACAGGAACAATCAATGAATAAACCTGAAAGCAAGCCAACAAAAAAACCCACAAACACACAGTATGGGAATAACTGTGGGGTAGGCTCTCTCGCAGCCTCCCTGCCACTGCATGGTTTAGGGGAAAGGTCCTGGTCAGGGTGTTGGAAAATCTGAGTTCTCATCCTGGTCTTCTGCTATTCTCCTTCGTCCCCTAAGGCAGAGCACCTTAACTTGCCGAGTCTTAGTTTTCTCAACTGTATGATAATCCCTGCTAGTGCCTACTTATACGATTGTTGTGAAAATCAAATGTGATAGTGCACATAAAAGAACATAGGAAATTGCAAAATGCCATCTAGATATAAGGAAATCAGGGTGATGCCCACAACATTCATTCACCTCCATGGTGATGTGTGTCCTGTGCTGCAGCCACACCGAACTCTTTCTCCTGGTTTAAGCTCTGCCCACCTTTGCGCACCTCTGGCCTCAGCTCCTGCTGTCTCTCCTAGAATGCTCTGCTCCCTTATTTCCTTTGGTCAAATCCCATCCATCCTTCATGGCTCCACCTGAATTCTACTTTCTCCAAAGACTTGATCCTTCAAAAGAAAGTCAAGTCTCTATCCTCTGCGTTCCCATGTCACTTCATCTTTAGGGCAATGACCACTTTCTGCCTTACATGATGGCTGTTCATGTGTAGTTTATGTTCTCTGCTGTCTTGCCTGTCTGGGGGCAGGGTCCATGCCTTGGTGGTTCTTGCAGCTCTCCTAAGGGTGCGTACAGAGCTGACAGTACACAAGAGGCACACAGCACCATTCTGTCTTGTTGCAATGAATCGGAAAGGACCTCAAGAGGTGATCAATGCCTTCAGGGCGTGGAGGCAGAAGATGAGCAGTCAGACTCCAGGGATCGGGTCTATAAACATTTTTTGACATAGAAGCCCAATTTCAAAGCCTAGTAGTTTTAGATTATATTTGCATTTGGAGGCTTTTAAAGTACCAAAACTTTAGATTTATATCTTCATGAACAGATGTGGAAGGGAAATCAATTCCTCATAGGAATGGCTTATTTGTTTTTATCTCAGTGCTGCATATTATGCACCAAGTGGCAAATTAATACATAAATTGACCAGAGATATATACACCACAGAATAGTGCCCTGATGAGAATGGAGTGAGGAGTGGTCTGAGCTCCACATGGCTGGGTGTGGCAGATGCCTGCCCATTATGTGTCAGTCAAGTCAGAGTTTCCCAAAAAGATGTTGGAAGCAAAGGCAACTCTGAGTGTTAGAAAAACCCAGACTATTCCTCGAGAAGAAGGGCAATGCTCACACACGTCATTTAGGGGGACATGTGCTATGGTATGCAAAGCTGGTGCCATCTTGCCTTTCCAAGGCTGTTAGAAGGATGTCATGAGAAAAAGGCATGGCAGCCCCCTGGCCCTTTCCCACATGTGCCCTCTGCTTCCCCCAGCGAGCACGTCCCTCCTCCAGGACAGGAGGAAGAGAATGGAGAAACATCATAGATTGGCCCTGAGAGAGGTGCCCTCTGGGGCTGGTGGGGCCCCCCTGCTCTCGCCTGGCGTGGCTCCCAGAGTGAGTGATGTGAGCAAATGAAGCGTGAGCACAACCTCCCTCCTCCCTCCTGCAGGCATCAGTGCCAGCCCTCCCAGGAGCCCTAGGGCAGAGTGGATGGGTGGGCATGAGGGGCGGGACAGGGCCTGATGAGAAGTCACCTGCTCAACCTCTGGGCCAGCTGTCCCACAGCCAAATGTTCCATGGGCAGAGGAGGGCCCTGAGGGGAATGCACGATCCAGGGCCCACCAGGGAACTCCATAGTGGGCTGCTGGTGGCCAAGGACTGGTGTGGGCTTCCAGAGAAAGCAGACCAGGCAGAAAGGGCAAGTCTACTCTAAAAAATTCCATAAACATGGAAAAAAACTAAAAGTGACTGCTTTCCCCAAGAGAGGGGATGACACATAATAGACAAAGCTTCTGACGTAGTCTAGCTAAAAGCCAAAGAGCTAGTTATCAGCTCTGGAGGGAGCAGGGTTGGGGAGAGAGAGAGGGGCAGACACACACACTCACACAGGAGACACACATAGAAACAGAGAGAGGCAAAGAGAGAGGGGGAGAGGGAGGAGGAGGGGGAAGAGCATTTTCTATTTGTCTCATTCAGTTTCTTATCATGAAGGGACACCGGATGTCCTTTAGGGGGACAATAGAAGAGGAACAATGGAAAGGAAAGGGTTTGCATAATCAGGAAGGACCACACAGAAACCACAAATGACAGATGGGTGTCCTTATCCCCCAGACACAGGTTGACATCCCCACTCACATGTCTGAGGAGGCTGAGTTTCCAGTGCCAGAAACGCCCACGGATTTGTCATCTTGGAGATAGGGACAGAGCCCTCGCATTCATAGCCCCCCATCTTGAAGAAGCTGTGAAGATGCGGGGGAATTAGAGGCTAAAGCATCAAATCCCTGCACCAGGTCAGGTGGGGATTTTGCCTGGAAATAGAGAGGAGGTGCTTTAATGAACCGGTCATGTCCTGGGTGAGAATGAGAGGAGAGGTGGCTCTGTCAGGAGAAACAGGGAGCTGCCGGCACAGCACATGTGTGAAGAGGAATTTCCACACTCCCTGACGACACCTGTTCCGTCAAAGCAGCTTATAAAGAAACAACGGTAACACTGTCACCCTGTCACATCCCACATTCCCAAGAAGGGTGATCTTGCAAGCCCCGGAGGGCTGGAAGCAACTGTGAGCTCCTCCTCTCCAGTTTGTTTCTGGGGAGAATGGAATGGGTTAGGGTAATCTTCTATAAGCCAGCAGCTTCCGTAAGGAATTGGTATTGATTCAGGGTAGACAGAACAGCTTCATTTCTTAAGCATTACTCCAAAGTATTTATGTTCATCTTAGAAGGTTGGATGTAAATCAAGACTTGAGTGTTCAAAACCTCGGTTCTTATCTGCAGTCAAAGCCAGATGCTGGAAGATAGAAACGACAGAGTTGACTAGCTTTTTTCCACCTGCTCAAGACACAAAAGTAATTTTCTGAAGGCAAAATACAACTCTATCCCTCAGAAGTTGCGAGGAAATTCATGACTCTGAGAAAAACAGCAAAGTAAAAGGAGACTTTCAGGTTTCAGTTGTCTTTGTGCTTGGAGGTCTCTTCAAAACCTATCCAGTTACTGTGCTCAGTCTAGGGACTCCCTCAGCCAGGGACTCCCTCTTTCCCCACCTCTCAGAGAGGACAGAAACCACATGTCCCTCTGGTGTCTTGCCCACCATTTCGGACATTCTGAAAAGCTCTCTACATTTCAGGGATATGGAGTCTGTATGCAGGTGTCAAAAACACTCTTGATTTAAGTTGTTAAGATCCTCTGAGGAAAGCATAAAGAGGAAGCAAGGAAAAGTATGTTCATGATTTGTTTTTAAATTAAAGGAGGTGGGGAAAGAAGATGAGAAGAGTGTAGAGGAAGAAAGGCAGGACACAGACGCCTTCAGGTCCCAGGCTGTCCTCCCCAGCTGCCAGAAGTGCTGGCTCACAGCTGCCTGGCGGTCTCAGCCCCCGTGCCCCCTCACCCCATGCGGCACATCCCTGCTTCATAGCTCCAGGGGTGCCCGAGGCCTTCACTGTGATTGCATCGCAGCCCAACCTCTCCCTCTGCCCTGTCCTGCCTCCTTCACTCCCCGGTGAGTGATGCTCCTAAAAGCCGTTTCCAGGAAACCTCCTGCACGTAGATCTCCATCTCAGAGGATTTTTCCAGAGAACCTCACCTAAGACAGGGAGGGAGGAGGTAGGGGACAAGGCTTTTAGTGTTTTTAAAGAGTAGATAATTTTTTATCAAATACAGAAAAGGCACACAAGCCAAAGTGTTTGTCACAGCCCTGGAAAACCTTTGGTGTCTTCATTCATTCAATATTAGTGCATATTTCTGGATGTATGCTATATATCCCAACTATACCTAGAGTGTTGTCATGTGGCATCTTTTTATATCTAAAGTAGGATTATTTGTCTAAAACCTTAAAAAAAGACAACGTTGGAGATTCTATTAGATACCCTGGATTAAGTCACTGGTTACTTTAACTACGATTTTTTTTTTTTTTTTTTTGGCATTTTAAGTGGAAACAATCTCCATAGTTCCTTAACTTTTTTTTCTTCATTTAGGATAGTGAATTATTTTTTACACTTTTGCTCCCATTTATCCCTTGCTGAATTGTGTTCTTGAAAATAACATTTTAGTTATCTTTTCTTCTTTTTCATGTGGACAAGGTAACAGCCCTGCACGGGCCCTGTGTCTCAGGACTAAACTCCATGTCTTCTCACTTGGAGTTTAGAGCAAAATTCTCCAGCCATGCTCCTTCTGGTTACCATGCAATGCACCTACTGGAATAGAATCTTCAAGAAAGCCCAGAAAAAGCACATTAAAATGAACCAACTAATTATCTTCAAAATCCATGAATTTTAAATATACATTTATTTGCATATCACACGAATGCTGATATTCGCCTTATAATCTCTCTTTTATGCACATTTTTCTGTCCATTTAGATAATGAAAGCTGTTCAAATTAACAAGTCAGAGAAACATAGATAATACTATTTTCTATACACAATTATGAATTCTAATGGTTCATGCCTTTGGACTGTGGCTTTTTAAAAACCCAGTATTGTCTTACAAAGTACATCAGAAGCCCTAAGCCTATGTTCATCCCAGCTCTGTCACTTAGTAGCTGTGAGAACTTGGGAAAGTTGCTTAGCTTCTCTGTGCCTCAGTTCCCTAATCTGTGAAATGGAGATAATAATATCAGTATCCATTTCATGGGGTTGGTGCAAGGATTACATAAATTAATTTCCATCAAGTGCTTGGACCAATGCCTGGCATACAGGTACACTAGATTATTACTAATTCACGGACCTCGTTGGGAGCAACGGTGAGCACACAGATCTTTAAGTCTCTCTTCAGAGACCCTGGCAGCTATTTATAAGCACAGGGCTAGCAAAATACCTCTTTTCCCCAAATTTTAATGATACAGGAAACATCCAGCTAGACTCCCCAGTCTATAAACTGCCTTATCTTTAGACCCTTTCTATCCTTCATCTCAGCTCAGTTTCCGAGTCCCCAAATTTTACCTCCATACCGTCTTTCAAATGCCTTACTTTGCTTCCATTCTAATTGTCATCTCTGTAGTTCCAACACTCATTTTCTTGATTTTGATCTAGAAGCCTTCTAGCTGACCTACTCACTTCCATTCCTTTAGCAGTCCAGAACCACCAGTGACTCCCTACTGTCCTTTATGGCACTCTAGACCCTTCCAACATGGCTTGCACCTGGTATTCCCTCCTTCGCCATCATTTGCCTACATTTACCAGTCAAATTGGGCTACTTGCTGTCCATTCATTCTGTCATTCAGTCAACACTTCCTAGGGTGCTCAAAAGCCAGATTCTGCTTTCCAAAAGTTTGCTACAGAGTGGGGAGATAGACGCATGTCATTGAATCCTTGCATTAAAATTCTAGGATTGCAACCCAGATTACTAAACACAGTTGCAACCAAAATGCAGAAAGCACAATGAATCTTGCCTGGGGGAGGAGTGAGGGGTTGTGGAAATCCTCAAGGAAGGTGAAGAAAGGATCAGATGCTATGGGAAGAGCTTTTCTTTACAGCTTTATTGATGTATAATGGAAGTACAATAAACTGCATACATTTAAAGTGTACAAGTTGATAAGTTTTGACACCCATGAAACTATGACCACTATCAAGAGAATGAACATATCTGTCACCCACCTTCCAACATTTCCTCCTGCCCCTTTGTAACCTCTTTCTCCTGCTCCCTTCCTTCCCAGTCAAGCTCTGATCTCTTTTCTGTCACTGTTGGTTAATTTGCATTTTTTAGAATTTTACATAAACAAAATCATACATTGTGTAGTCCTTTTTTGGTCTGACTTCTTTCACTCAGCATAATTGAGATTCATCCAGCTTTAGTGTGTATCCTCGATAGTTTGTTCCTTTTTCTTGAAGAGCAGTATTCAATTGCAGTTATATACCATATTTTTTTCAGTCATTTACCTGTTGATGGGCATTTGGATTATTTCCAATTGTTGGCTCTTCCAATAAAGCTTCTATGAGCACTGGAATGTATGTCTTTGTATGGACATACACTTTCATTTCTCTAGGGTAATACCTAAGAGCGAAATGTCTGGGTCATATGGTAACTGTATGTTTTACTCTTAAGAAACTGCCCAACCATTGTTTTCCAAAATGGTTGTACCTTTTGACAGTACCTCCACAGCCATGTATGAAACTTCCAGTTGTTCCACACAAGAGGGTTTTCTTTGATAAGGTAATCAAAGGATGGTAAAAATGTGTGTGATTTTTTCAGAGAATATCAGACAGTCAGAGTAGCAGAAGCAATTGAGCAAGTTGAGAGATGGGATGGGTGATAAAGCAGAAATTTTGTTTGAGGCCAGCTCCTAGAAGGCTTTGGTATTTGGAGAGTACATTCCAGGCAATGGAAACTCTTTGAAGGCTCCATCTTCTGTCTCTGGATGTTCCATGAGGTTTCCCACCTTTAGACTGTTCTCTCTCTCATGCTGCTCCTTTCCTTTGAACATACCCATCTACTGTGTTGGTAATATCTATGAAAAGTTCAAGACCCAATTGAAATGCTACCTTATCTTCAAGTTCATCCTCAATCCTGAGTTTCCTTCACCATTCCTTTGAACTTCACCCATGGCCCTGAGTCACCTTGCGCCTCCAGTTACGGTGAGTCCCCTATTCATCTGAGGTCTCTGGTGGCAGAGATGGTGGCTCATTCATGCAACATCACCCACAAGACCAATCCCTTTAGGATGATGTATCTCTCTGCACGTTTCTTTTGGTCTTATTTTTATGCAAAGTCCAAACTAAAGGAACATTTTGAATCAAGGAAGGTATAAATCTCATTGCTCATTTTGCCAAGAGCAAAATAAGAAGATGTGGATTGATTCCAAGGAAGAAGAACAATTACTTTCCTTCTCTCTCAGCTTCATTGGCTTAATCATTTCGTCCTCTATCCTTTGCTCCTTTGTGCACACCAGGTCTCCCTCACTCAAGTGGGGCAAATTATGTAATTAGTGAAAGAGCAACAATTTTGCAGAGAAAATGGTTATGTGCTTATGGAAGTTCAATTAATGTCAATTAAAATGTCCAAGGAAACCATTTACTGGGCCTAGAGAAAGAAAGCAGAACTGGACCCTGGCAGAACTAGGGACAGCTGAGAAGCACTGACCAGAAAGAAGACCATTTTGAGGCCCTGCCCAGGTGCCTGGTGCCCATCCTTGCCGGACCTTAATGCCCATCTCTCTCTCTCTTCTGTGTTGACATAGTCCAAAGTAACCAGCAACAGCAGAGAGTGCCCAGGAAATGGCACATGTGTGACTTTAACTGGTCTGATCAATGATCTTTGCCAGATTTACACCTTCTTCACCTCTATTCCCAGTTTTCCACGAGACATTCAAGTCATTAGAGGAAACTGAACATAATTATTATTCTTGGAAAACCTATCGTGATATCCAGGGGTTTCGACTTTCCATTTGCCTTCAATTGTTTTAGCAGCTGGACAGGGCTATCAATAAAACATGTGTGTTTGATTTTGGAACATGCAGCTTGGTTTGCTATAATGTCATGGTGTTTAACTTTCTCTGTGTCCACCCAGACTGACAGGTGCTTCCAAATTCTAGCCTCAGTTCAGGAGGATATTCTTTCTCAAGAATGCCATCCTTACTTTAGTGTATGTATCGGCCAAGGAAAGTGCTAAAACACTTGAGCCAGGGGTTGGCTACTTTATTTTTAAAACTGCCTTTATTTTTTTAAAGTTCTATGGTTTTGACATTGAATCAATATCAGGAAAATACCAGAGGCCACTGCTACAATTTGCATTTCATAATGTGTTTTCTACTGTTTGAAAGTACACTAGACTGTGGCAGAGTTTTCTCTGGGGTCTTTTCTGTAAACCTTACCTGGGCTATTGCTTGGTTGCCTGGTTTTGTTTGTCATCAGCATCTCTGATCAAGGTGGCAGAAGGATGAGAGGGAAACAAGGCAACTTGAAACATTCCCTCCTTCAGAATAGATGAAGGAATGAAGCTCATGCATTTAGCTGTGGGCAGGCACAAGGATTCTAGATGAGAAGACTGGTAGAGACACTTCTTCACTGTCCTGAAGCCGCATGAGCATTCAGTATAGGACCCCATCTGTTTTGTTAAATTGACAGTTTCCTTTAGCAGGAAATCAAGGTTCAAACTGAGTTTTAGACTAGCTACAGAATAAGAAATAGCTTCACTTTTTAAAGACTTTGCTTTTTAAGACATTCAGCATGTAACCTAATTTCATTTGATAGGGTTTGTTTTTCCCTTCTCCATTTGCTGCCTAGAAATGTGTTTCATTATCTCCTGCAGAATTGGAGTTGGGAGGGAAAGCTGGAGAGTCTAAGTTCTCTGGGCCTCAAAAGCAGTAAAAATTAAAATAAAACAACATAAAATAAAATTAAAATAAATCACAGGAACGGCCATCCCAGAGGATTTTCTGTCTTAAACACTTCATACTGAACAGCTGTACTACTGAGGAGTACTGGCTGGGTCTCTTCAGTTTCCATTTCAGAAGCACAGAGTTCAGAACACCAAACTCAAAAGAACAAAAGATAACACGTTAGCACAGACATAGACATGGCTAGATTTTATTCAAGGGAAATTGGTACCTACTTGAGGGAAAAGTTTACAACTACTAGGCTCTTTTTAGGATGTCACATATCAACACTTTCAAATTTTTAAAATTCAGAGCTTCCAAAGTGTTCTAACATCCAAACAGGGTTTTATCTTTAAAAAGTAATTATAGTGAAATATGATTTCCCAGAATAAAAAACATTCATTTAGAGTTATCTTTTTGAATATTGATATGTGAGGAAAACACACACGCACTAGCAATTTTAGAACATCAACTTTTTAATGTAGAAAGAGTAATTAAGGAATTACTGGGGAGAAAAGACACACACATCACTGAGTCCCTCAATAGCACAGGCTGTCTATGTGGGTTCTGGTGCCCTGAGCAGATGGAAATGAACTTACTTGATGTCACACAAAAGGGCCACTCCTCTCAGGATCCAGTGATCCGGGGACAACACTGTTCGTAAATATACCACAGTGATGAAGGTCAAATCAGTTCGCCTGGGTTTCTTGTAAATAGGACACACATACAGCTTGGGGTCCTTGGGTGCCGTGGAGTTAATGGCAAAGATGTGGAGCACGGGTAACTGCGTGAAGAGTACCTTGGGGGTGGATTCCATGAGCTTCCCATTCCGTCTGTCCCAGGCTGCTCCATCCATGTAGAGCCCATAAATATACACACCTTCCTGGAAGAGTCAAGCATAAGGTAATAGGATTTATTTTTTAAACTAGGTGCTGCAAAATTAGTCATAAAGGCTGTCAGTTTGGAAATAAAACACACACCAGTCTTAAAACACTACCAAAGGGAGAAAGCACCACCGGGTACATTGCATTCGTGAAATACTGAGCCCAGTTTTCTCCTGCAGCCTGTGTTGAGGCTATGAGTGCTGTAGAGATGTTCGTGTTTGTTATTAGTTATTTAAGTGTGGGGTGGCCTCCCTGAGCAACAGGCTTAGCCGGTAGCACCAGATCACCTCTATAGGGAGGTGAAAGTCTCTGAGAGGTCTGGTTTGAGTTGGTGGAAGGTGGGAGCATGGAACAGGATCTAGAGCTGCTGTCAGGTGGGATCTCAGCCTGCCCCCGGCCAACCAACCTGTGTCTCAACTTCATCTCAGTCACAGGATGAAGTGAGGTTTCCACAGCCAGGCCCAGCTAGCGGGAGAGTCAGAGCGCCCCCAGAGGCCAGGCATGGTAGAGCCAGGGGAATCATGGCCAGGGCAGCATCTGGCCACCCTCCCCAGTGTCTCTCTCATACAATAGGCCCTACCCTGGGGTTCCTCATCATTAAATCAGGGAGATAAGATGCATAGGTGCAGAAAAATTTTTTAAAGATAAGAATTGAATAGCAGCACACACTTGTTACTGGTGGTGCCCGGTGAACTGTTCTGGGGGTGAGGGCGGTGAATTCTGAGGCAAGGTCCCTGTGGCTGGAGTGCTCAGGAGCCTCTGTAGAGGGGATGGCCTTGATGGGCCTTGATGGGCTTGCAGCAGGGGGCTGTGTTTGGAAAGACAGAGGAGAGAGCGTAGGCATCACAGGCAGAAGTAACACTACAAAGAAAGGCAGGGCGAGCCGGAAAAGCCCCAGTATTTCCTTTATCAGAGGGCTCGATGGTTGTAAAAGAAGTCAGGGGTTGACTGTGGAAGGATCTGGGTGCTAAGCTGAAGAGTTTAAACTGGATCCTGTAGGCAGTATATTCACTAAAAAAAGAAAGGCTGAAGGAGAATCACAGGGGAGGCTCCAACAATCATGCCAGCTCACCAAATAGGTAAATGTAGAGGATGGTGACCGTTTTTCCATCTCCAGTGAGGATCGGATCAGGGAAGTAAATGCTGATTAGAACGAAAGACAGTAAGATTCATTGCAAAGTGTTTCTGGAATCCCCCTGTGGGGGCTCACCGTGTGAGGACTGTGTTTTTTGAACCAAAAACGGAGGCACATGATTTGACAGTAAAACCATGGGCAGTCCCAGAAAATCAGGACATATGGTTACCATCATTAACTCAGTGGGTGACAATCAACTACATGAATAATGGGACCACTTAAAAGCCATCATATGGTAAATTGTATCCCTCTCCAGGGTGCTTTCAGCCTCAGAACTTTAAAAAGTCAGTGAGAAGGTGTGGTAGATAGAATAGTGTCACCCAAAACTTCATGTCCACCCAGAACCTTAGAATGTAATTATTTGGAAATAGGGACTTTGCACACATTGTTTAGATAAGGACATACTGAATTAAGGTAGGTCCTAAATCCAATGTGACTGGTAACTTTATAAGAAGAGGAGAGGACACAGAGATATATATACTTATACAGATGAATGTGAGAATGGAGGCAGAGATTGTAATGATGAAGGAAAGCCAAAGATTGTCAGTAACCACCAGAGGCGAAGAGAGAAGCTTAGAACAAGATTTTCCCTTGGGGCCTCCAGTAGAAACCAACCCTACCCTGATTTGACTTCTGGCCTCCTAAGCAATGAGAGAATAGATCTCTGTTGTTTTTAGCCACCCAAGGTAATGATACTTTGTTATGACAGCCTTTGGAAAGGAACACAGATTTTGATTCCAGGAAGCAGGATGCTGTGGTAACAAATGCCTACAGATGTGGAAGGTATTCTGGAATTGCATAATGGGGAGAGGCTGGAGGAATTTTGAAACTGCCTAAAAGAGATTGTTGGTGGGAACCTGGAGGTTAAGGTGCTTCTGGTGAGGCCTCAGACAGGAATGTGGAAGATAATACTGGAAACTGAAGGAAACGTGGCCCTCGTTATAAGGTGGCAGGGAACTTGGCTAGAACTTGGAAATCATCTGGTCCAGCCCCCTTACTTGACAAATGAGGGAATGAAAATCAGAGAAAGGGAAAGGGAGACTGATTTACTGAGAGTCTACATGGGGTCCAGCACCACACCTAAATGATCACATTTAAATCTTCACAACTACCTTTTTTAAAATTTTATTTATTTATTTATTTGAGACAGAGTCTCGCTCTGTCACCCAGGCTGGAGTGCAGTGGCGGGATCTCAGTTCACCGCAACCTCCGCCTCCTGTATTCAAGCAATCTTCCCACCTCAGCCTCCCAAGTAGCTGGGACATTACAGCCTGCCACCACCCCAGGCTAAGTTTTGTATTTTTAGTAGAGACGGGTTTCACCATATTGGCCAGGCTGGTCTCACACTCCTGACCTCAAGTGATCCTCCCGCCTTGGCCTCCCAAAGTGCTGGGATTACAGGCGTGAGCCACCGTGCCTGGCCACAACTCCTTTAATAAGGTTGAATTATCATGCTCATTTTGCAGATGAAGATGTGAAGACTCAAAAAAGTTAAAGAATTTTCCCACATTCATTGAGCAGATCAGTGTCCAGGAAGTGGGGGCTCTTCCCCCCAGCCATGTTCCTTTCCACTCAAAGGGGACACCCCTGGAACTGGCCCCTGGCTCCAACCTGCTAGTCCCCTTCATCTCTGCTGCCCTCAGCACTGCTCTGCTGCCTACAGTAGAATCTGTGAGTAGCCCACAGCAGTAGCTGGAGATGTGTAGAAAAGCCTTATTTATTTATTTATTTATTAAGACAGGGTCTCACTCTGTCACCCAGGCTGGAGTCTGGTGGTGTGATCACTGCTTATTGCAGCCTCAACCTCCGGGGCTCAAGCAATCCTCCCACCTCATCCTCCCAAATAGCTGGGACTACAGATGTGTGCCATCACGACTGGCTAGTTTTTGTTTGTTTGTTTGTTTGTTTATGGTGGAGACAGGGTCTCCCAGTGTTGCCTAGGCTGGTCTTGAACTCCTGGGCTCAAGCAATCCTCCTGCCTCAGCCTCCCAAAGTGCTAGGATTATAGGCATGAGCCACCGCACTTGGCCAAAAAGCCTTTTTAGCAAACACAAGTGTAACTTGTAATTTTGTAGAAATGTAGTCTACGGAGTTCTAAGAGCTCATTAGACCTTGTCATTAATCTTCCACTCTGGCAGATGGGGGAGGCTTTGGCACTGATGTCTTCTGGCTATGATGGAGGGAACCCTCACTGCAAAGCAAATGGACCTAACCAAGGCACTCATAGCTCAGTTTTAAGCAGAACTTGAAATTTCAGCTCTGGCTCCAGAATGGTCCCTGCTATTGCCCAGCAACGCCTACCCCAGGGGGTGACGTGATCTCCTCCTTGGTCTGTCTCAGAACTTCATTGTGGATGGTCACAGTGTCCAGTGCCCAGCCTTTGTGGGCACGGGTCACTTCTTGCCTCATTGCTGTGAGGAAGCCTTAAAGAAAAAAAGAAGAGATGTTGAAGCCTTGTTGCAATCTGCTTTAAAAACAAGAAGGAAGCAATGTTAAGTGTTACTTGCTTATCAATCTCCAAACTACACATCCATCTCAAAAGGAGTTGAGGCCAAACCCCAGGGGAGACATTTGTCTCAGTGTTTCGTTTCTGTGGGGACCTGCAATGAGCTAAATCTTTCTCGCCTGCTGACAGCAGGAAAGCAGTACTGTTTATACTTCAAACTGGGCCTTGGTTTGAAACTCTCCTGAGATTTCAGCTGCTCAAGTCTTAAAGGCTTGTAACCCAATTCTAGCTCACAGTCTCTATTTGAAAATATAATATTGAGGAATAAGATCGGAATGGTGAAATATTCTGAGAATAGCATTCCAATTAGCCTTGAATCAAACCATTATCAAGCTTCTATTTGCTATAATGGAACAATTTCATTTAGTCTAGGGAAATAAGGCATAATGCCAAAATAGAAAACCTGACTTTCAATTTGACCAAACAAAGCAATCACCCTGGAAAGGAAAGCTACATATTTTAATGTGCATAATACAGTGATTTTAAGACAATATGCAGTTACGTACACTGTGGCTTTTCTTTGAAGTTAATATTTGCAAACCATGCATTCAATTCAATAAGATAAGCCTTTCTTGGAGAGTAACAATCAATGTTAGAAAAAAATATCCTAAACTTCAAACTGGACTTCAAAACCTTAAGAAAACATATTTATGATCTACATATTTTATTTTGGCCTCCATGTAAATATTAAAAATCATAAAGCTCTCCAATGAGTAAAATTTTATAATGTGTGTGTTCCCGCTACTCCTAGATTAGTGAGCTCTGAGAACCAAACCAGCACATACCAATGTATGCACAAAACAACACAAAAGTGAACATTTTATCAGGTTTGAATGGGAGTTGGGGGAGGGGAGAGTTGCAAGGCATAATTATAAGCACTGAGTCGAGATCCCTTGGAGTTGGAAAGAAAGAATAGGTCCTAGCCTGGCTTTACTGAGTCAAGTTCTCCCCATTATTAAATGAGACACTTGGAGAGGCACTCATATGGTCATGCTTTCATTGCTCTGTCAAACCTTGCTGAAGTGGCCACCATGTACCAAGCCCTGCACTATGTGGGATGACCACAAAGATGAAGAGGCCATCCATGGGCCCCACATTCAAGGAGCTCAGTCCAGAGGGAGTGTGGGGGAGGCTGGACATTGACACAACGTTGTCATTATGAAAAAAGGCGTGAACAAAGTTAACTACTCGGGAAGACAACTCAGGGAAAGCGTAATTGAGAAGATGAAGTGGAAGATGACTCTTGAGAGCTACATAGGAGTTTGCCAGATGGGGCAATTCCAGGTAAAGGAACAGCACACACACACACATGGATGGCTGAGAGAGTGTGGAGTCAGTGACAGCAGATAAGGGTAGAACGAAGATACAGCAGTGATTTTTCAAGGTCAGAGTTTGGACTTAAGTCTGTGGATGGAGAGAAGCCACTGAAAATTTAAATAAAAATTCAAATGGTTTGGCTTTATTTGCATCTTGACACATTTACTCGGAGTGCCCACTAAAATAGGATTAGGTGTGGTAAAGAAGGGCCTTTGCATTAACCCAAAAGAAGAGTTGACCAATCAACCAAAGCAGCTGAGTGAAGGACTTTTATAGAAGATTCTTATAAAGCTATAGTTTCATGAAACCGAGTGCCTAGTAGGAGAGACTGGTTTTATGATACAAAATGTTAAGTATAGGAGGCAGGAAATGTAGTGGAAGTTTGCCTGGTAGCAATGGCTGGTCAATGCCTGTGCTCTGTGTGGAGTCACTTCAGGGGATTTGATCAGCATGTGAGTATGTTGACTTCCTTTTTTATTATTTTAGAGACAGGGTCTTGCTATGTTACTCAGGCTGGTCTCAAACTCTTGGGCTCAAGTGATCTTCCCACCTCAGCCTCTGGAGTAGCTGGGTTTACAGATGCGAGCCACTGTGCCAGGCAACTTCCATTTTAAACATCCAGGCTCCCATACTTTAGCAGTAAAACATGTGGTGTGTTTTCCAGTCAATGGTATATATGACAAAAATAATAAAACCCAATTCTCCATTCTAAGGCACTCCATGAAAATGTCATTTTCACCATTCAACATTCAGCGTGCATCCATGTATTAGACACTGTATATCCTAGTAGGGTTTTGTGGACTTGGAATTAAATCAACCCTATTTTATGATGTTTTAAGATTCATTACTGATCTATGAATCTACAAGGTCATAATGTACAAGGCATGAATCCTGGTCTTAACCATCCATTTGTACAAGTTGAATAATTAAATTTTCCTATAACATTTAAAGTTCCAGCTAAACTGCAAATTTGACCTCATTCCTTGTGGCTAGACAATGACCAAGACAATGTCATAGGTGCCAGAGGAGGATAGAGCTGGATTCTCGCTTATTTAGCACATCTGCTACAAAGACTTAAGCCATCATCAGAGCTCTGAAAAACTCTAGTGAAAATAAGGAGACATCATGTCTTATCTTCTCCCTAATGGGGAGAGGCACTCCCTAATGGGAATGATGTTGGGCAGCTGACTTCAGCCATAAGTCTCCTAATGCTTAGCAATGCCAGGAGGTGAACTCTAGAACACACTTACATTACCTTGTACTATTAAGAAAGGAAAATGTTAAATATATTTGCAGTCTGAGAGTGGAGATAGGAAACGTTAATGGGCCATTCCCATGTTCAGAGAACGTAGAGAAGATACATGTCCTTTCAAGTCTTGATCATTTTGTCTCTGCTTCCTAAAGACAGCATGATCCTTGCAGCACTCAAAGGGTAGCAAATCCAATGAACTGTTCATTATTGAATTTAAAAAATGAATGGCCATCTTTCTTGTAGACTGATAGCAAGTCTAATGGAATGAAAAGCTGATTTTTTGAAGCCTGTATAATTTTTAAAGACTATTGATATATTTTTCTCTATAAGAGCTTGAAAGCAGTACTTTTGTTTTGGCACAATTTAGTTTTTTGTTTGTTTGTTTTGTTTTGATTGTTTTTTAGACGGTGTCTCGCTCTGTCGCCCAGGCTGGAGTGCAATGGCGTGATCTCCGCTCACTGCAAGCTCCACCTCCCGGGTTCACACCACTCTCCTGCCTCAGCCTCCCAAGTAGCTGGGACTACAGGCACCTGCCACCATGCCCAGCTAATTTTTTGTATTTTTTAGTAGAGACGGGGTTTCACTGTGTTAGCCAGGATGGTCTCGATCTCCTGACCTCGTGATCCGCCTGCCTCGGCCTCCCAAAGTGCTGGGATTACAGTCGTGAGCCACTGCACCCCTGGCTGGCACAATTTAGTTTTAATAATTCCTAAACCAAATTTCAATCATCAGTGGTGCAAAAATGATTCCTATGTTCATATGTTTAACTCCAAAGGGAGAAACAAAAAGTTGGGGAAAATCTTCAACAATAGTAACCTTCTATTCTTCATGAGAGTAAACCACCCACATGAAAACAGGTGATTTGATTATTTAAACATCTGAGTTACATGTGGTCTAAATCAGATGCTTTAAAAAAAATTCTTCCCCCTCAAACCCATAAAGCATAATGACTTCTTAAAACACTTGTCAAGCTTGTTCTTTTTAAAAAACTCACAAGTTTGAAATATGTATCTAAAATACAATTTATAAAATGCTTAATCTGCCGATTCTGGAGCCCACAGTGCAGGGTGGGATGGGGGTAGGCAGCTGCCCACTACACCAGCACAGCAAGACTGCAGGGGTGTGGCCCTCCCTCCCAGGCCCTTCTGTTCAGACACCCAAGGGGAACATGTGCACCCCTGGGATCACACGACCAGAAAACAAGACCCCAGAGGTTTCTTGAATCTCTGCTTACCAGAGAAGCTGAGTGCAGCCCTGCCAGCCCATCCCTGAGCAGGGCACCCCCAGGTGGGACAAAGCAAGGTATGGCTCGACTGGGCAGGGCAGGGCAGGGCTGGGCAGGCAGGTGGGCTCTGGAAGGGGAGGATGGTAGCAGACAGGGTGTTGCCTCCTGCCTGCAGGTGGGAAGCACCCTGATTGAGTGGGCTGAGAAGGGTTGGTCACCAAGCCTGGACCCCCCAGCTCCTTTGGTTATAGGCTGATATCAGAGTAGTGGCTCACAGGAAGCAGTTAGCTGGAAAGTCTGAGGCCTGGTCCATAGGGTCAGGGAGGAGCTGGGGGAAGAGGACAGTACCGTGAAGGCAGATAAAAAGGTAGCAGCCTCAGATTTCTGCATCCCCCTGGGGTTTGCCAACCCAAAGCCTGCAGCTTACTTTATAAAGAGAAGAAAAAAAAACACTTAATGAAAGTTATAGACAGCTACCCCCCACTTACCCACACACACAAAATCCAAATGATTTTTTTCATCTCCCCTCCAGCCTCCTCCCAATACAATACAGTTTCCTGTTTTCTTTCTTTTAAAAAATTCCCTTTTAAGCTAGGATTATACTTTGGAAACTCAGGTCTAAAGTAACACTTGTTATGTGTCCATTCCTATAATAGTAGTAATCCAACAGTTCAACACACTCACGGCTGTTGTTTGACTTGTGCAATCAGCTGGCTTAAAGAAAGCTGAAGAGTGCTTTAAATATCATTTCATACAAGGTCTTAGAAAAGGTGAAAGAAATAACTAATCAGGAAGATTGCTCTTCTCAAATTTATAAGGAGTTGGTTGGCATTTTGTAATGATTTACACTAAAAATAAGCAACATTTTCTTTTCTTTAATAAATGAACTGGTCCTTATGCAATAGGCCTTAGGCTGTGCAGTATTTCCTGTCTAATCAGTTACTAAGCTTCCCAGCAGCATCTTTGAAGATGAGGAGAAATGATGTTCCTGCCACGAGTTTAAGACAGGCAGTTTTTCCCCCAAATGAGAAGCAAATGTAGTTCATTGGTAAATTAAACCAAAGGTCAGAAATCATTAAACAAAGATAGGGTTGGTCAACCCCGTTGAATAAAAATGCACCAAGCACCTTCCCCGGTTCTTTGCTGTAAGGCAGGGACATTAAACTGCTGAAAATTAGAGACACCCAGGAATCTTCTAAAACTCCCAATTCCCAAGTCACAGCTCAGATAAATACAATCAGAATCTCTGGAGGTGGAACCCAGGCACCAGATTTGTTTTAAGGCAGGGATTCTCAGACTTTAATGTTCATGGGAATCACCTGAGGAGGGGGATGTACTAAAAGTGCATGTTCTGATTCAGTAGGTAGATCAAGAGTGGGGCCTGAAATTCTGCATTTCAATCAAGCTCCCAGGTGATACAGACGCTGCTGGCTGGTGGACCACATACTGGGTAGCAAAGGTCCAAGGTCAAGGTTCTTCACTCATTAGAATGACCAAGGAAGCTTTTCAGAAAATTTATTGCCACCAACAGTGTGACAGCATTCCTATTTCTCCGCAGCCATTGTGAAAGACAGTGTGGCAATTCCTCAAGGATCTAGAACCAGAAATACCATTTGACCCAGCAATCCCATTACTAGGTATATACCCAAAAAAATACAAATCATTCTGCTATAAAGACACATGCACACATATGTTTATTGCAGCACTACTTATAATAGCAAAGACATGGAACCAACCCAAATGTCCATCAATGATAGACTGGATAAAGTAAATGTGGTACATATACACCATGGAATACCATGCAGCCATAGAAAGGAATGAGATCATGTCCTTTGCAGGGACATGAATGAAGCTGGAAGCCATCATCCTCGGCAAACTAACACAGGAATAGAAAACCAAACACCGCGTGTTCTCACTCACAAGTAAGAGTTGAACAATGAGAACACATGGACACAGGGAAGGGAACACACACACTGAGGCCTATTGGTGGGGGAAGGGGAAGGAGAGCATTAAGACAAATAGCTGATGCATGCGGGGCTTAAAACCTAGATGATAGGTGCAGCAAACCACCATGACACATGTATACTTATGTAACAAACCTGCACGTTCTGCACATGTATCCCGGAACTTAAAGTAAAATAAAAAAGAAAAGAAAAGAAAATTGATTGTATGGATTCTAGAGGGCTCATCCCTAGAGATTCTGATATACTTGTTCTGGGGCCCCAGGCAGTAGTATGTGTTAAAAGCTCCCTGGGTGATTTTACTGTGGAGGCAGGTGTGAGAACCACTGCCCCGTAAAAAGCTCTGCAGACAAGTCATTGACAGTCACTGATGCACAGTTGTTTTAAGAACAAGTTTGACAAGTGGGAAGAGTACAGGCACAATATTAAGAAGACTGTCACTAGTACAAGCTGACTCTTTCCAGGGCCCCTTGAGACACACACCTTCTCTGAAATGACTAATCCAGGACATAATTGGCTCCAGTAAAACTTCGGTATAAACAGGAGAGTTGGGACTACCTGTCTTAGCAAGGCTGGGATCAGCTAAACCCATTTAAAAATGTAATTTCTGCCCTGAACTATCTTTTCCTTGAGCTAGTTTATGCTTCCTTTCCCTTTAACCAACCTCCCACTTCTCCCCTCTCTCGCAAACCTTTCCAATGTTCCCTCTGTTGACAAACTCTCATATTTTCCACCTTTTCACAGAATGTTCTTTCCACCTTCCGCCAGGTTGCCCCGGCTCAACCCTAAAGACCTTGTCCTTCCCAGCTGTTCCTCCACCCTTTAAGGGAATTTCTGCTGCATTGACAACCACAGCCTCTGGCCACATGTCCCTCCTCTCATTGTCCTTGCCATATACCCATCTGCTGCGACCCATTAAGCACTCTGACAACACCTGGGTCTCTCCAGTACCCCATTCAGCATCTGACCTCTCAGACCTTTGGCCTCATCATTTTTTATGACCTTCTTCTCAACTCCATCCCTTTTCTTCATTTACTTCCCTGTTTAGTTCAGATCCATCCTTTTCATCTCTTGCCTGGCAAAACCGCAATCCCAGATGAATCCAAATGCCCCCCTCTCTCACGTCTATACGAGGCTGCTGAATGAAACTAGAAACCATCACACAGCCACCATCACCACAGTTCACCATGAAGAGCCTCAACAGAATTCTCAAGGCCACTTATCAGTCCTTCCCTGTCCCCCTCATCTGCCCTCTTTCTCAAACTTCCACCACTCTTTTAAAAATCTCTCCACCAACATCTTCTTGCTTTCAAGAGGACCTCACCTCCTGCTTCAGACAGAGAGTAGAAAGCATCAAATGGGAATGCCCTTAACTTCTTGCCAGCAAGCCTACCTATGCTCCATCACCATAAGCATCTATGCCCTTTCCTTCCTTATTACTCTTGTTACAGTGTGCGAGGTGCCGCCTGCCTGGAGCACATTTCTCCATCTGTGAGTGCTGTGTCCACCTCCTCCTGCCTCTTTTACCTCCTCCCTGGGATTGTTGAGCTCTCTCTCCCTCCTTCATTCCTCCCACAACCCCTTTTCTATCTTTCTCTCTCCTTCCCACCAGTATTTGAACAGGTTTAAGCCTCTCCTATCACTAAAAGAGAAAGAAAGAAAACTTTTTATTCTTATACCTACTCCTCCAACTTGATTCTCCTCTTCCCAGCCAAATGTCTTGAGAGAATTATCCATGTTATGCATACTCACCTAGTCTCCATTTCCTCGTTTCACTCACACACCCCCAAATCAGACTCCTGTACCTCCCCACCTATTCCACTGAGACTTCTGCCAACAGTCTTCTTGTTGAAAAATCCATCTGGCCATTTTTGGCCCATCTTACTTGCCCTCTTGGAGCACCTGCCACTACTTACTTACTACTCTCCTTCTCCTTGCCTTCCATGACACCATGCTGTCCTGGTTTCCCTCTTCCACACTGTTTGACATGAGGAGCCCATTCACAAGAGTCCAGGTGACCTGGAGGATGGTGCACAAGCATATTCAGCAGAATCCTGGCACAGATGACTCAGGAGGAAGATGGGCAGATCATGGCTCTGGTGACCTTTGCAGGAGGATGAAATTCCTACTTGGCAGGTGGAAGTGAGGAATGAGCATGCTACAGTGGGACATTAGATGAGCCACTCATAGGCTGAGGTCATCAACGAGGGGGCCGAGGCCAAGGACAGAAGTTGCCGAGAAGAGCACACAAAGTGAGCTCTGAGGTAGGAAGAGATCAGAGGAGGGGCATGGATGGAAACCAAGGCATGAGAGTTTTCAAAGTCAGCATTCTAGCTCTAGTCAAGGGCAATGATGTCATCAGGGAGGTCGTTAGATATGAGGGCCGTGGAGAGAGCAGCTTCAGCACAGTGATGGAGCCCAGCCAGATTACAAAGGACTAGGTGGTTGCTAAGGAAGGTAAACACATGCAGAAACTGGAATTACAAGAGATGTGGTTGTGTCTAAGGCCAGTGCGTAAAAGCTGCTCACACAGAAAGTCAAGGAGGATGGGTTGTTATTCACTCAGAGGCATTTCTATAGTTCTGTGATTTGGGGACAGGGCAGGTTAGTGCTATCACTCACGTTGAAGTTTAGGACTTGAGGTCCACTCACCTAGATTTCCCAAGATGTTTAAGGGTAGCTCTCATTCATCAAACAGTGGCACTGGGGCATGCTTAGAATTGCTATTAGATTAGAAGCTATCCCCAAGTCCCTTCCAATCTTAAAGGTCCATTAGTCCTTGGCACACTTTCCCACCTCCACAAACGGCAGACTTTTATAACTCTTCAAGACAAGCATTCAGAGATTGTAGCTAGTTGATGATGTTTCCCTGAAAACACACACACAGGCAAAAAGTTGTAGATTATTTTTACAGAATGCAAGATAACAGAACAAAAATGATCCATCTCTTTGATCCAGCAGGATTGCCTCTAACTGAAAAATCTTGATTTGCATTACGGAAGAAGTTGTCACTGATATCTGACACAACTGACTGGCATGGCTTGTCAAGACACTGAGAAAAAAATAACAGAAAAAAGTGGGCACAATTTGGCATCTAAATGGCATCAAGCTCCAGATTGAGCTAAACGTTCGGAAAATAACGGGACTGCATGGTTCAATCTACTATAGAGGTGTGAGACCTGGGGAACACACTCAGCCTCTGCCTCCATTTCATTAGCAGCCCCTGTGAGTCATAGCTAACATCAAATGGCAAAGCATGGCTATCAATTAAGATGTTCTGAAAGGCAGTCAATACCCTGGCCTGAAGTCAGGCTCATTACGACTATATTCTTTGGGTTTAAACACATCCCCACACACAGCACAGACATGTACACACACTTGCAAGCTCATGCACCAGAATCTAAATCATGTTACACGATGCACTGAAAAGGCGCACCTTCGGGAAAAACAGACCAGGGCCATCCTTTGCGACACCCGAGAAAAACAATCTTAAATAATGTGGGAAGATGTGCACCAACAACTGCTGGGAAAACCCAGTGGAGCACAAAGGTTCCCCTGGCCTGAGTAATCTGCTGGGAGACAAATCCACACACAGAAAAAAGCTGCACATTGAAAAAACTATCACAGGGTCACAGATATAGAGAGCTTGACTATTTTAATCATCCAGTCTAATTGCCACATGGTTGAGCTCATCAATTGCTACAGAAATGATTGTGAGGGGTGCTGAAAATGCCAGATGAGCTCCACGGTGGCTGACTCAGCCTCTTCAAATATGACAGACAAAATATCAGGCCACCCATAAGGCAAACAGCAGTGCTACAAACAGCAGAAGCTCAGGTGCTGACCAGGGGCAAGCAAGGCATGTCACTTGTCCTTGAGGTAGCACGGACCTCAAAGTCACTTAGGCCTGTGGAGCAGTCACCAGAGGGTCAATGAGGGAAACACACTAAACAGCATCAGATGCCACATTGCATTATACAATTATAAACATTAGCAATCACACGTGAATAAAGCCTTTGCAGGTGTTCTATAGTCTTCCTTATGGTCCAGGTGATTTTGATTACTGCATATATATTTGTGATGAAACTACAGCCTTTATACAAACTGCACTGTGTTTTACTTAAATATGTAGGGCTTTTTTCTTTTTTTTTTTTTTTGAGACAGAGTCTCGCTCTGTTGCCCAGGCTGGAATGCAGTGGCGCGATCTCGGCCCACTGCAAGCTCCGCCTCCTAGGTTCACGCCATTCTCCTGCCTCAGCCTCCCGAGTAGCTGGGACTACAGGCACCCACCACCAAGCCCAGCTAATTTTTTGTATTTTTAGTAGAGACGGGGTTTCACCGTGTTAGCCAGGATGGTCTCGATCTCCTGACCTCGTGATCCGCCCGCCTCGGCCTCCCAAAGTGCTGGGATTACACGCGTGAGCCACCACGCCCTGCCTATGTAGGGTTTTTTATTTAAAGCCATTTACTTAAATGTTTTGAACCAAAGAAAGAAATTACTTCATTGAAGAGGACTGAATTAGAGGACATAAAACCCAGGAGATACATTCATGTTGGGAGATCAACTGTTGATGTCAAATAGTGTCCAGCGAGGCTTCCAGTGGGAAAGGACTCTATCTGTTTGCACACTCCCTGGGAACATGTATGGAGTAGCTGTAATCTTTATTTGCCAGATTTGGCCAAGTGAGGTGGAACAGAAAGTAATTTGTCCCTCATGTCAAGAGAATGAAAAGAGAGCAGAGAAGTGATTAGTGTGCAGGAAGAGTTGACTTCCAGTCTTCTGTGCGACTAACAGAAAGCAGTCATGGATAAGGGTGTGTGTGTGCTTGTGTGTAAAGGGTAGGATGTTTGAATAAGTTAGGGCTTTCCAAGACATGGAGAGACCTGAGAGAAAGAATCAAAGTCTAACTTGAAAGCAGAACTGAAGAAAAGGGAAAAGATAAGTATTATTAACAAATGAAGGAAAGTAAGGCATTAACTGAAATGTGATGTATTAGTCCATTTTCACACTGCTATAAAGACATACCCGAAACTGGGTAATTTATGAAGGAATGAGGTTTAAATGGACTCAGTTCTGCATGGCTGGGGATGCCTCAAGAAACTTACAATCATGGCAGAAGGGGAAGCAGGCACGTCTTACATGGAGGCAGGAGAGAGAGAGTGAAGGAGGAACTGCCAAACACTTATTAAACCATCAGATCTCGTGAGAACTCACTCACTATCACGAAAGCAGCATGGGGAAAACCACCTCCATGATCCAGTCACTGGGATTACTATTTGAGATGAGTTTTGGGTGGGGACGCAGAGCCAAACCATATCATGTGAATCTACATTTGTATTTCTTTAAGTATTGTTTGGCTTTGTAACATTTCTTAACAAATATTAACAATTAAAGATCAGTTCATATTAACACTTTGCTTTTTAAAGTTATATTTTGAATGAAAAAAATCACTGAAAAAAATTATGTGCATTCGTGACTATGGAAAGCCAGGGATGAACCAACTCCACTCCCTTGGTTTCTAAATATCAAAGATACATTCAATAACCTCACACTTTTGAAAATCATTGGTCCTTACGCCTCTCCCAACTCCAAGTCTGCCAACATACCTCTCCAGTGCTCCCTGTCTCTCTGCCCTACCTGTCCCTCTCCCAATGTTCCCTGTCTTGTACCTTGCCTCCAGCCTACATTGTCCCTCCTTGCTCTCTCAGAGACCCCCATTTAATCACTCCATCAAATCTGTTCCCTCCTTGGCACCTGGTTAAGGTCCCAGGCCCTCTTCCTTGGACCTGGCAAGAGTCTCATTGCACTGGGCCTCCATATTCCAGTCCCTCACTTGCCTTCTCTTGGGATTACCTTCTGATATACAGCCCCAACCCCTGAGGCCCCGGAAGATTTTTCATACTCCAGCCTCATTCCCCACTACCCCCAGCCTTGCTCCTGAGCCCTGGCCACACTGGTCTCCCTGTTCCCCTGAACAAGACTTGTTTTTGCTCAGGCCTCTACCTGGAAAGCACCCGCTCTTTTTTTGGCATCCCTGCTTCTGCAAACCCTACTCACTGCTTCCTGTGTGAAGCTCTTGGCAGAATTAATCTCTCTGTCCTCTGGGCTACCATGGCACTTAGTTCTCACACAGTGGGGCACTTATCACATTACATTAAGGTTGCTGATGTGTCTGTCTTACCAACCAGATTATAGGCTCCTTTAGGGCAGGAACCAAGTCTCAAATCTCTCTTCATTGAAAGTACCTAGCAGAGGGGCTGGCAAATGGGAGGTGGTCAAACAATCCTTATTAAGTTAAATGCTATTACTTCATGCTCCCCAGCCAGAAATTACCTGGTGACGACTTACTCAAATTGAGGCTCATACGGAGGAAAGAGACTCATAAGTAGACACACAAAATCTGAGACCCATAATAAAAAATGTTCCTCCCCTAACTCAATGGAAATTCTGGGAGAAAAATAGATAAGTGAAATCTGGGGGCTGCCCTTTACAACTCTAAAGGCTACGGACTTTATAAAATACTATGTATAATTTGATATGTTCATAGAAATCACCATGGTTAGTGTTTCAAATTTAAACATTTTTAAGGTATTGGAAAATGCATACAGTGAATGAATGTATGTATACAAAGGACAATTAAATACATATTTTTCATGTATAATATTGATCAAAGTATGCTTTACACAAAAAAAACCCTGCACAAATCATCAGTATACAGCAATATCAAGGAATTTTCACCAAGGGAATTCAGCCACATAACCAGTATCCAGATCTAGAAGTGAAACATTCCTGGGCCCCAGAAGTCCCTTGTGCCTTCTCTCTCTCTCTCTCTCTTTCTCTCTCTCTCTCTCTTTTTTAGATAGGGTCTCACTCTGTTGCCTAGGTTGAAGTGCAGTGGTGCAATTATGGCTCACTGCAATCTTGATCTTCCAGGCTCAGGTGATCCTCCCACCTCAGCCTCCCAAGTAGCTGGGACTACAGGCACATGCCACCACACCCAGCTAATTTTTATATTTTTTGTAGAGACAGGGTTTTACCATGTTGCCCCACTGGTCTTAAACTCTTGGGCTCAAGCAACTTGCCCACCTTGACCTCCCAAAGTGCTGGGATTACAAGCGTGAGCCATCGCTCCTGGCCCTTTGTGCCTTTTTCTAATCACTGCCCTCCTTCTACAGTCATTATCCTGACTTTGAACACTATAGAGCCATTGTGCCTGTTCTTCTTCTTTGTATAAATGGAACCATACCGCATGTAATGTTTTCTGTTTGGTTTCCCTTACTCAACATTATTTTATGAGATGCACCTATATTGCTACAAGAAACAATAATTCATCCTAAATCTGTAAGTGTGAATGTTTCTAAAATTTTATTACAAATGGAGCCATAAGCTGCTGAACCATAAGGAATTCAACATTTCTTCATTTTCACCAAGAATTACTTGAAGTAAAACTATCCATATTTTAGTAAGACAAAATGTGTCATGTTTCTGAACCTTACAAACTCTATGACATCAAGCCATTAACTTTCTCAGTAAACATTTCTAGAAGGAAGGAATAAATGAAGCAGAATTATAAAGCACTCTTTCAGGAAAAAAGAAAAAGAAAACTAGAAAACTGAGTGGGGGAAGACCCCCCTGAAGTTCTCTGAATACTTTTGTCACAGTCATTTTTGAAACCAATATAATTTTCTAAACCCTGGAAACAATTTTTGCATCTTTTGGTGCTTCATTTTTGATATTTCACAAACATTTAAAAACTATAAGTTAGAGAGAAACTTCTTTTTACTCTTTCATGTGTCCTAACCCCAGACTGATGGTTTGCTGAAGTTGGTGAAAAGAAAAAGGAAGGATTTTGCTACCACATTGTAAAGAATTGATAGGAAGAGCTTCAGATTGAATTTGTAAAACAAATACAGAAGAATTATTTGTGTTCTTTCGCCTTTGAATGGCTATGTGCAGCACCCAGCAAGCTACGCCTCCATATTGTTTTATATGGTATATATTTATCACACGATGCTACTATCCAACAATACACAAATTCCAAGCTTGCCAAATCTCCTATGAGCACATACCTTGGGGATTAAAGAAACCAGTCATCCAAAACACATTAGGCCTCCCTTCAAATATCCACGTAGAAAACTGAGCATTTCTTTCCAAAAGTTCAGTGAACCAGAAGCCCAGTGTGGACGAATCCCAAGACACTCTTTTCCAGAGCTGAGGTATACGAGCATCATACATGTTGTCCAGAGCATCTCTCAGATTCTGGAGAAGAAAAAGTTAAAACACATGAATAAGAAACATCAACAAAGAAGGAAATGCCTACTGATGTAATAACAGCTCACCTCACTCATAATGATTGTTCCTTCAATGGCCAATTTTAGATCACTCAGGCTACTGCGGAGTATTGAAATGACTCTTTGCATTCTGTCAATTTCTTGTCTAAGAAATATGTTCATTGAATTAAGATGGCCCATCTTTATCAAACGAGATTTCACCTAAAACAAAGTAAACAATGCAATAAAGGAGATTTTCTCATCTGACATTTCTCTTCCAATAACCTCTTCTTTCTCAATTCTTTTTCTTCCTCTAGATGTATCTCTACCAGCCCAAATGAATTCTAAAATATGTCTTGCAGAACCAAACTTGCCATTAAACTTTCCATTTCCTGCGTTTCCAAAACTACTGTTCAACTAAAATGATTTTTATTTCTTACTGATTGTACTTAGCTAATAATTGGAAATGTACCTTAAAGAGCTGAAATAAAATTGTACCTTTTTCTCCTTTCACATGATTAAGTACTGGGTGTCAGTTAGATATTCTTTTTGCAATCTAACCTTCATAGGGGTACAGTGGAATTTTTTTCTTCATTATGTTTGCAGAGTTATTAGAAATGTCATAGAAAGTTAATACAGCAAAAATCTTTACAGAGCAGTTACCAACAAATATGATTAGCTATAGTTTCCAAAGATCATTGTTGCCTTAGCTATGACAGCTAAAGAGAGCCTTTCCTAATCCAATCAATGAAAATATTTGATTTTGTGGGACAGCCAGTTAAATATCTGTCATTTGTTCCTTTTGATGTATCACTTATTGACTATTTTGAAGAGATCAATACAAAAGCCTCTGGTTGTGGGAACAATAAAATATGACAATTATTGGAAAACAAGCCAATGCAATATACACATTTCAATTTGGTGACATATGCCCAACAAAAGATTGACTACAAATACTGGCAGGAACTCATAAAGGGATTTGAACTTTCTGCTGGCCACAATCAAAGAGATGCCAGAATCAAAGGAACAAGGAAGGGACACATGGAGTGGGAGAGAACTCAAAGTGAGGTATCAATCCAAAGGATCACAGGAGGCCAGGAACTGCAGGATTCTCTGCCAGAGATGCCCACTGCCCCCTCATAAAGCCTGGAATGTTAGAGATGGGTGGGCTTCAGAGTCATCTGAACCATTCTCCTCCTTTTATAGGACAGGCCTCTAGTATGGTGCAGAAGTTTCCTTTCAGCAAGGGACACCTCTGTTTACTGCAATTGGGTTGTTTCTAGTGAGTGAAAGAGGAAGACGGAAAGCACAAAAAGGGAAGGAGATATAACACTGAGCACAGATATAAAATAGGCAGCCTGAATAGGACTACCTATGCGGGTGGAGCAAACTATATTAAAATCAGTCAAGCATGCCAGTGGAGGTCCCTAACGCAGTCCGACGTAGCAACCTTCAGCTACTCTTCAGAATTCTTGGTTCTAGAGCCTACATTTTTGCAGCCTCCAGTGCCTCATTCTCATCTCCATCCCAAGTCCTTCAACCTCCAGTGGCTGAACAGCATATGTATATGCTATACATACATACATACATACATACATACATACATACATACATACGTGTGTGTGTGTGTGTGTGCGTACACGTGCGTGTGTGTGTATATATATATATATAAATTATATCTATATATAATTCCCTTTAAATCAATCCATCTCAAGAGTGGAAATTCACTCTTAAGGAAAAGGGAAATTATAGAAATACTTTTGCAACCCCATGAGTGGAAAATAAAGCTCAGGTATTGACTACAGTATCAAATCAATAGCCCAGGTATCTCTAGTATATTAACAGTTTCAAACAAATCACCTTGTCCTGCTTAGGGTTTTAAAAGGGAAACTTTACTTGAGATAGAGACATGCTTAGAAAAACCTTAAACCCTAGAAAATGTAATTCTAGTCCTGATTTTGAGTATAATTATTGTTCCAGCCTAAAATTGTCTTTTTATTAATAAAATTTAAGACTTGCTGTAGCCTTATATAGCATTTTCATTATGTTTCTGGGACCAGGTAGTATTCTCTACAATAATGTAGCTTCATTTTTACTACAGAACTCAATGGTATAATTATATTTTGATTTACAAAATTCACTTTACAGCCACCTGTTCAAGAAAGATCTCTTCTATAAAATAAGACACTAAAAAGTAAGTGATCTTGGAACAGGGACAAGTTTTAGATGTCTCTTAGTACAAACTCTTTCCCATATAGGAATCCATTTAGTTACACCCCTGATGCTGTTTCTGCTGGAATAATCACCAGAACAAAGGTCTTGTTGGTGAAGTGGCCCCAGCTAAGACTGGACAGCTCGAATTATCACAAGGTCTTGAACCTTTCCCCTGGCAATAGCAGTCCTGTGGTGTAATCTTTTAGAGTAAGTTTTATCTCACTTTCACATGCCAGTATTAAAAATCTTTGAAGGCAAGTATGCTGCCTTGTTTTTTGAAGATCACACCAATAAAACTATTGAAAGTGTATACTTACAATATTTATCCATTTAAAAATATTTTCTCCCCTTACTATAACTATCTCTACATGAAGCTATTGATTTCAATATCTTAACCAAAGGTCTTGGTACCTATCTACACAATGGAAACAATAATTATTTTAAGAGGCAATAAAACATTTTTTATTGTTGGGACACTCATTGCATGCTAAAACTAGTTAAGACTGCAGGTTCTAGAGTCAGATCACTTTGTATTCAAATTCTTGCTCTGCCACTTAGCTTGATTTCTGCTGGTGCTGTCCTGAGCACTGAGTGTCATAATGTGTATGAAGCACTTCGGACAGTGTCTGGCTTGTAATGAGTGCTCAAAAACACAGCTACTGTCCCATGCCACCCCATTCTAATCAATGAATAAGTGTGGTTCTTAGAAGACTTCAGATTGGTAACAGGGTGCTTATATTCATAATATCTCCACTAATTGTTCTACCCTATTCAATGAGTTTCAGAAGTGATTAAAAATCAATGGAATAGATGGGTGGATCATCTACCTACAGTTAAAACACTTGGAACGTCTTATAGAATACCAAATGACCAACACCATTGCTTTTTGGCCTTAAAGATTTTTGAGTTTTTTTTTTTTTTAGCACAGCTTAAGGTATCATAGAAATTGATATATAAATGGGTCACCGTGGAAACTTTGATTGAGGAGGAATTAACTTGTGAAGGAATTTTTAAAAGAATGCAACAGAAAAGCATCATGGAAAATGTTTTCTTCTGATATTTTTAAGTTTTGAAGAGAGAACTATGTGAACAATGAGAGATGCAGAGTTTAGTAATATAGTCAAAATTTTTCACACAGGTAATCTGCCACATAGTCACCAACAGGTAGATTTCTTGCTTTTCAAGGTAATCAAACTTACTGTTTAAATATACAAATAGCCCTGTATGCCAGTGGGAAACCAGCAAGACTTACCTCATGAGGAATGTAATCAGGAGGGAGTTTACTCAGCATATCTTCAGATAATCTATAAACAATAGCCTCCCGGGTCTCTCCCACACCACCTCCACTCTCTTTGGGTTGAATGTTGGTAATTGTTTCAAGAACAGCAGAAGCAGTGTTACTCTGATACCTAGTAAAAAGAGTGAGCTGTTCAGAATGTTACAGGGAAACATGTAAGAGATAAGTGTCAAGTGTTAAAATGAACTGATAGAATCACTTAAATCAAAGCAAGCTACAAAAAAAAAAAAAAGAAGAAAAGTTAACTACCATCAACCTAGAGGAATGAAAGAAACTAGAGATCCATTCTACTGCCTCCTAATAGGACATCAAGAACATCACTGAAATGAAACACTCTCCATCTTCAAGGAAAGAGACCCAAAAACACCCTTGGAAATCCAAATCGCTTCTTCACCATCTTGGTTGTAGCTAACCTGACCACCTCATGCTGAACAGCGGGCACACCTCCTTTCACTCTCCCCTGCTATAGACTGGTCATAAGAGTCTATCATTATAGGACAGCTTGTTGGCTCAAAGAGGAACATTCATATTTCCTCACTGAGTTATAACCTATTAAAATATTTTCGTCTTTTCTGCTTGGTTTTCTCATTTTTCCACTAGTTTTATGATTTCCAGGGAAATCTATTGACGCCCATCGGCTCCACCTGTTCAAATGCAGCCATGCATCTTTAAATCCATTTATTCAATAAAGATTTACCATGTACCAGGCACTGAGCTAAGTTCTAGAATATGGCAGGGAATAGGACATAGTTCTGTTCTCTAGTGGAGGAGATAGATATTAGATAATCCCATTCTAACAAGTGCTGTGGAGGGAAAGAACAGGATGCTTTCAGAGAGGTTTGATTCTCTCATTCCCACTCTCTAGCTTTCTTTCAGGTCGACCAGACACTCTGAGATGCATGAATTTAGTCTCTGTCCCTGAGATGCTGGGTTGACCAGTTACCTGGACATTTGAGTAGAAATGTGTGTGTGTGTGTGGGTGGGTGGGGGGTGGGGCGCTGTATGTGCCTGTGTGTGTGTATGTGTTTGTGTGCCAGAGGTAATTTACACTAGAAGATTAGTAAAAGTTAAAAAGTCACATGTAAGCTGAGACCAGAAGGATGAACAGGTCAGCCACGCAGTGGGGTGGGGTGGTGGGAGGCAGAAAAGGACATTCAGATAAGAAGTAAGGGTTGGGGTGAAAAGGGTTTCAGTGCATTTGAGGAACACAGATAAGGCCAGTGAGCTTGGAGCTAGTGAGCTAGGAGGAGCGACAAGGACAGAGAAGAGGCAGGAGCCAGACCATGCAGGGTTATATGGGAACTTGTAGGATTCTGAACACCACCCTAAAGGCAATGGGCAGCCACTGAAGATTTCCCTAGCCAGGTGTGACATGGTCAGATTTAAATTTTTCAGCCTTTTCTGAACTCCTAATTTACCATCTATACACTTCACATAATTTTATTTTGGAGGATTATTGTTTTGTTTGCTAATTTTGTCTCTTGTCCAGATGTTAACCACATTCATATTTCCTTTTGTAGATGTGAGAGGCAAATCTAAAAGGGATTCAGCAAATGCTTGAGATTAGTGGCTTGTTTTTCTGTTTTATTTTCTTGAACAGAAAACAAGCCATTGTAATATGGAAATATATACATCTAAATATTATACTTGCATACCTTTTAATATAGCAATTCTACACCTAAGAATTAATCCTTAAAAAGAAAGAGACATTTGACATTTACATTTCTGACGGTATGGTGCAAATGTTACTGTGAACCACCCTTCTGAAACAACTAAAACTTCTGGAGAAGATATGAAAAACATCCTTTTAAAAACATCACTGAACTGGCAATACAATAAAAAATCCTCAGGGTCAAATAAAATGAATGCTGGAAATAAAGTGAATGCTGGAATCCAGAGAGATAAAGCCAGATTTTACCCTGGGGGCATCAACTAACTGGTGTTTTTGAGTTTCTGTTTGGATAGTGCAATGAGACAGGAGAGAAGCCCTCATACCTGAGGTGGAAAGCATAATAGGAAATTCCTACATAAATCTGGGACCCCACACAGCTACAACCTCAGTATAAGGGTAAACTAGAAAGTAACCTCCACCTGTCAGAAGAAGATGATAGGTAACTTGTTCTACCTAGCTTAGCACTAAGTGGGGGAAAAATCTTTCCTGAAAATTCTGAATTCACCATGTTTGTAACATTAGTTAACATTTACTCATATTACCTGTGCAATTTGGAAAAGCTCAAGCCAAGAATTTATTTTAAGGTGGTCCTAGGAAGTCCTAGGTGGCACCTGATGGAAGCAAACACAACTCTTTCCTGGAACAATATACCTTTGACTCAGGTCTCAAATAATCCAACAGTCAATTTCCAATAGACATAAGCTCAAAGTCAAAAGTTTAAAAAGTTGTAAGGAAACAAGGAACTGTGAGAAAGAGCCAGTAGAAACAACAGAAATCAGAATCAGACCTGTGGAGATCTTAAGTGACTTTTCAGATGCACACTACAAAATACTGTATTTGCAATATTGAAGAGTTTTAAAAGGAGACTGAAAATACAAGTATTAAAGAGGAAACTATAAACATGAATAGCATATTTGAAAAAGAGTTAAAAAGAAGTTCTAGAAATAAAACATAACTAAAACTTAAAACCTATACTATTTATTGCTGCTATAACAAATTGCCACAAAGTCAGCAGCTTAAAACAAGACATATTTATTATTTTACAGTTCTGTAGGTGCTAAATATGACACAGGTCTCACTGGGCTAAAATCAACACATCAGCAAGGCTGGGTTCCTTTCCATAGGATGTAGGAGAGGATCCATTTCCTTGCTTATTTGGGTTGTTGGCAGAATTAACTTCCTCGAGATTGCAGGACTGAGGTACCCAATTTCTTGCTGGCTGTCAGCTGAAGGTCCTTCTCAGCTACTAGAGGCCACCTGCACTTCTTGGCTTGTGGCCCACTTTCTATATTTGCAAAGCCAGTAATGGCAAGCCAAATCCCTCCCGCCCTTGGACTCTACATGTAGATACATCACAGTAAAACCGTAGAAAACCAAAAACAAAATGAACATCTTAAAAGGAGCCAGAGAGAAAGAGCAGATTATCTAGAAAGAAATAACAATTACACTGGCAGTCAATTCCTCAACAGCAGCAATGAAATCCAGAAGAAAATGGAAAAGTGTCTTCTAATTGCTAGGATAAAATAACTATATACCTATAATTGTGTGCCAAACAAAACTCTCTTTCAAGAATGAAGGCAAGAAAAAATATTTGAATAAACGTTTCATCAAAGAAGAAATACAGATGGGTCAATAAGCACATGAAAATATGTTCAGTTTCATTATTTATTAGGAAAAGCAAATTAAAACGACAATGTAATACTACCACTTCACATTTACAAAGAATGGTTATGATCACAAGACACATAATAACAAATATTGGCAAGGATGTGGAGAAACCTGAACCTTCGTAATTGCTAGAGGGGATTGTAAAATGGTGCAGTCACTTTGTTTTGTTTTGTTTTGTTTTTGAGACAGAGTCTTACTCTGTCGCCCAGGCTGGAGTACAGTGGTGCTCGCTGCAACCTCCATCTCCTGGGTTCAAGCAATTCTTGTGCCTCAGCCTCCTGAGTAGCAGAGACCATAGGCGTGCACTACCACACCCAGCTAATTTTTTTGTACTTTAGTAGAGAGGGGGTTTCACCATTTTGGCAAGGCTGGTCTTGAACTCCTGAGCTCAGGCAATTCACCCACCTTGGCCTCCCAAAGTGCTGGGATTACAGGCATGAGCTGCTGCTCCCGGCCTGATGCAGTCACTTTGGAAAGCAGTTTGGCAGTTTCTTAAGATGTTAAGAATAGATTATGACCCAATGACCCAATAACTACATAACATTCCTAGTTATCTACACAAGAGAAATGAAAAGACATGTCCACACAAAGACTTGCACATGAATGTTCATAGCAGTGTTCTTAACAGCCCCAAAGTAGAACATGCCCAACTATTCATCAGCTGGTAAATGCATAAACAAAATGTGGCACTGGAATACTATTTGGCAATAAAAACCAAGGAAGTATTAATATACGCTACAACATGGATGAACTTCAAAAACATTATGTTAAGTGAAAGAATCCAGACATAAAAGATCACATAATGTATAATTCTGCTTATGCAAAATGTCCAGAAAAGGTAAATTTACAGAAACAGAAAGTAGATTAGCAATTGCCTGAGGCTGGGGATGACAGCCTGGCACAAATGGGCCCAACATTTCTTTTTAGAGTGATGGAAATCTTATAACGTTATATTGTAGTGGTAAACTTACTAGAAATCATTTATTGTCCACTTGAAATGAGATAATTTAAGATATGCAGATTACATCTCATAAAAGCTGTTTTTCAAAAAAGGAAGGCAAAATAAGGCATTTTCATACAAAAATAGAAGAGTTTATCATCCATAAAAGAATGTCCCCCTCATGGTGGAGTATACTTTAGAAAGGAGGGAGGTTATTCTGTTGGAAGGTTTGAAGTATAGAAAAGAATGGGCCAATGCATAGGTAAGTCTAAATAAGCATTATAGTATAAAACAATCATTGTATGTCTAATTGTGGGATTATAAAAGATAAAATTAAAATACTGAAATGTCAGGAGGAGAGTGACTGTAGCTAAAGTTATCTAAGAGAAAGGAAAGTAAATATGTTCATTTTATTTATTATTTATTTATTTTAAAGAGACAGGTTCTCGCTCTGTTGCCCAGGCTGGACTTAACACTCTTGGGCTCAAGCAATTCTCCTACTTCAGCTTCCCAAGGAGCTGGGACTACAGGTACACACCACCATGCCTAGCATAAATATATTAATTTTAGACCAAAATAAGAACTGACGTTAAAATTTCTAGGGTAACTGGTAAAAGAACAGAAACAGAGTACATAATTTCCAAACTAGAGAAGAGAAAAAAAATGAAATGGGAAAAGTCTTATTTAGCAAAAGCCAAAAAGGAAGAAGAAGAAAAGAAGCAAAACATAGAAAGAGTGGCGTAAAAAAGCAACATTGTATATTTGTCCTTTACATTTTATATACAGTATATATATTCTTTTGTATTTATTCAATGTTTAATAAGGCTGTTTTAGAAGCAATAATCAGACAAGTGTACAAAGATGAATCTATATGACTTTATAACAGTATTTGTAATAATAAATCCTAGTAAAGCTTTATAAAAATCTATATAGCCAATAAAAATGCTGATGTAGCTGTATATTCATTGATCATGCGAGGTGTCATTGGGGGATTATAGAATAAAATAACATGGCATCAAACCCAGTTATGGTATGATCTAATTTTGTTGTTAATATTGTGCTTATAGACACAGAAAAAAACTAGAAGGGTATTTTTGCAGTAGGATTTTTGTATGATGAGCTTTTTATGTAATTATTAGTTTCTTTTTGCTGTTTATTTTTCTCTATTGTTTATGCTTCTCAATAAGAATGTAGGACTTTTAGAATAAAGAATATTAAAAATCATTTTCAGTTTGAAAAACAGAGAAAAATAAATCCCCATAAGGCAAAGCCCATCACAGTTGTCAAGAAGTTAACAGAGATAAATCAGGGACAAATATTTCAGGTTCACTGAGATGCATCTTACAAACCCTTACTCTTTATGCCCCACCAGAAAGCGCCCCCTTCTGCCTTTTCTCTGCAGTGTATGGAAAGAGAGAATTGCATCCTTTTCTCTCCTCCTTCCCTGGTGTCAGTTCCACAGCCTTTTGTGAAATTTGCCACACGAATTGGCAGAATCCTAAGAGGCTGCTGGGAAAGTTAACCAGGCTTCTTTGCTTATGAAAAAGCTGCGTGTGGTGGGGAGTAGAGGAAATCCTATATAGCAGCCTTTGGATTCATTTAGGAATAAAGCTGAAGAATGGAGGAGATGCTCTGTCTTCAGCATTTTTATTTGATTAGCAGCTAGAATGCCACATCTGGACCCAAACATGCATACCCGAACTATCTGCATCCTTTCCAAAAGTCATGCCATGATAAATGCATAAGGTGTCATGCTTCACATACAGAACTTTCAGTCAGATACAGTGATACGAGGGTCCTAGTATCAGATCTAGCAAGTGTTTGTAACTCCATCCAGAGTTGGAATATTAGCTTCATATTACCTTTAAATACATGACTTTCCCAGTAAGGATCAATGAAGTAAAACCTGATTTTTAATGAACAAAAATTGACTGTATAGTATATTTTAGATATAACTTAAAATTCTTTTACTATTTCTGTGAGCAACCTCTATTCAGATGTTGGGGATTTGGAATATCCCAAAAGACACTTATCTTAAAAGTTGAAACATGCATGCAGTTGAATACATGAACAGAGAACACAATATTCTAGTAAAATGACACAAAAGGCATTTGAGACCCATTCCGACATTTTGAAATATGGCACAACCCCAGTTTTAAAAAGTCATATAAAGTACCGTATAAGAAAAATACAAATAAGTCTGAGAAGAAAGTTCAATGAAAATAGCTGATGAGACAACAAAATGAAGTCAACAAAAGTCAAGGATCCACATGTTACTATATACATTTTCAGAAATTTAAATTTGTATGTGATTCATATTACTCCATGAGCTCTCTCTAGCATTAGGTACACTACAGATAGAATATGTGGATGAACTGCTATGTTAGGGAAGACAGAGGGGTGTCACCATGGCTGACATCTTACAGAGAGCCACGAAACACCAGGTAAGCCTGGGTAACATTGAACCTCTGACTTTATCATGAACTCTGTGCATCCACATTTCCCTGGAGCCCCAGAGCTCTTTGTTTCCTGTACCAAACAAATCCAAAACCTTATTATTTTAGTTCTCCCTTATCCCTCTCCTGGACTGCTCCTTGCCCCATCTACTTTAGTGACATCAATGTCTGCCCAGTTGCCCAACTGAGAACCCTCAGAGATGGCTTCCTCCTTGCTGTGGCTCCCCAGACCTTCTTAGTTTCCAAGCTCTAGTTCCAAATCATTTCCAGCATCCCCTCCCCGTGACCCACCGTCATCCCCACTGCCTTCAGTTCTGCCCCCTAACTTCCTGATCATCCTCTGTGTGCGGCACTGCCATCACCTCCTAACACATCCTCCTGCCTCCAACCACTGTTCCAAGGTAAGTTTTGACATTTGAAAAGTGATTATTAAATGTATTCGAAGACTCCCCATAACCTTCAGGATAAAATCTGAAGTCTTTCACATGGCATACAAACCTTTTTCATCACTAAGCCTTTTTCTATCTCCAGCTTCTGCTCTTGCTTCCTTCTTTCTTCTTCCCACACTCTACCCTGTGCTGTGAGTTACCTGAAGCTCATCAAGCATTCCATGACTCCCCTCATATTTCTTTGACTGTTCCCAAGTTACCTCCACAGCCTGGAATGCTCTGCCCTCATTTTTTCATCGATTATAGCTCATTCCTAACTAGCTATTAATATTAAGCTCAGCTTAGATGTCTTCACCTCTAGACAGCCTTCCCTAGACTTTCTCCCTATGTGTGCGCATAGCTCTCAGTGCTTGCTTTTATTGTTGTACTTGTCATTCTGTACATGATGACATGCTTGTTTATCTTCATTCCAACTTCAGCCTGAATTATGTGATGGCAGGAAAAGGCTTAAATCTCTGTATGCAAAATGCTAATTCCCATCAACTCATGCAAGCAGAAATGGCCATGTAGAAGGTAGAGTAGGTTAAGTAGATTTAAATAAATGATTAAATAACCGTATTCCAATTTAAAATATTGCCCCAAACTCTTTTGGCAAAACCTTCAAAAGCCACACTCTGCATCGGCCACTCCGCTCTTTAAGCACCCCCCTCCCTCATGCTTTAGGCATACTGGACCTGGTTCCCAGAACTCCCCACACACATTCATGTTTGCATTCCCTTCCTTGGATTGTTCCTTGGTGTGTGCATCCCAGTCTAAGTTCTTGGTCCTTACCGCTCATTATGTTCCTCTTCTTTGTACTCTGTCCTTGACCCCAGTCCTGCAGTCACTTCCTTCCCACCTCATCTCCAATCTGAGAAACTCCTGCACATCCTTTAAGACAGCGGTTCCCAACCTTTTTGGCACCAGGGACTGGTTTTGTGGAAGACATTTTTCCATAGACTGGAGGGGAGGCGGCGGAAAAGTTTCGGGATGATTCAAACACATTACTTTTATTGGGCACTTTATTTCCACTATTATTACATTGTAATATATAATGAAGTAATTATACAACTCACCATCATGTAAAATCTGTGGGAGCCCTGAGCTTGTTTTCCTGAAACTAGACGGTCCCATCTGGGGGTGATGGAAGACAGTGACAGATCATCAGGCATTAAATTCTCATAAGGAGTGTGTAACCTAGGTCCCTGGCATGCGCAGTTCACGGTAGGGTTCTCGCTCCTATGAGAATCTAATGCCGCCACTGATCTGACGGGAAGCAGAGCTCAGGCGGTAGTGCTCCCTCACCTGCTGCTCACCTCCTGCTGTGTGGCCCAGTTTTAACAGGCCACGGACTGGTATTGGCTTGTGGCCCAGGGGTAGTGGACCCCTGCTTTAAGGCACAACTTAAATGGAGCCTGTCTCACTAGCTTTCTTTGATCCCTAAATTGGAATTGATTGCTCCTCCACCTGTGTTATCATAGCAATGTATACATACCCTGATTTTAGAGTTTACCATATTGTACCTCATCAGCATTTGCCATTCATCATCTTCCCCAACAGATGATGCGCTCCAAGAGCACGGACTGCATCTTACTCATCTTTGTATCCCCAGGTTAGCCAGACAGTAAGTTCTCAACAAATGTTTGTTTGTTGAATTGAGGCCAATTGGCTTGCATTTTATTAAACCTCAAATACAAAGGACAGCAATTCTTCAATATTTAAAGGACATGAAAATTTACTTATTCCTTCTTATGGTAAAAACATAGTATATTGTTATTATTGTTTTTTTATTTCCTGGCACCTTTCAATGAATGTGTGTGTGTGTGTTTGTGTGTGTGTGTGTATAAATGCCTTATTACAACTTTTGTATTCATTTCTAATAATGAATTAGGAACATTCATTTCTAATTATTATATATCTATTATATAATATGACAATACAATATAATAATAAATACATCTATAGATATTAGAAATATCTATCTTTCTATCTATCTCTTCTTGAGTCTTTGACAATTGATAAGTTCATTTGTTTTCATAGGATATTTTCACAGGATTCCCCCTCTCAGAGTTACTTGTATTTTTCTTATACTTTATATGACTTTTAAAAACTGTGATCATGCCCTACTTCAAAATTCAGGAATGGGTTGCAAATGCCTTTTGTGCCATATATAAATAGTCCTCAAAACACAGGAGAATCAGAAAGATATAATTTGAGAGTGAAGTAAAACTATTCTTCTTATTATTTTATCAATGCAGATCTTTAATGATTAAAGACAAGAAAACCACAGTAAATTTCCATTCATGCTAAGAAAAGCAGAGTTCATGATTCCTACCTGTTCTAGCTACAAAAAAAAAAAAACAGCCCCCATATCCAAATTCTCAGGTGCTCTCTCAGTCACCTTCAGCTTGAGCCCTCCGTGGAAGTGTGCTCAGCACCAGGGGCTAGGTCCCAACAGTGCACACCATTGCAGAGATGACCATTTTGCTCTCTGCTGACTCTGGCCAAGTTCACTGGTGCTCCAAGGAGAGGCTGATGGAGATGCTGCTGCTGCTAGATCCCACCTAATAAATCACTTTCATGATGAGTGATTTAATTTTTTATGAGATGATCTGAACACGGGCCTCAAAACATAGATGTTGGGAAGAAGCCTTGAAAAGCTGATCCACTGTGAATAAGAGCTAGCCAAGCTCTCCCCAACACACATTTTACTATGCACAGAATGTCATTCCCTGGTATTCCAGGGCTGAACAACTCACATTTCTTTTTCCACAATGTGATTTTATGTTTGCAAAGATATGAAAGGCAGAAGCCTAGTTAGCTAGCTATAACAGAGAATTGCAAATCTCTCTATATGCCACAAAAGCCCAAGGGCTTTCAGGAGAACAGTCCTCATAAATGCTCTGAGATGAAGAACAAGAGCTATAATATTCCTTGAGGGTTGGTTCTAAGTTATTTCTTGAAGAAAATTTCTCTTTAGAGTAAATATGGGAAGAAGCTCAGATTGCCCTTGTAGCTTGGTGGTTCTGGGAAGTCAGGGTCATGGATAATAGAAATGCAAAACAACTGAAAAACAGAGCTGTCTATGAAATAAACAACTACCTAATGAGATATTAGTGCACCATAATATCCAAATCAGTCTAGATTTACATACGTCTTTGCACATGAAATATCAATGAGCATAAATTTTTCAAAAAATCTAAATCTCAAAAGTGTCCTCAAATACTCAAGGGAATACATTTCAATTTGTATTGCATTGAAATGAATATAAAGGTTGTAATAAGGCATTTGATAAATTTCAGAAAGTAAAGAAACATGCATAACCACTGATGAGAAAAAGAGTGAAAATAAGCAACCATTTTTGACATTGAAAGAGTTGAATTTGCAGAGTCTTTGGTACCTTATAAATCTACATAATAAAATGTGAATAAACTGTGTATTTTCATGGTTCTTATCACTATGCTATCTAAACTCTTGAGAGAGATTTTACTTATTTTAAAGCATTTATTCACCTTGATTTCCCCCTCCACTTCAGAGATTCTGCATTCTTATGCAAGGACTGAGGAGAGAGACTTGTGATTCGCCCTGCCCAAATCTCCCTCTTCTCTCAAATTTATGGATGCTAACTTCAGAGTGAAGATTCCAATAAACAGGGGGCATCGAGTTCTCCATCATGGCCCAATTATAGCCTATCATCAAGTGATGGCTGGGCACCGTGGCTCATGCCTATAATCCCAGCATTTTGGAAAGCCAAGGTGGGTGGATCACTTGAGGTCAGGAGTTCGAGACCAGCCTGGCCAACATGGTGAAACCCTGTCTCTACTAAAAATACAAATATTAGCCGGGCCTGGTGGCACATGCCTGTAGTTCCAGCTATTCGGGAGGCTGAGACATGAGAACCGCTTGAGCCTGGGAGGCGGAGGTTGCAGTGAGCTGAGATCGCACCACTGCACTCCAGCTTGGGCAACAGGGTAAGACTATCTCAAAACAAAACAAAAAACAACAAACAAACAAAAAGAAGCAAGAATGCTGTTGAACACCATGGATGGTCAGATAAATTAATGATTCCTCTGGCTGGGGACATTCACACAGACTTAGCCAGCATATCTTAGAGAGTCTTCTCTCATGGCTGAAGCTGTTATCTCTGCACACATGCATTCAAATCTTTCACCTGGGCTCCAGTCCATATTTCTCACCCCATTCATTTATATCCCATGTTCTTTCCCAGCTCAACATGCCCCCAACAGAACTCTGTAACTTCTCCTCCAACATACTCCTGTTCCCAACTCCTCCACTACCCCAGCTCCCAGACAAGCAATGTCAGGGCATCTTTGACCCCTTCTTTCATTTCACTCAGAACTTGGAGAGTTACATCTTGCTGGAGCTGGGTGAGGACCAGAGGTGGGTTTCAGCTGGGATGCTTCATCTGTTATTGCTTACTGCTTCCTGGTGGCCGGTGGGGGAACAGCAAGGGGCGTAGAGAAGTCCTTGAAGAAGGCAAGCTCACTTGCCAGGATTCCATCCACCAGATATTTCAGAGCCAGAGGAAAGAAGAATCAAACCTAGGTACTCAGAGACCAAAAAAATTACCAAACACAGAGCTGCAGAACAGAGCCAACCACCTGAGCAGGAACCAGAAATGGGCTAAGACATGCTGGGGAAAGGGGATCAGGGGTGGGTGAGAGAGACCCCAAGGCAGACCATATGGGAAGTTAAGGATGAAGAGAGAACAGAGGAGGACGAAGGTCTTACAGGCCTGCCAGTTGCTCTAGTGGATATACTCCCCCATTTTAGGCAGGGGTCCAGGGCCTTCTACCTGACCTCACTAGTGTGGTGAAAGGTTGCAAGATCCTGACACTATTTTGGGAGAAGCTCGCTTACGGCATCCTACAGCATGCATGCCAGCAACACCATGTGGGCTTCTGGACAAAGCTGTGAAGAGAGACTTGACAAAACACAGAAGGCTCACCGTGTCCTCTCTAACACACCAGTTTGCAGCAAGAAACAGATTAACAGCTACAGAAGAAGGTTCTCAGCCATTGCTCTGCATTCGCTAAGTCCTATCAGTCCCCCCTTGAGACCTGTCCTGCAGCTTCACTCCACCCCATGATCATCCCTATTCTAGGCCTGCATCCTCACACACCTGGACTTACCCACAGGGTACCCGAGGTGTCGATTAGTCATCATGGGTGCTCTAGATGAGCCTTGTCACATGGCAGAGAGCTTGTCTTTTATTCTAACTGCTGTAGGAAGCCATTTAGATGGAGGAGAAGTAGATGGAGGAGATTCAGTTTGGGGCTTTTAAAGGTCAAGCTGTCTGAAAGACATGCCAGTGGATGTCACATAGAAATTGTATAAATGACTGTGGAGCACAGAGGAAAGGTCTAGACAACATATATGTGGCATATTGATGTTTTAAAGGCCATTGGCATAGATGAGCTCTACTCAGGAGGGAAGGTGGACATGACTATAAAAGAGGTTAAAATGTGAGTAGAACATAGGCCATAGATTTATAGGCATGTGAAGGGAAGGGAAGGCTCTTTAAAGCATGAGAGATACTAGATCACACTGCTACCTGGACCATACACTGAAGGGTGATGCTATTAAAGTCATGCTTTGCAGCCTTTTGCATTTTGCAACAAATTTTGTTACTCTGTCACAGTGTGATTTTGCCACTGAGGACTGAGAACCTGCTAAGCCGGACAGCAGGAGAACCCTGTGAAGAGGAGCCTCTGGCTCTGGTGAAGTGTTCATCTGTGTCAATACTAAGTTCCTTCTTAGTATTAAGTAAGTATAACCACCATATAACAGTATAACCACTGTTTCTCAGTGGTTTCTCTGGGATGTGTTGGCAACACCATAGTGAAGTGGTTGAACAGAGCTGCCTCGATAGATTATATTAAGAAGGCTAGTACATTCCTTTAGGAGAGGCACGAGAGTGGCTTCAAGTTGTCATCAGATTTCAGACCAAGGTCTACAGAGCTAGTGTTATGTCCACACTTCTGTAACAATTTTATTGAATGGGTTGGACTCAGTATAGGGTAAGGAAGAAGTGATTTCATTCTTTACCACATTGTACTGAGTCCAGCTTATTAGACCAGATTAAAGACTAGTTTGCATGTCTTTGTGAAAATAAATACGAAAACCTAGATGAAACAAATAATTTCCTAGGAGAACACAACTGACAAAATATTGACTGCAGTGGTGACAGAGAAATACGAAAGATATCAAAGAACTAGCACTGAGCCCAGATGGTTTCACAGGAGAATTCTACCAAACTTTAAAGCATCCAATACTACATAAATTGTTCCAGAGCTTAGAAAAACTTCCACATTTTTACAAAGCAAATATAACATTGATTAGTAATTAAACCTGATAAAGATGCCACAAAAAACTCCAGGCCATTCTTATTTATGAATATCAATGCAAAATTCCCCAATGAACCATTAATAGAGTATATCACTACCTTAGGAGAATAATACCTCCGAACCCAGTGGTATTAATTTCAGATTATCTGTAGAAAATTTGAGTTAGGAAATCCATTAATATAATTCACTAACTTTTTAGGTGTTTAGGGGAAAATCATGTGATTCTTTCCATAAATGTTGAAAGGTATTCAACAAAATTCAACACCAATTTCTGACAACAATAGAGAAACACACATGCAACAATAGCTAGGACAAGCTCAGAAAAAAAAAAAAAGAGCAATGAGGGGAGACTATAACTATCAGATAATAAAACATACTGGAGACTAGCTAAACTTAAAACAGACTGCTACAAAATAGAAAGGAAAACAGAATAGAAAGCCCAGAAATGGACCCGAGTACCTATGGAAGGAAATTCTATGTTAAAGGAAGCAGGAGGCCAAGGCTGGCGGATCACGTGTGGTCAAGAGCTCAAGACCAGCCTGGTCAACATGGTGAAACCCCTTCCCTACTAAAATACAAAAATTTGCCAGGCATGGTGGCATGTACCTGTAATCCCATCTACTCAGGAGGCTGAGGCAGGAGAATCACTTGAACCCAGGAGGTGGTTGCAGTGAGCCGAGATCATGCCACAGCACTCCAGCCTGGGCAACAGAGCATGACTCCGGCTCAAAAAAAAAAAAAAAAGAAAAAAAAAGTCACTGGTGATAGGATAACTGGATTGCTATTCTGAAAAAGAATTTCATCCATACTTATACCTAATAGGTAAATTCCTAATGGATAAAAGAACTAAATGTAAAAACGTGAAACCATACAAGCACTAAAAAAAAAAAAAATGTAGATGATTCCTTTATACCCTGATGAGGGAAGAAGCTTTCTTACTATTACTAAAAATCCAGATGTAACAACAGCAAGAACAGAATTTATGTAGTCATAAATTTGACTGCATAAAAATAAAACGAAACGACAATAACACTTCTACCTGATCAATGGGGGAAAATCACAAGCAACGCTAAATAAGCTGAGAAAAATATTTGCAATCCACATCACAAACAAAGGGTTGTTATCCCTAACATATAAATAAGTCCTAAAATTAAATAAAAAGAATAAAAACTCCATTGGAAAGGAATGGACAGACTATATATAAATAGCCCTTAAGTATATGAAAATTTTCTCAATTTCACTCAAAATAAGAGAAGTGAACTAAAACTATGCTGAGATAACATTTCTCACTGTCATATTGGTGAAGGTTCAAATGCCTCACCAGCGCTCTGTTGATGAGATTCTGAAAAAATGGGCACTCACAGACTGCAAGTAAAAGTACAAAACAGTATAACCCTATGTAAGGGAATTTGACAATATTCGCTAAATCTTGATCTAGCAATCCCACCCATAACAATTTACCCTGAAAATACATCTCTAATAATATGAGAGTCCACAAGCATAAAGTTATTAATGGAAGAATTATTTGAGATAGGAAAATATTGGAAGCAACCTAAATGCCCATACATAGGCAAATGGTTGAACAACTATGATCCATATAAACAATGGAGCAGCATGCAGCTGTAAAAAAAAATATGAGGAAGATAATAATGACCTGATATGAAGTGATTTACAGGATACATTGTTAAGAGAAAAAAGCAAGACACAACACAATAGATATAGTTTGGCAACTTTGTATAAGAAAGGGTAATAACAATATGTATATATGTATGTACATGCAAAAAGAAACACAGAGAAGATAAACCAGAAACTGTGTTTGTTTACCCATAAAAGAAGAGGGAAATGGGTTGAAAGGGTCTGAGACTTCTCTAAGAACAACTTAAAGTTGTAACTTTTGAACCATGTTCATATTTTACATATTCAAAACAATAGCATATGTGGGGGAAAAAAACCCTTAAATGTAATACAAACAGAAACAAATAAACATAACTATATATCAGTTGATAGCATAACCACACAGAAAAAAAAATCATTAATCCAAGTGACCTTTGAACACAGTACTCTTTATACCTAGTGGAATATATCCTAAGGACAAAAAGAACTGCAAAGAAATCTTGACCTCTACTTAATAGGTTTGTTGCTGGTAGTGGTATTGGCATAGTAATTGCAAGTAAATGAATACACATATTGAAGTTGCTGGGAACCAGAGTTTTTACGGTGGGAGAAAGGAGATATCAATATGGAATGGGGGAAGACAAAGAACAACCCTGAGGTATACAACTGGAATTGGAGTTATTTGTATTAACTCATGATGTTTTTAAAAGTACATGCTTCCTAGCTCTATCCACTGAGAGGGCACACAAACACACACACAGAGAAATATATGTGATTATACATAGATATAGCTGTAGATACATAAGCATACAGAGATATAAATATAGAAGGAGAAAAAGCAAATGGATCAAAACATGAACAATTGTTGGATCTCGATGGAGCGTATGAATGTTTACTGTATGTGCAACTTTTCTGAGAGTTTGTAATCATTCCAAATAAAAAGTCAAGGAAAAAATGGTTTGTCTTTGTCTTTGTCTCCAATTGCTTTTACATTTGCGTTGTACTTCTCTGGACCTTTTCTAGCCCTGTTTCATCTTTCTTGAGAGCTGGTGAGTGAAACAGCCTGCAGTGAACAAGGCCTAGGTGCACCATCACCCTGGGTGAGGGTGAAATGGTTTCATCTTGTTGGGATCCTGTGGATTATCCAGGAACCAGCTCTCGTGACTCCCCAGTCTCTTGTCAAGGATGGAATTAAAGTTCAGAGCCCTCATATGAGAACATTTTCAGTCACAAATTTGCAAGTGCATTAAGACTTATCAGTTCTTTCTCTGTCCACTCACGTGAACTTGTGGGATCTTTCTATGGAATCTCCTCATTGATCACATCCTTCACACTCTAGAAGAATTTAGCAGCACTGATCAGTCAACAAATACTTCCTGAGCCCCAGGCACTGCTATAGCACAAGGGATGCAGCAGTGAAAACACACACAAAAGTTTCAGGTGTAGTGGAACTTATGGTTTAGTGGTGGTTGTTGGACAATAACAAATCAGTAATTAAAGTGTAAAGTATGAGGCTGGGTGCGGTGGCTCACACCTGTAATCCCAACACTTTGGGAGGCCGAGGTGGGCGGATCACCTGAGGCTAGGGAGTTTGAGACCAGCCTGACCAATATGGAGAAACCCTGTCTCTACTAAAAAATACAAAAATTAGCCAGGCGTGGTGGTGCATGCCTGTAATCTCAGCTACTCGGGAGGCTGAGGCAGGAGAATCGCTTGAACCTGAGAGGCGGAGATTGTGGTGAGCCAAGATCGTGCCATTGCACTCCAGCCTGGGCAACAAGAGCGAAATTCCGTGGCAAAAAAAAAAAAGTGTAGAGTATGTCAGTGGGTGATACAAACTATAGAGAAGAGCAGGTCAGGAGGACAAGGTCTTGGGCAGGGTTTGGGGAGTGGGTTGCAATCTTTAAATAGCACAGCCAGGGAAGGCATCATTGAAAAGGCTACATCTAAGCAAAGACTAGAAGAGGTAAAAGTGAGCCACTGTGATATCTAGGAGGAGGGAGGTTCCAGGGAGTGCAAGTATCCTGTGGCAGGTGCTGTCTGGCCTGTCTGAGTAACAGGAAGCTGTCTGGCCTGAGTAACAGGAGCTGAGTGGGCACGAAGGTGGGAGAGGACTGAAAGAGCCAGGGTGGGGAGGTAGAGGGCAGTGGCACTATTTGACTTTGTAGGTCATCTGTATGTAGGTCACTGTCGGTCTTTGACCTTGTCTCAGAGTGTCACGGGAACCTTGGGAGGATTCTGAGCAGGGGTTGATGTGGTCTGACTCACATTTTTAAAGTCTCAGCTAAAGCAAAACTACTTTCCTATGCTCCTCTTTCATAAAACGTTAAGAGTTGATTGTCAATCCAATCCCTGAGGAATCCTTTTTATTTCTTCACTTCTTTCCCATCCCCAGATAACTTATGAAAGCCTCCTTAGATAACAGCAAGAGCTGCCACTAACGAACCTTCGTGGTTCCATCATGGGGGTGGAATGAAGCATTGGCATTTGTAGGTATTTTCAATCATGTCCGCATCTTTGAAGATGAAAAGCAGCCTGGGCGAGATGAGAGGATATGAAGAAGGTGGAATCAAGGTGGGTGTAAAGAGGCCAAAAGTGCATCCTCATGCAGGGAGCTAGGAGGGTGGTCAGAGGCGGGAAGACAAGGAAATTGGCAGCAAACTGGGACTCCTGGGACATCTGGCAAGGCCAGGGAAATGTCCATGTCCAAACCCAGAGAATTATTAAAATTACAACAGTAGGCCAGGGACTAGGAGAGAGGAATGCCCCACTCTTAGGGCATTCTCAACTTAGAATCTGCCAGAGGAGTCTTGGTTTCTTCCACTTCCTGAAACCATTTTCCTGAATGTAAACCTTGTGACTTTTCATCAGGGGGCTGCAGAGGACATGCGGTCCATTCCAAAGGATTCCAGTTCAGGTGCTTGGGTTTGGTAGGGATCCTAAAGAGAGAAGGGGTGACACCTCATGCCAAGGGGCTTGGAACTGGGGAGCATTTCTTCTCTAGGTGATGAGTGGAGCAGGGACCTCACGCAAAGCTGAGCCCCTCCACTCTTTCCTCCCGGGGCTGTGCATCTGTGTCGGGTACTCAAGTGCTCACCGCACTGCACCCACCACAGGCAGTGCATGACAAAAGGATGCAGATGAGCAAGTGAGGGAGAGGGGCCATGAAAGAGAGGACCAGGCAGAAATACGATTCTTCACCCTCCCATCTGTTCTCACCTGGCTTTTTAGATTCTATTTATGAGCATTATATTCTTAATGAATTTTTGAAGAAAGAGATGAGGAGCTGGCAGACCACTCTTCTGCCGGCGGAGAGCACTGCTACCACTAACACCAACTCGTTTTATGACATGACAGAGAAGAAATAATCAATGCATAAATTAGAGCTTAACGTTGTCATAAACACTGGAGCATCAGGATTTAGTGAGAGGAGAGCAGGCCAAGATATGACAAAGTTGTAATTGGGAGACAGGAAGCGACACTATTTTTCACAGTAAAATAAAAAAAGGGGGAAAGGAGAGAGATTAGGAGAGAAAATGAAATGCACCATCTTTGCCAGACTGAGTTACAAATGACCCCTTCAAATTAAAAAATGCCAGGGACTTACGTGATATCAGCATTAGGGTGAAGCCCAAAGACTTCAGGGTTATCTAGGGATGGCAGTGACTGGATGTATTCAAAATACTGGTCTAAGGTTTTGCATAAGGGGATTTTATATCCAGTATAAAAGCAGAATGACGGTTCAAACATCTTCTCACTGAACCAGACCTGTATGTGAGAGAAAACAAAAGAAATAAAATTGATGAGCATCTAAATGAAAACTGCTACAAGAAAGGAGAGGGGCCACCTTATTTCCATTTTAACAGAGTTTTTAATATTGATTTTGAGAATGCTTTAACAATACTACTGATAGAATAATTACCACATATATGGAGAAAAGAGAGAGTCCAGAACACAATTTGACCTGGCCTCCATTTAACACCAAAGAAGATATTCACCAAGAGTAAGGAAGAGAGCAACTCTACATGCCCATTCTCTGATTGAGTCATTTGACAACCCTCAATTCCATTTTAGGAATAGGAACATACTGCAAAGTCTGTGAGGCCATACTCCCACACACAAGAGAATATCTGGGCATTTTCATCACCCCACTTCTCCCCGACATGGGGCTCATACCAGAAGGATGTGCTTGTGCGCAGTTTCACTCACACAGCAATGAGCCCCAGCACACGGCCAGGAGAGCTCCATGCAAACTCTCCCCTCCCACCTTGAGTTGAAGAGCTTCCTTTGCTAATTATGTCCCTGTCCACATGAAGTAAATGTATTCAGCTGCCTTGCTGTTTGCCTTAAGACATCCCTTTCTTATTCCATATGAATTATCTTTAACAAAACAGTGAGAGAACAAATATATAGTTGGTGTGAATAGACTTATTCTCAGAAAGGAAAAAAAAATGATGCTAAATGCCTATGAGCCAGATTTGAGGCAATGACTTACGTCTCACAGCAATTTTCCCAGTGGGGAAGGAAATAATGGGAAGACAGGAAGAGTGGAAATGCAGGCACGACGTCTGAATTACTCGGAGCACTTGACAGGAAAGAGGGACGGTGCCTTCCTCTGGTTGGTCACACGTTCTCTAGTACCTTCCCTCCATCTCCTTCCTCCAGCTCTTTTTAGATCCAGTGATTGCTCTGAAATACCCTGTGTACTGATTCTCTCTGTTTTATCCTATTCAACTCCTATGCATGAGCAGGCTGAGTTTAGAACCAGAACAGAATGCAAAGATAAGAGACACACAGTCCTTTCTTTCAAGGAGCTTGTGACCCAGCGGAGGGATGAGCCAATTACTTAATAACCACAATACAAAGTGCACTAAGGCAAGAGTCAGAAGGAAATAAAAATAAGCAAAGTACTAAAGAGGTTTAAAGCAGGAACAAAAAACATCCAGGTGGATGTCAGCTGAGGTCTTCTCAAGGAGGTGATTTTTGGAGCTAAGCCTTGAAGGAGAGGAGTTTGACCGGAGAACTTGGAATGGGGAGGCCACATAAGCAAAGTTATAGAACTGATGCAAAAATGAGAAGCAGGTTAAGGGAATAATGGAATATAGGGTGGACACAATGTAGTCATAAGAGATAGGACAGGAAAAGTGAGGTGAGGTCATATCATGGATGACTATTGATGTCAGGGTGAGGACTGGTGATTAATTCAAGAAATGGAGAGTAGTTGAAAGTTATTAAAGAGAATAGTGTTATGAGCATGGTCATTACTTAGAAATATTAGATTTTTCACGACGTGGATGACTTAAATTGCAGGAAGACACCCTAAGGGGGCAAAGGCCCTGGGTCCTCAGCACACAGATAACAAATAACCACACTGAATTCTGTGTTGTCAGATGACATGTATGTATAAGACCAAAATGAAGTTTCTTACTATTTTCCCAGCACTTTATACACATACAAATAGCTGAGTTTCACCAAATTTGGAGGCTATTTGGGGGCAAAGTCAAAATATGAAATATGAAATCTACATGGAGCTACTTTGTGAGCGGTCATACCCCATGAACATCCAATACAGTTCTGCAATCGCTTTTAGCAGAGAGACTCTGTAAGATGCTGAGAACAGAGAAAACAAGGTTCAAAGACAAGCCCGAGATTGAAAGTCAGAGGGACAGAGGATGCCATGTGCAGGCGTGAGTTTACAGTGGAGCTGCTTCTCCCATGGGCAACTCTGGATGACATGGTTAGGGTAAAGTGGAGGTAGTGCAGGCAGGTGGCTGGTCAGAAGGCAAGCCTGGGGCTGAGGATGAGATCAAACAGGTGAAGGCAGGGTGTGGGGGCTGTGAGGCTTTTGTGCAGCCTTTCTCAAGAGGGTTGCTGCTGCCAGGTTCATGTGGTAAGCTCATGCCCTTAGGGCCAGAGACCCAAACTCACCTCTGGTTATTGATGACCATCTGAAACAGGTCCAAGCTAGACAGAGAAATGAATGAGGGAAAGCAACAAGACAGGAGGTTGGAGAGGATGTAGGGCAAAGAGAAGATTCAGTAGGATAAGGAAGTGGGGTGGCCAACAGTCAGAGAATTGAAGCCACTGAAGGTTGTGCCACTCTTAGGGAAGTCCTGAGAGAGGGGGAGGGAATGAGCCCACAGAAGCCACTCAGGGGCAAATGAATGGGAAAATAGTAAGATGAACTTTTGACTTAAGGCACTAATTGCTGAGAATGGAGTCCAGAGAAACCAGAATCAGATGATAGAAGGGAGTAAAATAACTCAGGTGAGGAGGGAGCTGCTGTTACTTGGGAACAGCCAATGAACTGGGGCCTGGATATGGAACCCTGTGCTTTTAGATCAGGAAGTCTGCACATCCCAGGCCCAGAGGACAGAGAATCTTGGGTTTCTAGGAGAGGGTTGAAGTCAGCTCACTAGTCCTCTGTGGCCCAAAATGCCAAATGTCAGGGTACAGGGAAGAAGTAGAAGAGGAAGAAAGGCAGGAGAGGGGTCAGAGAGGGGAATCCCCCTGCTTGAGCTCTTGAAGGTGGAGCAGGCTGAGACAGCGACACTTCTTCCTCCCCCTCCGTGTGCTCCCGGCTCAGACATCTCCCTGGAGGCTCTGGACCAACACAGCAGCTTTCCGTTGCCACTGTCTACATGCTGAAGAATTCCAGATCCTTATCTCCATGCCTGAGCTCCACCATGACCTCCGGATCTGTACATCCAGGTGCCTTGTTCACCTGCATTCATGCATTCGTTCTTCTATTCAACAAATATTTACTGAGCACTTAGATGTGTTGGGCTCTGTTTCTGGTGCTCAGAGTTTGGCACTGATGTAATAAGACAAAGTCCCTGCCCTCATGGCAGTTACAGTCTGAGACAACTTGATTTGGATGTCTAATAGACATCTCAAATGTTATATGATCAAAACCAAACTCTTAATTTCCAGCCCCAGCCAATAAAACTCTTCCCTGCTGCAGCCCTTCCTCTTGTCTGTAAATAGCCCCATTCTGTGTCCAGTGGCTTAAGTCAAAACTAGGGATGACCTTGACTCCCCTCTTCTTTCACCCACGCACTTGATCCCATCAGCATTCTGCTGTTACTCTTGGTGAATTATATTCTGAAGCTAACCACATCTTAGTCTCTGCTGCTAAAACTCCAATTTTAGATACTTTTACAATTATTCTAACAAAGTATACTTATTAAGACATCTTTTTTTTTCTCCTTTGAATCTCAAATACAGAGGTCAGTTTCTCACACTCCCGAGTTTATTATTTTTATGAATCTAGGCCCCTTTTATTTTAATTTTTCCCCATTCTGCCCTGATATCCATTCACTGTCTCCTTTTCCCTCTGAGGGCATCTATTTAAGTGTACTTGATATATGTCCTAGAACATGTATTTATCCTTGTGAACTATGCATATATTCCTTTATAGATCTCACTTTACTTTTTTTTAAAGCTCTGCACTCAACACTGTTTGTAAGACCTATGCATGATGTCGTATAGATCATTGCTTCTAAGTGCTGCATTATATGCCACCATAGGCCTCTACAACAGGTAACTTAACTATTTCCCCATGATGGATTCCTAAGTTGCCTTCAACTTCCCACTACCACCAACAATGCTATGAATAATCTATTTGGTACATTCTGAGAATTTCTCTGGGACATATACTCAGGAGCAGGATTCTGGTTCAGAAGGTAGTCGTATCACACACTTGATATGACTATGACTAACAGGTTGCACCCCACAAGGGTGAGCAATAGTATGCCATGGTGCTCACCCACCACATCTTATCTATTCTCTTAGGAGTCTTAGGTTTTTGTAGTGGATGCTATGATGTGCCACTCGATCCTCTTTCAGGAGCAGGTACTCACTCCCCACCGCTGTCTGGAGTGTTGGCTACTGTGGACTCACAGCATTGTCCCTCCCCAGGAACTGCCCTAGCAGGAGGCAGCTGCTTCAGCCAAGGTCATGTCTTGCAGGAAGGCTGGGGAGGAGGCACTTGAATGCAAATCTCCACCTCTGCTTCCAGGAAAACCATCTATGATGCTTGCCTTCAGCTCCACACACAATGTTGCCATGAATATTTTTGTACATGTCCATTTGTGGACTCTTTCTAGAAATGTTCTGAGATATGTCTACCTGAGATACCTAATTTCAGTAAGTATTACTGGACTGCTTTCCAGGAGGTCTGTGTCCATTTGACCTCCCAGCAGCAGGGCTCCTCCCTCCGCACATTCTCACCAACACTTATTATTTTTCACAGTTCTCCATATGTAGCTTCAAGAAAAACTTGCTAAAACAAGTAAAGGTTAAAAATCCGTTTTCTAGTCAACCCCCAGCTTATCAAAATACTCCCAAAGCTTGTGCTTTGTTGTTGAGGCTTTAATTTTGTCAAGAAAAAAGAATCATTTAAGTAGAGAATTACCGGTATAGGTTCCAATATAAAGAATTTAATAACCATAAAAGACATCTGGTTTTTTCTCACTTAGGTGTTATATATTACTTCCCTAAAATGTAAAACATTTTAAGAAGAGTTTGAGTCTGGTAGGTGTTATTTATTACATTCATCCTTGATGTGAAAGCCACAATTGCTAATAAACAATTTTCTCTAGAAAATATTTATCAGCATGTTATATGTGGATTTTATTTGGCACAGAGAAAAAGTGAACACTTCCTCAATTTCCAATTGTCTATCCTAATAGAAGAGATGAGAAAACTCAAATTATGATTAATCCCCCAATCACTTATTTTGGGGCTTGAAATCACCATAAGACTTTCACTCAGAGAAAGAGGCAGAGAAATGATGGCCAGTGTTTTCCTCACAAGTGAGGTGCACAGGAATGCGGAAGATGGAGGAGGGGCAGTGGGGGAGAGGCCCTGGGCACAAGCAGTTTCATCTACATGGGAAAGGAGTTATAGAGCAATGAGAACTGACCACTGCTCTGCTCTGCACCACAAGTAGATTGTTGGTTGGTTTTTGTTTTTGTTTTTGTTTTTTTGAGACAGAGTCTCACTCTGTCACCAGGCTGGAGTGCAGTGGTGCGATCCCGGTTCACTGCAACCTCCGCCTCCCAGGTTCAAGTGATTCTTCTGCCTCAGCCTCCTAAGTAGCTGGGACTACAGGAACTCACCACCACGCCCGGCTACTTTTTGTATTTTTAGTAGATACGGGGTTTCACCATATTGGCCAGGCTGGTCTAGAACTCCTGACCTCGTGATCCGCCCGCCTCAGTCTCCCAAAGTGCTGGGATTACAGGCGTGAGCCACCATGCCTGGCCCAATTGCTGGTTGTTGTGTGTGTGTGTGTGTGTGTGTGTGCATGTGTGTGCGTGTGTGTAAGCGCACACATGCATTTGTTTCTTGGCTAATTCTTTGCAGCAGCTCTGCTGTATGCTTGAGTTTGGCAGACCTATTACAAACAAAAAAATTGGAAAATACAGTGAAATGTGTCTCCAAACTTTATTTTTCTAAATTGACTTACTCTGGCAAAGCAATTAAGTAGACGTTTGTCAAAGTCATCTGTCACTCTGCCTCCATATTGTACTTCTCCGATCATGTACCGAACCGTATTCCATGATACACCCTTTATTAAAAGTAAAAAAGGATTATTAATTGTCAACCCAAACACATCATTATAAACATTTCGGGTCTTTCCCTAGAGGAAAGGTCTGGAAAAGGAAGCACTCACTAGACTCACATTTAAAATTATTCATCGTCTTATATTAATAACTCTTTCACTATTACATGGCTGGAACCACTACAGTTTGTTCACCAAGAAAAAATCTACAATACTAAACACTGGTAAGTATATTGCACGTATATTATTTAAAATAGGGAAAAAGACTAATTTTCACTCTGGGGATATAATTACCTATAATACTCATTGTAGTAATGCCAAGCTGTTACAGAGGAGGAAAGTGGTGTTTAGTGAAAAAAGGAGAAAAATCAAGTAATCATTGCTTTAATACGCTTTCTTAGTAATGTATTTTCTGGAATCATTACGAGAACAACAAGAAAATTATTTATCCACAAGATTTTTCCTCAATGCAATCCTCTGCCATCCTCTGCATCTCATTCTATGTGCTAAAACTACATCAAAATATTTATTAATTTCTATAGCAATTTTATACTAGCAATATATTGCAGTTTAGCAGTTTCTTTAAACCCTTGATACATTTGAGTTACGAGAAATAAGGATATTTGCTTTTTGTTTACTTTTTCTTGGTTAAAATTTTATTTTTCAGCTTGGTTGCCTTTCAAAGCAACTATTTTAAGGTAACTATTATTTGTATGTACCAAAATGATAAATGACCACAGAATATGAACACATAGAATATAACTTTTCATCAGACTGCCTTACTTTTAATTTCATATCCCTTTGTCATTTCAAGGAAAAATGACGGTTTGGTACTAGAGTAAACACTCATCATGGCTTACCACCCCATTACGGAAGCTTCAGAATCTCTAATTACCTTGAAGCCCTACTCTGTGGAAGAAGAGGGGGCCAGACTGCAGAGAGTCATATTGAATGAGCTCTTATTAGGTACTGTGTACTGTGCTTTCACAAATACTAACTCATTCGTTCCTCACAGAAACAATGTTCATTTTATAGATGAGGAAACAGGCTTTAAGGCTCATTAACTTGCCAAAGATTATAGAAAAAACAAATTTCCAACCCTTTATATGTGTGAAAGGACAACAGATTTTACGTTCTCAGCTCTGTGACCTTGAGGAAGTCTCTTAGTCTCTCCTGTCTGTTACCTCATCAGTAAAATGGGTAATAAATAAATAAATAATAATGCCTTTTTTATTGATCTCACAGGGTTGTGAAGATAAAAGTGAGATCCTGCACACATGAGAACTTTGAAAACTGCAAAGTGTCATATGATGATGAATGACCATTACTAGAAAGTATTGTTATTCATATGCATAAGCTGAGCAGTTAAGAAGTGACTTAAGGTGAGAAAGAACTTTCGCATGGGCAGGCAGATACCATCTTCACTTCTGAGGAGGCAGGAGTAGGACCAGTGAGGAGAAGCTTGACCTAAAGCACACCTTCTCTTGAAGTGCACTGTGGTCCCTGAGTGTAACATGAGGAAGGCTGCGGTATTTTGCAACACACTGAGTTAGTTAGCTTCAGAGGTATGTGAGTGTTGGGGGCAGGGACAGGCTGCCCCAGCAAGTGCCTGATTACAGCAACAAGTCCCTTCAAAGGGGGCTCCATGGGGCTCAGCAAATTCACACCTTATCATAGACTTCAAATGACTGTAGAACCCTGATTTAAGAAGAGCAATAAAAACAGGAAAAAAGGCATAATTTCACTCACTTTCTTAATATCGCATTCATCAAGGTGATTCTGAATAAACTGAACACTGGCTGAAAAGTCAGCAGAATTGAATTCGTAGGGAATATTCCATCCTAAGGGGCCAAATTTTCGTCGCTCCTTAAAAACACCAAAGAAAAGTAAGTATTGCATGTACCTGATTCCATTTTTATTGCTATCAAAATACAGTAAAATTAAGGCTATATTATCAAAATAAATTGACATTAGTTTAAAAGAATAGTATATACAATTTTGGATATACATTCATGTCGCTTAATGATGGGGTTACCTTCTGAGAAATGCATCATTAAGCAATTTCCTCACGCAAACATCTTAGAGGGCACTTACACAAACCTAGATGGTACAGCCTATACGCACCTAGGCTACATGATGTAGTCTATTGCTCCCAGGCTACAAACCTGTGCAGCATGTTACGGGACTGAATACTGCAGGCAACTGTAACACAATGGTAGGTATTTGTGTATCTAGACACATCTAAACACAGAAAAGGTACAGTAAAAATACATTATACTCTTACAGGACCACCACCGTATATGCAATCCATGTTGACTGAAACGTTATGTGGCATATAGCCATATTAGAAATATTACTTCATGGCTCTATAGCTAAGGGGTTTATATAAAGAAATCTCCAAAGATTTGCCAAGTTGGAGTTCTTGGGTTTTAAAAAAAGTCTAGGTCTCCACTGACAACTCAAAAAATGCAGTAGATGCTCAACAAATACCTGTTGAATGAACTGTTATTCTACAATGGACTCTTGAAAGTTTGAAATGTCAAATGCAAGGGTTTGAATTTTTTCAGTTGGATTATCTAAACCTCTCTCAAGAGCACTTAGATTCTGTGATGGCTTCCCTTTGCAATCTTGCCATTTCAGATTTTGAAAACTAAAAATTTCTGTTGTATACATGACGTGTCTGTCTTGAAACTTTCACATGACCCTCATTTGTTTCCCTCTACTTAATCAAAGAGGGCCTAAGAGACTCCTGTGCAATAGTGGCTAACTGTTTACAATTGTCAAATCACCAATAAATAATCAAACTGGACTCAGAGCAAATGATTCAATTGTTTTGATATTCCAGAGAGCATTTTAAAGGTATGGCAAGTATTAGACCTGATAGCTCCAAGAATTGATGATCCAACAACCCACATAGATGAGTCCAGATGTTTCTATGGCATCAGCTTTTCCTATCGCAACACATAATCAGTCTCTAAGGAAGGGCCAGGGATTTATTAGATTAGTTCCTAGACCCTAATTCTAGTGCCTAAGGTGAGGACTCATGTGGAGAGTAGAATCCCTATACATCTATGGGAATGTTTAATTCTACTCTTTTACCTCTAAGTATATACTAACTTTTCTTTTTCTTTTCTGCCTTCCCCAACTCAACACACACACACACACACACACACACACACACACTGCCGTTTTCACAAGCCATTCCAATCCTTCTTGCTGCAGCTGTTCCATGATTCCGATCCTGAATAATTCCACCATTTAAAAAAAAATCTAAATAAATTTTTGTTGGGACAAGTTCATGAACAAGTCAGAGAAGGAATTCAGAAAATTCAAAGGTTTGAATTACTGAGTTTCAGGGTATGCTTTTAAAGTATTTAGTAAACCATTAAGATTAATTTGGGTCTAGATGTTCTGACCCTGGGAGATCAGACTAAGAGCAACAATAATAATAATAATAATAGGAGTAGCTCTTAAAAACGTAAAGTACTACTGTTACCTCTAGACCTAAACTTCTTTAGTTAAGGTTGTCAGGCATTAGAGATTTGCGCTATGTGACACCCACACCTATCCCTTAGCTAATTTGATCCAAGGTAGACAGCCAACCCAAAAAGAACTGACCAGACCCCTTCTCCCAGGAATTTGGACTTAGGGTTTGTAATTGTTATCTGGGGCTTAGACTAAGAAAACTTGTAAACTCAGGAGCTGTGAAGAACCATCTTCCACCCTGTACTTAGAAGAGGTGAGGAGGAGCAGAGGCCATAGCCTGGAAGGGAGGAGAGACTGTGTGGTCCTAGGTGCAAGGGTGGGAGCCTTGGTCCCTAACATTGCTTCTCTTGACAGCTTCCTGCTTCCTAGTCCCAGCATTCATGTTGCCTTGGTTTTTGTTTTGTGGGTTTTTTAAGATGTTTCATATTGATATATGTGGTCCTGTAACCAGATTTTGAGTCTTGACAGTGAAAAACACGTCTTCTATTTTTGTCTCCCCTTTTGCACCTTGGGGGAAAGAATCATGGTTGCCTAATAAACACTGGTCGATTATTACCAGGGCAAAAGGAACCCTTTCTCTGTAAGAGGTCAATGCTGAGGCTCACCCAGTGTTTGGAATTTCTGAAGTGGACTCAGAAACATTGAGGTGAGCCTCTTCCAGATTATACCAGGAGCAAGGGTGGGTGGAGAGGGTTATGGGATATTAACATGAAAATTCATACAGCTAACCGTTTTAGTTCTTGGAATTTCTTCCATCTTGAGGACTTTGAAGAGAAGAATGCTAATGACTTATTAGTGAAATGTGAATGTTTTCCCATTTTTGAAAAAGAGGATCAGAATTTATACCATTAGTTTTACCTATGTGTTTGATTTAATTTTTAAATTTTAATGTTCAATTAGATGGGTGGCCAAATGAAAAATAACTCCAATTACTAAAGCTGCTCAAATTGACTCTATGGAAACACTCCTATTTATATGCACTGAGCAACTGCAATTTAGTTGTTCTTTAAAATGTGAGTTTTGAAAATTGCCCTAATGCTGAGATTTGCTTCATGTTTATATTTCTTACTACCAATTTTCATCTAAAGCATTTACTTTTTAAGTTGGTTCACTAAAGTCATAAACTGATTAGCTCATCTTGGGAAAAAAAGCCCAAAATCTTAGTGGGTGCCTTTTCTTTCACAAATGAAGTCATTTCATCTTCTTGCTATTTTTTTAAATTACCTTGGAATACTATCAGGATAGACTCAAACAACTAGAACCTAAGAACTCATTTGGAAGATCAAAGCAAGGGGTTTTGCTGGACTTATTTGGAATATTGAATTTCTTCAGTTTAATTAACATTTTTGAAACCATGGGATGAGTCCTATGCAATACAATAAAAAATATCAAAAAGGATGCATTTTCAAGAAGTTTTAATCTGTTGCAAAAATAAGACTTGGAGACAAGAAAAAGAATAATGGGATAGTGAATATAATTAACTGTCAAAATTTCACAATGATAAGCCTGAAGGAGACGTTCAATCAGAGGCTTCTGGGAAGAATAAAACTGAAGCTGGTCTTTACAAGGAGGAGAGAAGAGACTTCCAGGCTTGGCAAAGGCCATGAGCAAAACTAGGAACACAAATCCTGTGACTTGTGGAGAAAAAGGCTGCAGACAGAAGGTTCTACTGCAGTAGCGGGCTAGTTCTGGTGAGTAGCAGCAACTCAGTGGTCACGTGCTTCAAGACATGGAATGCAGACAAATTTGAATGTTAAAACTTCATTCGACAGAAGGGAGAGGACTGTCCATCATTAAGATGGTGACTGATGATTTTAGGAAAACCAGTCCACTCCCTACTTAATTTGATTAATACAGTTTCTTCTTTTCATTTCACAGAATATACAAAACTCTGAACTACTAGAGAAATATGGAAAATGTGGAATCATGAAAAACTCCTTAGAACACTGATGAAAAGTTGTTCAATCATTTTAATGATGTCAGAGCCATTTCCAATTTTACGTTAGGTTCTACCTCAGCAGTTCCCACAGAGCTGCAGAATCATTTCACAGCTTCAAAACCAGACAACTGGAGTTAACTGTCTAACTCCAATAACTGGAGCTAATATACAAAGAAAAATACAAGCCACACTAGACAATGTAAGGGAAACTTTACTAGGTAAAAATAGTTGACAGAAGCAGCCAGAACCTCTGGGAAACACTATGGGGCAGAGTGTAAAAGATAAACCAGTATCATATTACCATAATCATTCAAAGACATTTAAATGAGGAATTTTATAACCATCTCTCCCCAAAGCAAGAACTTTATATGCACTATTAAATTTGAAAGGAATGTTTATCAAGGCTCAAACTTGAGAAAGAAAACGAAATGTAGGGGAAGCAAACACTTTTCCGAATGAAGAACTGTTAATAGTGAGATTCCCTGGGCCCTATTGATAGGGCCCCTTTTATTTACTATCTAAGTAATTTTTAAGGGCCACGATAGAATTTCCAAGTTTGCAACTGCCACTATAGGCCCTTAGAGATCCTAATCAATAACTTTAGCTAAAAAAGAAAAATGAAAAAGAAAAGAGCACCTCACCTCACAGAGTTATATATAAGCTGTTTGAAAAGTCATAAAGAAATACGCAGTTCAATGTGGACAAACCAAGGTGATGGGGAGAAAAACTCCAGACTATGAAATGGATGTAAAAGTGGTTCAAGACTCTTCCCTTAAGGGTTGTGGCCATTTGGCCATTATTTTCAATTCTTGCCACATATCAGGATCACTTGGAAGTTTTTAAAAAGACTGAGCTCCTTCCTTTTGGCCTCCTGGGGATTTTGACTTAAGTGTCCTGTTCTGGGGCCCAGGCATTGGCTGAGAAGACAATTGTAGATAATTGGCTGAGAAGACCACTTAAGACATTTACTCGGTCCAATACACACCTCAAAGAGTGGCACATTGACAATCAATAGGAAAAAAATAACCCATAGAACATTATTCTGATCTTCTGCAGGAGGTGTTAGGAAGTGGCTAAAAATGTAATGATTGAGTTTCAAAAGACTAAGACTTTGGAGGAAAATGTGCTTAAAATTAAAATCCCAAAGGGTGAATGTGGGCTTGCTCTCAAGCCCAGAACGATGCTACACTGGATGCTACACCACCCAGGAAAGCACAGAGACAGAATACCGAGGCCAGAGAGAAGCTTCCCTCCTAAGTAATCTTCAAGAGGATGCTGAAACATTCTCAGGGAGTGGCAGCCAAACCGAGCCCAGGCACACACCAGGGTCCTGGGAATAAAAGGCTCCCATAAGGAAGGCAGAAGGGCCACTGGCAAAAGCAGAGACATCACTGGACTGCAGCAGGGGTGGGGGCTTCAGCAGTAACTTCCCCTCTCAGGGTAGCTGCTACTGCTCTGTGTGGATAGTAAGTTGCTGGAGGAGAAGGGGAGTGGCAGGGAGCAGAGCTTAGTGCGGCGTTGCCTCGTGCATCTATGCATGTTCCCATGGCAGCACCCAGGGCACCCTCCTCCTGGGAAAGCCTGCTCCCACCTCAAGAATAAAGCAAACCACGCCCTCCACCACTCTTCTGCCCAAGTTATCCTTGACCAGCCAAATTTACTTCCCCTTCTCCCAGAAAAGGAGAGGTGCTCATTTTGTTCCCTGCAACTGAAGTAGAATCCACATATCATGCCTATGAACTGGGGTAAGCTGATGGCATAATGCCACCCAAACCAGGATTCCAAGGGAGAATTTACATTTTTTACTGGAGAGCAGGCAGGGAGTTGGCTATTTTACTCCTGGGTTCTGCATTGTAATGTGGGATGAACTCCAGCATGAACCCCTCTGGAGCTTCAGATCCTGTGCCTAATTCTTTTTTCAGTCTGTCTCTGCAAGAACAAAAGTACATATAACATGTTTGTTTAAAGCAACGGATACCTGTTTTAATTTGGAGGACTCAATTAATCAATTAACAAATCAGATGTTTGGCTCTTATACTCAACACTAGAGAGAGAAAAGAAACGTAAGTCACAAACAATCTAATCCACAACATTCCTTCCTATAGCAGTTGAGTCTCAGACATTCAGGTGCATACAAATCATGTAGGTATCTTGGTACAATGCAGACTGATTTAGGAGAGTCTGAGGCGAGATCTGACATGCACCTCCAACAAGCTCCCAAGTGATGTTGATGCTTCTGGCCCAAGACAACAAGTCTCTGAAGAATTTTGGATTTTTCTATCAAGCTGTCCCTATCCTAACCAAGTAAAAAAAATATTTACACAAAATCACAGCAAACACTTCTGTGATATTTCTGAAACATATGTCTAAAATTCCCAGGAGATTTTGGAAATATCACAGTAAACACTTCTGAAATTGATGAAAAAGAATTACCTACACTCACTGTATTGTCACAGAATTGGGCGATGGAATTTTAGAAATTGAAAAAAACCTTGAAAGATCACCTACTTCTGCCTCTAACTGCACAGATGGGGAAACAGAAGCCCTGAGAGAGACATAACTTGATCAACTAACTGCTTTCAGCTAACTGATTTCACAGCAAGCACGAAAGTCCAGGCCTCCTGACTCTTAGTGAAGTGTTATTTCTAGCCCTCTATTATTTGATTTTAAGAGATATTCAGCCTTTTATTCCTGGACACTCCACTGGTAACTTCACCGCCCTAGCAGTGAAAATATTTTTCCTCCGTTTTAACCCAAACACATGTGGTGTTAAGTGCAAGGGCACTTTAGCCCCATGGCTGGACCATGGTCCTGTTGCTCTTCTTCCCTTTAGCACTTGGATAATGGCCACTAAAAACACAGGTTGCCACATTAACCATATGGCAAATACCCCCAACCAGCTCTCCATGATAAGCACAGTGGAAGAGTTGAATCATCACTACTGGGAACACAATCATAAAATATTATTTGTGAATTGGGAATGAAATAGCAGAGTTAAAGCAATATTTGTATTAGGATGTGATAAGGTCTAGCAAAGCGAACAATTCCCAGATAAGAATGTATGAAATAGGCTTCTGTGACTTGAAAGCTGTAATTGACAATCCAAAGGCCACAATGGAACTTAGTAAAGATAACCACCAGCAAAGCATTTAATCTGATTTTAACTTTCTCAGTGTTGGGAGGCAGACAAACACCACATCCCTCTCCTGGGCAGCCAGGAACCTAGTAAAGTGGTAGGGATAATGAATTAGGGGTAAATACACACAGTATTTTCTGGGATGAGCATTAAGTTCCCCTCCATCTTTGGACAGGGCAGGGAGAGGTAATGTGAAGTTCTGCCCATCACTGTACACAGCTAAAAGCCTGACTCCTGGGATAGACCAACTGATTTATTTTGTCCTTCACCCCAACCCCAGGAAAGAAAGAACTCCAGGTAGGGCTTAAAGGAATCTCTTCAATTCTCTGTGAAATCAAGGAATGGATCCAGTGCATTGAAAATGTATAGCTTTTGAATTACAGAACAAAATATAAAATTCAGATGCAGAACAAAACACTAACAATAATTTAAAAAATCGTAACAGACAAGTTGCTTGGTAATCATAAAATTATTAAATTACTGCGTCAGTACTAAGACTGTAAAAGCAAACAGCAAATGACTTGAGAAAGACAGGGAGCTGCTGTTCCTCCTCCTCCTCCAACATCACCACCACTTTTACTATCAGGTAATAAATAGAGTCAAAACAATACATAAATCAGAGCCAGCCAATCCTAGTTCAGCCAATCCTAGCAACCACATTTGAAGAGTACTTAACATCTTTGGGATGGTGATAATCCTATCTTGAAATGTGGTTGTTAGTATTACAGGAGATGGTGCACATAAAATTCTTGGCCAGCACAGGCACTTTCAAAACCAAGCTCCTATCTTTATAATCCATTAGCTCATTCTACAAATATTTATTGAGCTCTGACAATCCCCTGCGTGCTGTTGTGACAGTAGGAGAGTCAGCAGTTACGAAAAGACAGTCTTCACCCTGGAGAATCTTACATTCCAATAGTCAGGGTTGGGGGTTGGGGCAGGGGGCACACACAAAATACATAAACAAATATACACTATACCAGGTGGGGAAAGTGCTATGAAGGAAAAGAGAGTAAGGAGACAGAGCGGCAACGGATAGCACCCTCCTGGAAGCCTCTCCAATGGGGCCTCAGCACACCACTGGCCATCTCCTAAATGTGAAAACTGCTTTCTGCAGTTACCTGCACAGTGGAGTGTAAAAATGCTACTGTGTAAAGCATCGGCTTCCACATGGGTAAATTACTGATGTCCAGAAGGTCTTGATTAATTCCAGCAAATGTTCTTTTCAAACCTGCGCGTACACCTTGGGGTGGCTCATTAGTGAATTTGAGAGAGGTCTGTCATGAAAAGAAAACAGTGCTTTTGTTTCTATAAATTACTATAAAGAATAAAATAGAAATTACAATATTAGGCTGAATATCCTTTATCTGAAATGCTTGGGACTGGAAGTGTTTTGAATTTCAGATTTTGGAATATTAGCATTAAATTGTTATATGAGCATTGCCTTTGAGCATTCTATTGGCATTGAGAATGTTTCAGATTTTGGAGCATTTCGGGTTTCGATTTTCAGATTTAGGATGCTCAACCTGTATATCAGAAAACAATATGCTTATGGTACATAAAGTGGGGGCAAAGTTCAGCATTGTATAAACTAAGTACATTGATCAGAGCTGAAACTCAATAAATTAGTACTAAGTCTTAGAGCTCTTCTATGGAAATATTTACTACAGTCTAACCTTGATGTCAAGATTTTGATGATTATAGTATTATAGTATAAGATCTTGCAGTCCAGACCCTACAGGACCAAAAAGCCCTGTTGTGTTCCCATCTTTCAACAATGTCAATGATGTCATCTTTATTACTATGACTCTCGATGAAAAGACGTTTAGTAACAAACCTGAAGCAATGTAATTGGAAATCGATCATGGGGCTCCGTAGTTATCCATACTCGGAAAGAATCATCACTGGCTTCAGTGGTAATTAGCGTCTCTAGTAATTCTTCCATGAATTCCAGGCCAAGGTGGCAATTTTGTAGTAATACCCAACCACCCTGTATCCAAAAATAAGTTCATATTTATTTCTTGTAACCTTTTTGCTATGATTTTAATAAAACAAAATGTGCACTTTTTTTAAAAACCATGTGAATACTCTGTTTTGAACACATTTTTAAAAATTATATGTCAATACAATCATTTCTCCTGCTATGGTACAAGTAATTGGTACAAGCTAATTACTTAGAATCAAGTGGGTTCAAAATGATTGTATTCTGCCACCCCTGGTTCAGAAAGGAACAGAAATTAAAACTTGAAGGCAGACTTGTGTAAGTACAGTGTGTGCACCATCTAATGGTGGGAACGGGTATTTTGGAATCAGTAACAAGTTGTCCTGCCTAAGGTAAATCAGAACTGACTCACCCCCAAAACCCAGAAGACTGGTTCACAGTTATTCATAGTTACAAAGAAAGATACACATGATCTCATGAAAGCTGGAGACAATACGTTTGGTGACATTTACTACCATAATGCTAAGCTTTATTCTTTATCATCACTCTCCACACTTTCCTGAAACCACATAACTTATTAAGCACTTTCTAAATAAATACTTGATTAAACAAACTACCTTAAACAATATGTCACAAAACCATCACTGCCCTGTGAGAACATAGTTTCTTTACTAGACATTTTAATACCTTTATACAGGAATCAGCTATCTTGAACTACATAAAACTACAAAATAGTGAGCATGATAAATATATGGCAAGGCATATATACCATGTCTCAACTGTAAGCGAAAATACAACTCACACCGGCTTAACTAGTAAAGGGGATGTGCCGTCTATACAACTGGGGTTTCAGAGGAAAACAGCATTCAGGATTAGTTTGTGTCATCATGGACCCACTTACTTTCTGGTTCCCCACTCTGTGTTCCACAATGCCAGCTTTATGCTAAACATGGTGTCCCTCAAGGCGGCAACATGGCTGCACCTGCTCATGTCTGGTTTTCTTTTCTGATTATGCCATATAATCAATACTTACCCCACTTTGACAAACAGACCATGGAAGTTATAAAGGCTAGTATTCCAAAGACAGTTAACATGAACACCGTATTTAAATTAAAGTTTTGCACCCACAGAAACTAAAGAAATTATTTAAGGCCCAAAGTTAAACTGTCAAATCACTCAATAGAGTGAAACATTTGATCCGAGTAAAAATAATTATGTATAATTGCTTTGAGATATACATGTATAAATTAAATAAATTATTGAATTTAATTAAGTGATAAAGATTGAGGCTTAGGGCATTTGAGAATTAATGACTAGCTGGAAAAGTTGATGACCCAACAGAGTTTTAGCCCATTAACCCTCTCTAGTCATTAATTCCCAGGGAAAAGCTGCACCAAAGTTTGTACAGACATTCTGAGATCAAAAGCTTAAAAATAAACCAATATCTTATTTTATTTTTATAAATGGTATAATTTCTTATTACAGCTGAAATGGCTATCTACAGAGCATTTCTAGAAAATTAATGTCCTGTGTATTTATTAGGTGTGATGGGAAATCTCTCTCAACACTCCATTCAGCTTGCAATTATTAGTGAAAACCATTATCAGTATTTAAACATAGCATCCTTAAATATTCCTTCTTTGCCTGAAATGATCCGTTAATGAAAAATGAAAGTCTGCCTTTAACTGAAAATGGAAATTTAACTGTCTCAATCTGTCACTCCTTAAGTACTACCTATTCATATTGATCATGAAATTCCAAGACTGCTAGAGATGCATTCTTAGAAATCAGAAGGTGTGTCTCCCAAATCATAAAACGAACAAAAAATTGGTGAAGGTAAAATGGAGCATATACTATAGAAAATGGAATAAGCTTTCCATGCGAATATCAGGAGGAAACTAGACTGAGGTTTAAAATTCACAGGTAATGATAAACAAAAATGGAAAAACCAGGATTGAGCATCACGAGAAGAATGTGGTAACATCCATGATTGTGGGGTTTCTAGCAATAATGTTGCAGCAGGAGCAGTCTCTTGTCACATACCTGCTGCATTGACATCTGAATCAGCTTTCGAGCATGTACTTCTTGTCCTTGCCCCATTGAGATAGTTCTACATTCTGTAACATAGGAGAAAGTTCACTATGATGAAACACAACTCTTACAGCAGGATTAGAATGAAAAATTAATTTCTGAATGATTATAGCCTCCTTCTATTGTTTCTAAAAAAAAAAAAAAATCTTTGCTGTTCAAACAGGCCTGGCCTTTGGTTGTGTGGATCAGAGAAATGCATGGAGCAGAGACCTGGAGGCACCACCCGGAAAAGCGTGGGTTGGGGGTCAGGAAGGGAGAGAAAAAGGCACGTATGGTGGGCTTTTAGAGAGTTTGAGATTCTTTGGAGACAATGAGGAACAAGATCAATGGTGGGAGAGGCAACTACAATGCTATCACAGGTATTTGTAGGGAAAAAGGATTTTTTAGTTTTGCTGTAAGTTTTGGTTAGAATCCTTTTCGGCGTTTTAGCAGACGCTTCTGTAAAGATTTAATTTTCTGTTTATTCCTTTTAGATATCAGGCTCACAGTGTTTTCTGTCTGCTTGTTTTGGTTTTCTTTGTATGTTTGATCATTTTTCTGAGATGAAATTTGAGACAGTTCAGCCCTGTGACGGGTACATTCAGGGGCAACTGTCTAAGACCTAGTTCTCAGCTGCTCCTCAGATTAAATCACCACCTTGGAACTAAACATGAAAACACTCCACGATGAGAAATGTCATAATTCCAGAGATAATACACCATTTAGGACCAGATGTCCCAGGCAGAGAACCATGCTTGTGACCTCCCACATGAATTAGCTAAAATGAAGAAGTCTGAGAATCATGTTTGCACAACTGCAATTGGAAATTAACTCTTAAGCAAGCCCTTGTGGACCCAAATTTTCTTGAGTTCTAGAGGCATAATCCCTGTACAAGGAAAAGCAATCAATGGAGACATTGTGAACCAGTGTGTGTTTATGGTAACTGCTGGTAGAGACTATAAGAAGCTGGAGACTTCATGGGGTGGGGAGGGAAGTATGTCAGAAACCAGAGACACTGTCAGGACACACCATTTAAATGGCATCCTGTGGTTAATGGCCAGATATTCTGAGAGGGTCTGCAGGGTGCAAGATTAGGGATTATTCGTGGGCTCAGGGTCACAGGGAGACACTTTGCAATGAGAGCCTGAAGGAGGATGGAAGAGCACTCACTGCTTGGAGAATCAGGAATTGAAATGGGCCAAGTATTAACAAGCAAAGGTGGATTTTCCCACCAAAGCCCACATGAATCTTTCCAGCTCCTAAGGGGAATCTGGCACCTGAAAAGAATCCCACCCAGCCTATAAAAGCAGAAGAAAGGAGAGGCGTGACTTGAATGGGAGGAGCCTCTGGATCGTGGATAGATATCGAGCCCCACTTATTTCGGAAGAACACACAAATGTTCAATAGATCAATGAGGGAAAGTGATAGGCTCAAAAAGTATTAACACATGAGTGTGAGCCACAGCCTCTCTGTCTTCTTCCAACTCCTCTGAAACACACCTTCTACAAGGAAGGTCTAGTTTTCGTTCAGGTGGCCCTGGGACAGTTGTTGCTTGATCCAGGTATTGGGTCAAGAGGCGATTTAGAGGCATCCCTTCATATCCAGAATCTGGCCATTTCCCAACTCTGCTTTTATTTCCTGGTGTAAGTGACCGCCACCTCTTGCCTAGATTCTTGGAATGGCCTCCTAACTGGTGACAACCTCACTTCCACCCTTGTCCTCTACTAGCTATTCTTCCTACAGCAGCCAGAGGGGTCTCTCAAGCCCTAAATCAGATTATGTTCATCCTCTGCTCAGAACCATCCAATGGCTTCCCATTGCATCCAAGGCAAAATCCAAAATCCAAACCAAAGTTCTTATTTACAGACTATAAGGCCCTACACAATCAGTCCCTGCTACTGCTGCCACACACCACCCCCCACTCCCCCCCACACACACCTTTTCTTATCTCACCACCCCCCTATCCATTCACTTTCCTCCATCCATAACAGCCTCCTCCCCAGGCCCACCCCAGCCTCATTGGTGTTCCCTCCTTCAGAGTTCCAGACTCACTCCCTTCACATCTCAGGTTTTTCTCACCCTGTCAGCAAGACTTTCCTGACGGACCTTGTTCTATCTAAAACGGCACACCTCTCCCATCACTCTGTCCCTTCCCCTGCTTCTTAGCATATTTTATACTTTTCTTCTTAGGATATTATGTACTACCTTGTTTATCAATAACTGTCTGTTTTATCCCCAGTCTAGAATATCAGCTAGGGACTTAGACATGGTGGCCAACCCAGCACCTAGATAGTGCCTGGCACTCAGTAGATGCTCAATAAATATATATTTCTGAACCTTTATAATTGAGGTATAATTTCCATATAAATTATGAAATATATACTTCATTATAAAGTGTATACTTTAATATTTTAAAATATGTTTTTAGAGTTGCATAACTATCACTACTATCAAATCATCTAATTCCAGAACATTTTCATCAACCCCAAAAGAAACCCCATACCCATTAGCAGTCACTTCCCATTCCCCCTTCCCACCCCAGCAATCACCAATCTACTTTGTCTCTATTCCAGACATTTCATTAAATGGAATTATGCAATATATGGTCTTTTGTGTCTGTCTTCCTTCAGTTAGCATGCTTTCAAGGTTCATCCATATTGTAGCATGTATTACTTCATTCCTTTTTATGGCTGACTAAGAGTTCACAGCATGGATATACCACATTTCTTTATCTGTTCATCAGCCCCAGACATTTGGGTTGTTTTCACTTTTTAGCTAGTATGAGTAATGCTGCTATGAGCATTCACATACAAGTTTTTGGGTGGATGTATATTTTCAGTTTTTTGGGGGTATATACTTAGAGGCAAGTTTGCTGAGTCATGTGGTAACCCTATCTTTAACTTTCTGAGAAACTGCTAGACTGTTTTCCAAAGCAGCTGCACCATTTTACATTTCCGTTGGCAATGTATGAATGTTCTAATTTTTCCACATCCTTACCAATACTTGCTGTTGTCCCTGTCTTTGATTATAGCTATCTTAGTGGGAATGAAGAAATATCTCATTGTGATTTTAATTTGCATTTCCCTAATAACTAACAAAGCTGAGTATCTTTTCATGTGTTTATTGGCCATTTGTACATCTTCCTTGTAGAAATATCCATTCAAATCCTTTGCCCATTTTTAAATTGGGTAATTTGACTATTGTTGAGTTGTAAGAGGTCTTTATATATTCTGGATACTAGACCCTTAACAGATGTATGATTTGCAAATATTTTCTCCTATTTTATAGGTTGTCCTCTGATGGTGCCCTCTGAAGCACAAAGTTTTACATTTTGATGAAGTCCAATTTATCAATATTTCCTTTTATTGCTTATGTTTTTGGTTTCATATCTAGAAAACCATTGCCTAATCCACGGCCTCAAAGATTTACTCTTATTTTTTTTACTAAGTATGTTATGGTTTTAGTGTTTACAGTTAAGTCTCTGATTGATTTTGAGTTAATTTTTGTGTATGTTGTGATGTAAAAACCACACTTCATTCCTTTGCAAATGCATATCAGTTCTTCCAGCACCATTTGTTAAGAAGATTGTCTTTTCCAACATTGCATGGTCTTAGAACCCTTGTTGAGAACCAACTCACCATAATATGTGAGGGCTGGGTTTATTTCTGGACTCTCAATTCTGCATTGAGATATATATTCTTTGCAATGATATATATCTTTATGCCCATATCACACTGTTTTAATTACTGTAGCTTTGTAGTAAGTCTTGATTTTGGGAAGCATAAGTCCTATAGCTTTGTTCTTTCTTTTCAAGATTGTTTTAGTTATCTTGGGTCCCATGAATTTCCATACAAATTTTAGGATCGTCTTGTCAATTTCTATTTTTAAAAAAGGCTGTTGGGATTTTTATAGGGATTGAGTTAAATCTCTTGATCTATTAGATGAGTACTGGCATTTTACCAAAGTCTCCTGATCCATGAACACTGGATGTCTTTCCATTTATTTAGGTATTTAATTTTTTAATGATGTTTTTTAGTTTTCAATGTACAAATCTTCCACTTCTTTTATTGAATTTATTCCTAAGTATTTTATTTTTAATAATATTGTAAAGGAATTGTAATGTGTTTATGATTTCATTTTTGAATTGTTCTTGCTAGTGCATAGAAATACAATAGCTTTTAAATATTGATCTTGTATCCTACAATCTTGCTGAACTCATCTATTAGCTCTAATTGTTTTTTGGTAAACAACTTATAATTTTTTATGCACAAATTCATGTCACAATCATAGAGGCAGTTTTACTTCTTCCTTTCCAATGTAGATGGTTTTTTTTTTTCTTTGCCTGGTCTGATTGCCCTATCTAGAACCACCAATACAATGCTGAATAAAAGTCGTAAGAGTAGACATCCTTGTCTTTCTCCTGATCTTTGGGAGAAGGCATTCAGTCTTTTACCATTAAGTGTGACATTAACCGTGAGTTTTTTGTAGGTGCCTTTTATCAGGTTGAGAAAATTTCCTCCTATTCCTAGTTTGCTAGTCCATATTTATCAATGTTTTCAATGCTTTTCTGCATCTGCAATGGACTAAATGTTTATGTACCCCTAAAATTCATATGTTGAAACCTAAACCCCAAAGTGATGGTACTAGGAAGTGACAAGGTATTAAGAGTGGGATTAGTGACCTTATAAAAGATGCCCTCCTTCCACCATGTGAAGACACAATGAGAAGTCATCTATGAAATAGGAAACCGGCCTTTATCAGCTACTGAATCGGCCAAGGTCTTGATCTTGGACTCTCAGCCTCCAGAACTATCAGAAATAAATTTCTATGCTTATAAGCTACCCAGTCTATGGTAGTTTGTTGCAGCAGCTCAAACAGACTAAGACAGCATCTGTTGAGATGATCATGTGGTTGTTGTCTATTATTCTATTAATATGGTATATTACATTGATTGATATTCATATGTTTAACCAATCTCATACTCCTGGGATTAATTCACTTGGTCATAGTGTATAATGTTTTTATATGGTGCTGCATTTGGTTTGATAATACTTTGTTGAGAATTTTGTTTCTATGTGCCTAAGGGATAATGGTCTGTAGTTTTTTCTATGTGTGATGTCTTTGTCTGCATTTGGTATCATGGTAATACTGGTCTCAGAATGGGTTGAAAAGTGTTCCCTCCTCTTTTATTTTTTAGAAAAGCTGAGAAAAACTAGTGCTATTCTTTAAAATTTTGCTAGAATTCACCAATGAAGCCATCTGGGACTAAGATTCCTTTTGTGTGAATTTTTTGATTAATGAATAAATCTCCATACTTCTTATGGCTCTATTCAGATTTTCTACATCTTCTTGAGTCAGTTTCAATAGTTATTTCTAATATTTTTTCCATTTCATCTAGGTTATCTAATTTGTTGGCATAATTGTTCACAGTATTCCCTTAGGAGTTTTTAAATTTGGGTAAGTAGTTACGCCCCTCTTTCATTGCTGATTTTAGTAATCTTCACTTTCTCTTCTTTATTCTTGGTTAGTTTAGCTAAATATTTGTCAGTTTTATTGATCTTTCAAAAAAGATACCTTTGACTTCTTGATTCTTTGTTGTTTTTCTATTATCTGGCTTTTTTTGCTCGCATATTTATTATTTCCTTTCTTTTGACTGCTTTGAGTTTAGTTTGCTCTTCTTTTCTAAGTTTCTTAATGTGGAAGGTTGTTATTAATTTGTAATCTTTCTTCATTTAATATAAGGTGATAAATATTTTATATCTTTTCTGAGTGGCCTGGGGAAGAAAAAGATTGATTGGCATTGAAAAAGTGAGAAACATTCCCACGCAAGGAAGGAAAGGGGCCAATGAGACAAGAAACAGCATAGGCTGAGTTTTTACAGGTGGGGGGCAAAGACTGCCAAGATATCATAAGGGGGACTCTCAAGAGAAGCGTGTATGCAGGAAACATTGGAGGAAGTGTTGCTGCAGGTGATACAGTATAATTACACTTTGGTGGTTTAGGTTTTGTTTTAATTGTTTGTATTTGAAAGACTTTAGTAAAATTTTGACTGCCTTTATATTCCTTTCCAAAATTAGGCTTGTGTCTCTTCCACTTTTTCTTATTTTTTTGGATTTACTTCTAATTAAATAATATATGTTCACATTAAAAGGTTTGAAAAATACAGGAGCATATAAAGAAGGAAATAAAAATCACCAATATTCCTCCCTAGAGATCTTTATTCTAATCCTTTTAATATGCATAATCCACAATCCCTTACCTTCATTTCAAAATTCAGAAAGCTCTGAAAATCGTAAATCATTTTGGAGGCAAAAGCTGACCTAAACAGATGTGAGGCTATTTATAGTCTTTATTTATCCCTATCTTCCTGAATATTTATATCTTAGCTGCAGTGTATTATATAATATATGGAATATCACCTTCTAAAAACCAGAACATTCTGATTTCTGAAACATATCTGACTCCAAGGGTTTGTAGACCTATCTATATTAAAATGTATATATGCATATATGTATTATACATTATTTTATTTTATTTTATTTTATTTTATTTTATTTTATTTTATTTTATTTTTTGAGACAGAATCTTGCTTTGTCGCCCAGGCTGGAGTGCAGTGGCACAATCTCGACTCACTGCAACCTCCACCTCCAGGGTTCAAGAGATTCTCATGCCTCAGCTTCCTGAGTAGCTAGGATTACAGGCATGTGCCACCACGCCCGACTAATTTTTTGTATTTTTAATAGAGACAGGGTTTTGCTATGTTTGGCCAGACTGATCTCAAACTCCTGACCTCAAATGATCCTTCTGCCTCAGCCTCCTAAAGTGCTGGGATTACAGGTGTGAGCCACCATGCCCGGACTATACATTATTTTATATCTCTACGTTTCAACAGTATGTTGTGAATATTTTACTGTCATCAAATATTATCAGAAAACAGTTTTTAATGGCAGCACGGTGTTCCATCATGTCATATGCATTCTTGTTCATTCAATCAATACCTTTTTATATATTTAAGACATTTTTGATTTTTCAGTATTATAAATAGCACTAGATTAAACACCCTTGTATATAAATCTGGATGTATGTCTCTCAATATGTTCTTAGGAGGAATTCATACATGGAGAATAGTTTGGATACAGCATTCAAACATTTTTTTAAAATTCACAACATATGAAAAAGGACTCCCAGTGAGGGGCGCCTCTGCCCGGCCGCCCCTACTGGGAAGTGAGGAGCCCCTCTGCCCGGCCAGCCGCCCCGTCCGGGAGGGAGGTGGGGGGGTCAGCCCCCCCGGGAGGGAGGTGGGGGGGGTCAGCCCCCCTGCCCGGCCAGCCGCCCCGTCCGGGAGGTGAGGGGCGCCTCTGCCCGGCCGCCCCTACTGGGAAGTGAGGAGCCCCTCTGCCCGGCCACCACCCCGTCTGGGAGGTGTGCCCAACAGCTCATTGAGAACGGGCCAGGATGACAATGGCGGCTTTGTGGAATAGAAAGGCGGGAAAGGTGGGGAAAAGATTGAGAAATCGGATGGTTGCCGTGTCTGTGTAGAAAGAAGTAGACATGGGAGACTTTTCATTTTGTTCTGCACTAAGAAAAATTCCTCTGCCTTGGGATCCTGTTGATCTGTGACCTTACCCCCAACCCTGTGCTCTCTGAAACATGTGCTGTGTCCACTCAGGGTTAAATGGATTAAGGGCGGTGCAAGATGTGCTTTGTTAAACAGATGCTTGAAGGCAGCATGCTCGTTAAGAGTCATCACCAATCCCTAATCTCAAGTAATCAGGGACACAAACACTGCGGAAGGCCGCAGGGTCCTCTGCCTAGGAAAACCAGAGACCTTTGTTCACTTGTTTATCTGCTGACCTTCCCTCCACTATTGTCCCATGACCCTGCCAAATCCCCCTCTGTGAGAAACACCCAAGAATTATCAATAAAAAAATAAATTTAAAAAAAAAAAAAAAAAAAAAGAATGGACTTTCCCAGGCCAGCTGTGGTGGCTCACGACTGTAATCCCAGCACTGTGGCAGGCCAAGGCGGGCAGATCACCTGAGTTCAGGAGTTCAAGACCAGCCTGACCAACACGGAGAAACCCCGTCTCTACTAAAAATAAAAAAAATTAGCTGGGCGTGGTGGTGCATGCCTGTAATCCCAGCTACTTGGGAGGCTGAGGCAGGAGAATTGCTTGAACCCAGGAGGCAGAGGTTGTTGTGAGCTGAGATTGCACCATTGCACTCCAGCCTGGGCAACAAGAGGGAAACTCCATCAAAAAAAAAAAAAAAAAAAAAGGACTTTCTCAAAGAAAATGTATTTAAATGTCTGCACCAATAATTCCAGCATGTGTATGAATAAATATGATATGTCCTTTACAAAAAAAAAAAAAAAAAAAAAAAAAAAGAAAAAGGACTCCCAGTGTCTCCCACTGAAGTGGAATGCTATAGTCCCCAGCCTACACACCTATCCTTGTTTCTTTGTTTGTGCTTTTATTTTATTTATGGTGCTTTTGACATACAGATTTTTTTTATTTCAACAGGTTTTGGGGGGAACAGGTTGTGTTTGGTTGCATGAATAAGATTTTTAGTGGTGATTTCTGAGATTTTGGTGTACCCATCACCCAAGCAGTGTACCCTCTACCCAATAAGTAGTATTTTATCCCTCACACCCTCAAACCTTTTCTCCCCAGTCCCCAAAGTCCATTGTATCATTCTTAGGCCTTTGTGTCCTCATAGCTTAGTTCCCACTTATGAGTGAGAACATATGTTTGGTTTTCCATTCCTGATTTACTTCACTTAGAATAATGGTCTCCAATTCCACCCAGGTTGCTGCAAATGCCATTATTTTATTCCTTTTTATAACATACAGATGTTTTAAAATTCTTCCAGTCATATTATCTATCTTGTCCCTCTGGTTTTAGACTCAGGTATTATGATTAAGAAAATCTTGGCCACTCAACAATATATAACTAATTGAATATATTCTTTTTCTTGTTTTATAGTTTATTTTAAAGCACTTAATGCCTTAATCGACCTAACATTTAGAGTTTAATGTGAGGTAAAACTTTTATGTTTACTAAAGTTAACCTGCTATCTCAACATTGTTTACTGTCTAACCCACTTTTCCTCCACTGATTGGAAATGCAAATCTTATCACATATTAAGCTATTGTACATACAAGAGTCTAATTTTGGCCCTTTCATTTTGCTCCATATTTATCAATGTTTGTAATGTAAATGATAAAATTATTGGCATTTGATAATGTTTTAAAAATCTGGTGGTGCTGGTTCCCCATTATTCTTATTTTTTTCCATTTCAAGCTTTCTTAGCTATTCTTGTCCATTTGCAATTCTAGAAGCTCTAATATCCCTCTACTATCCAACTAGAAAAACAATGATGCTTGAGTTTCAATTAGACTTGGCTTCAATTTATAGATTAATTTAGGAAATATTGACATCTTTACAACATTGAATCTCTATACTGGGAATGTGGCTTACCTCTCCATTTATTCTAACTACTTTTATGTCTCTAAGAAGGTTTTATAGTTTTCTTTAAATGAGTATTTTAAAAATTATTTCTCAGTTTTATTTTTATTGCTATAATGAAGAGGAGTTTTACATCTTATTTTACAAGAAAGCATCATTTTTTATATATTTATCTTGTAAACAGTCACCTCACTGAACTATTAGACTATTAAGTCTAATAGTTTTTCCGTTGATTCATTTGTATTTTTTGTTAGACAATTATATTGTCTAAGAATAATGTTGATTTTGTCCCTCCTTTCCGGTAGTTACATCTTTTATTTATGATTCTTTCAATACATTAGCCATATCTTCTACAACACAATGCTAAATAACAGTGGCAATAGCAGACATCTGTATCTGACTTTAATGGATATGTCTCTAGTTGTTCGCCAATAAGTATCACGATGTTTGGGGTTCATAATCATTATCATATAAATAAAATATCCTTCTGTTCCTACTTTTCAAAAGTCAAATATAAGTGTTGAATTTTTATAAAATGGCTTTTATAGCACCCATCAAGATAACAGTATGATAGCTTAAGGAGAAGTTTTTCTCTTATTGTTGTGATGAGATTTCTTAATCCTGCATCTTTCTTATATTTGCCCATGTGTTCCAACTTGGTGAAGGCACGTTATTATTTGCAAGTTATTTCTTGATGTTCTATTGAATTCTTCCTTTTCAAAGTCATATTTTGTTTTTCATTGACACATAATGATTGTAAATATTTATGGGTACAGTGTGATGTTTCAATACATGTATACATTGTGTAATGATCAAATCAGGTAATTTAGATATCCGTCACAACATAATTTTCATTTCCCTGTGTTCAGAGCATTCAATATTCTCTCTTCTAGATATTTTGGACTATATATTTTTTTAAAAAATAAATTATGGTTAACTATTCACTTTACTGTGCACTAGAACACTAGAAATCATTCTTCCTCCCCTCTACCCTCCCTCAGTTTCTGGTAGCCACTATTCTACTCTAATTCTAAGAGATCAAATTTGTTAGATTCTCAAGAGTGAGATCATGTGGTATTTGTCATTCTATGCCTAGCTTATTTCATTTAGGATAATGCCCACCGTATTCATCCATGTTGTCACAAATGACATAATGCCATTCTTTTTTTATGGCTGAATAGTATTCCATTGTGTATATGTACCGCATGTTTTAATCCATTCATTTGGTGATGGGTACTTAGGGTGATTCTATATCTTGGCTTTTATGAATAGTGCTGCAGTAAACACGGGAGTACAGATAGATACCTCTACAATATACTGATTTCACTTCGTTTTTTTAAATTTTATATTTAAAATGAAAAAAATCCTTTCAAAGTTTTCTTAATGATTGCACCTCTTTTGGATATGTATTTAGTAGCAGCACTGCTGAATCATAGAGCAGTTCTATTTTTAGTTTTTTGGGGAACCTGCATACTATTCTCCAAAGTACTAATTTACATTTCTACCAATACTGTATGAAGGTTCTTCTTTCTCCACATCATTGCCAGCATGTGTTACTGGTTTTTTTCATACAAGGCATGTAAATTGGGGTGAGATGATATCTCATTGTAGTTTTGATTTGTATTTCTCTGATGACCAATTATGTTCAGCCTTTTTCATATATCTTTTTGCAATTTATATGTCTTATTTTGAGAAATGTCTGTTTGGATCTCTTGTCCACTTTAATAATCAGATTATTATTTTTTTTTTTTTTGCTATTGAGTTGTTTGTGTTACTTATATATTCTGCATATTAACACCTTGTCAGATGCATAGTTTGCAAATATTTTCTCCTGTCCTGTAGGTTATGTCTTTACTATGTTGATTGTTTCCTTTGCCATGCAAAAGCTTTGTAGCTTGAGGTAATCCCAATTGTCTATTTTTGCTTTGGTTGCCTGTTTTTGAGGTCTTACACAAAAAAATATTTGCCCAGACTAATGTTCTGGAGCATTTCCTTCAGTGTTTTCTCATAGTAGTTTCACAATTTCAGGTCTTACATTTCAGTCTTTAATCCACTTTGATTTGATTTTTGTGTATGGTGAGAGATAGGGTCTAGTTTCATTATTCTGCATATAATTACCCAGTTTTCCCAACACCATTTATTGAAAAGATTGATCTTTCCTCATTACATGTTCTAGGCAACTTTGTTGAAGATAAGTTGGTTGTAAATGCATGGGTTTATCTCTGGTTTCTCTATTCTGCTCCATTGGCCTAGTGTCTGGTTTTATGCCACTACCATCCTGTTTTGGTTACTATTGCTTTGTAGTACATTTTGAAGTCAGGTAGTTTGGTGCCTTAAACTTTTTTTTTTAATGCTCAAGACTGCTTTAGCTATTTGGGATTTTGTGTGGTTTCATATACATTTTAGAATTTTTTTCTATCCATAAACAATGACATTGGTATTTTGATAAAGATTGCATGTGAATCTGCAGATTGCTTTGGGTAGCTATGGACATTTTAACAATATTAATTCTTTCAAGTCATTAACACAAGATGTCTTTCCATTTATCTGTGTCCTTTTCAACTTCTTCCATCAATGTTTAATAATTTTCATTGTAGAGATTTTTCACCTCCTTAATTAAATTTACTCCTAGGTATTTTATTTTTTGTAGCTATTTTAAATGGGATTGCTTTTTAAATTTCTTTTTCAGATAGTTCAATGTCGGCATATAGAAACCCTAATTCGTGTAGATTGACTTTGTATCCTACAACTTTACTGAACTTGTTTTTCAGTCCTAACAATTCTTTGGTGGCATCTGTAGGGTTTTCTGTATACATGTCATCTACAAATAGGGACAATTTGACTTCCTCTTTTCAAACTTGGATGCTTTTTATTTCTTTCTCTTGCCTAACTGCTCTAGCTAGACCTTCCTGTACTATGTTGAACAGAAGTGGTGAAAGTAGGCATCATTGTTGTGTTCCTAATTTTAGAGGAAAAGCTTTCAACTTTTCCCAGTTTAGTATGATGTTAGCTATGGGTTTGTCATACATGACCTTTATTGTGTTGAGGTACATTCCTTCATACCTAATTAGTTTAGGGTTTTTATCACAAAGGAATGTTGAATCTTATCCAGTTCTTTCTCTGTGTCTATTGAGATGATCATATGGTTTTTGTCCTTCATTCTATTACTGTCATATATCACACTTACTGATTTATGTACCTTGAAACATCCCTGCATTCCATTTAATCAATGTGAATGATCTTTCGGAGCACTGTTTGATTTGGTTTGCTAGTATTTTGTTGAGGATTTTACATCTATGTTCATCAGGGATATCAGCCTGTATGTAGTTTTCTTTCTTTGTTGTGTCCTTGTGTTTTGATATTAGAGTAATGCTAGTCTCATAGAATGAGTCTGAAAAAATTCCTAGCCACTTCAATTGTTTGGAATAATTTGAGAAGAATAGGTATTATTTCTTCCTTAAATGTTTGATAGAATTCCATAATGAAGCCATCAGTTCCTGGGCTTTTTTTTTTTTTTTTTTTTTTTGATGGGAGACTTAATCACTGATTCAATCTCATTACTCATTATTGGCTATTCAGGTTTTCTAATTCTTCATAATTCAGTCTTGGTAGGTTATATTTGTCCAGAAATTTATCCATTTATTCTAAGTTTTCCAATTTGTTGGCATGTAATTTTTCATAACAATCTTTAATGATCTTTTGTATTTCTGTGTTATCAGTTATGATGTCTCCTTTTTCATCTCTGTTTTTTTTTTTTTCCAGTCATATCTCTTTTTTTCTTAGTCTGGCCAAAGGTGTACTGATTTTATCATTTCAAAAATATATCACTTCATTTTGTTGATCATTTGTACTTTTAAAAATTTCTATCGGCCGGGCGCGGTGGCTCACGCCTGTAATCCCAGCACTTTGGGAGGCTGAGGTGGGTGGATCACAAGGTCAGGAGATCTATATCATCCTGGCTAACATGGTGAAACCCCGTCTCTACTAAAAATACAAAAAAAAAATTAGTCAGGCGTGGTGGCTGGCACCTGCAGTCCCAGCTACTCGGGAGGCTGAGGCAGGAGAATGGCGTGAACCCAGGAGGCGGAGCTTGCAGTGAGCCGAGATCTCACCACTGCATTCCAGCCTGGGAGACAACAAGACTTCATAAAAAAAAACAAAACAAAACACTATTGTATTTATTTCTACTCTGATCTTTATTATTTCTTTCCTTCAAATTTTGAGTTGAATTTGTTCTTGTCTTTCTAGTTCCTTGAGATGCAACATTAGGTTATTTGTGATCTTGTTTTTTTTTTTTTTTTTTTTTGGTGTAGGCATTTATTGCTCTAAACTTCTTAGAGGTGCTTTTGTTGTATTCCATAGATTATGGTGTGTTGTATTTCCATTTTCACTTGCCTCAAGAAATTGTTAAATCTCCTTTTAAATTTCTTCTTTGACTCATTGGTTATTCAGGAACATATTGTTTACTTTCCTTGTATTTGTACAGTTTCCAAAGTTCCTACTGTTACTGATTTCTAGTTTCATTCCATTGTGGTCAAGAAAGATACTTGGTAGGTTTCCAGTTTTTTTTAATTTGTTAAGACTTGTTTTGTGGCTTCATATATGATCTATCCTCAAGAATGTTCCATGTGCTGTTTAAAAACATGTATATTTTACAACTATTGGATGGAATGTTCTGTAAATGTCTGTTAGGTCCATTTGATTTAGAGTATGGTTTAACTCTAATGTTTCTTTATTGATTTTCTATCTGGGTGATTTGTCCATTGCTGAAAATGGGATGTTGAAGCCCCCTACTATTATTGTATTGCAGTCTATCCTTTTAGGTCTATTAATATTTACATTTTTATTAATTATATCTTTTATTATAATTAATATATATATTAATTTTTATATATCTTTATACACTTAGGTGCTCTGATGTTGGGTGCATTGTGTGTATGCACACATGCACTCTTGTTGTATTTACCCTTAATCACTGTATAATGGCCTTCTTTTACAGTATTTGGTTTATAGTCTATTTTATCTGATATAAGCATAGTTACTCCTGTTCTTTTTATGGTGCCCATTTGCATAGAATATCTTTTCCATCCTTCATTTTCAGTCTGTGTGTATCCTTCCAGGTAAAATGAGTCTCTTGTAGGCAGCATATAGCTGGGTCTTTTTTAAAAAATCCATTAAGCCACTCTGTGTCTCTTAATCGTAGATTTTAATCCATTTACATTCAAGGTAATTGTTGGTAGGTAAGGACTAACTACTGCCATTTTGTTACTTGTTTTCTAGTTGATTTGTAGATCCTTTCTTCTTCCATTCTTCCTCTCTTGCAGTCTTCCCTTGGTCGGGGTTAAGTGATTTTCTCTAGTAGTATGTTTTGATTCCTTACTTTTTAGTTTTAGTGTATCTAATATAGGTTTTTGCTTTGTGGTTACCATGAGGCTTACCAAAAAATCTGATATTTATAACAAGTTTTTTGTTGTTGTTGTTTTGTTTTGTTTTGTTTTTTAGGGACAATGTGCCTGAACTGTGTGAGACAGTTGGTCAGGGACACAAGCCCAGAAGCCTGTCCCAGTGGCCCAGATGGGTTTGTCTTCCAGCAAGTCTCTGCACAGATGGGATAGTTTCCAAATGCAGCAGGAGGAGCCAAGGCTGAGACCGGAGCCCTTCAGGACTTGACGTGGGGCAGAGCTGGCAAGCCCACCTCATTGGTTCAGATGGGAGTGTGTCTCCCAGCAGGTCTCTGCACAAATTAGTTTCCTGACTACAGCAGGAGGAACTGGAGCTGAGACTGGGCCCTTTTGGGATCTGCTGGAGGATGATGGCTGAAGAGCTCATCTCATTGGCTCAGAAGGGCATGTATCTCCCAGTAGATCCCTGCACAGGTAGGATAGTTCCCTGACTGCAGCAGGAGGGACCAGAGCTGACAGTGGGCACCCTTGGTATCTGCTGGGGTACAGAGGTTGATGAGCCCTTCATGGAGGCTCAGACTCCCAGTCTGCTAGATATGAGCAAGCCTCCTTCTGGGCTCTTGCACAGTTAGCTCTGAGTTGGGACCTCAGCTGAGGGTGGTTGGAGACAAGCCACAGGGCAACTTTCAAGTTCACTGCCAAGATCGATGTTGGCAGGCAGACGAGCCTCTGCACTGAGACACTAGTGTGCCTGATTCCACCTACAACCCTTGGCAGTTGGTTTTAGTTGCAGGCTCAAGGCCAAAAAGGGCTATAGCCAAACTCCTTGGGGAGCAGGGCCATTTCTAGGCTTGAACCTGGAAGCACAATTGGCAGATCTGCCATTTGGGTGTCAGTTTGTGCTCTCAAAACAACCCTCCTAGGTCTTGGATTTTAATAGGGTTTCACAACCTTCTACCTATATCCCGAGGTTCCTGCAGAGAGACTTTGTCTGTAGATGGATACAGAATTCCTGATGTGGTGGTGGGATATGAGGGAGGGATATGTGGAGGGATATGAGACATCTTGCTGACATCACTATAAATTCATCTTGCTTGTGATTTAGTTAAGATCCTTACATTTATTTATTTATTTATTTTTGAGATGGAGTCTCACTCTGTCACCCAGGCTGGAGTGCAATGGCACAATCTCGGCTCACTGCAACCTCCACCTCCCAGGTTCAAGCTATTCTCATGTCTCAGCCTCCCGAGTAACTGGGATTACAAGTGCCCGCCACCACACCCAGCTAATTTTTGTATTTTTAGTAGACATGGGGTTTTGCCATGTTGGTCAGGCTGACCTCAAACTCCTGACCTCAGATGATCCACCCACCTCGGCCTCCCAAAGTGCTGGGATTACAGGCATGAGCCACCATGCCCAGCCAGTTTTCTTTCTTTTATGCAGTTACTATCTGGGTCGGTTTACTGTTTCAGAATAATGCAAATAAAGAGGAAAATGGGCCAGATGAAGTGGTTCATGCCTGTAATCCCAACACTTTAGGAGGCCAAGGAGGGAGGATCACTTGAGCTCAGGAGTTCAAGACCAGCCTGGGAAACATAATGAGACCTCATCTCTACAAAAAAACAGAAAACAAAATGTGGCTAGGATTAGTGGTGTGTGCCTGTAGTCCCAGCTACTTGGAAGGCTGAGGTAGGAGGATCACTTGAGCCTGGGAGGTCAAGGCTTTAGTGAGCCATGATTGCACCACTGCACTCCAGCCTGGGTGACAGAGTGGGAGCCTGTCTCAAAAGAAAAAGGAAAATGTATTCTCTTTTTCCATCTTTTGGAACAGAATATAGCATATGAGAGTCCTTGAAAGTTTTAAAGGACTTATCAGAAAATTATCCAAGCCTAGAGCCTTTGCTGATGTAATAATTTTAAAACTTCTACTTTTTCTCCCCTTGATTATTGGTTTATTCAGGGTTTTCTACCTTTTCTGAGGAAATTTTCTAAATTCATATGTTTCTATAAATTTGCCAATTTTAATGAGATGCTGTAATTTATTTTTTTTTTTTTTTTTTTTTTTTTTGAGACGGAGTTTCGCTCTGTCGCCCAGGCTGGAGTGCAGTGGCGCGATCTCGACTCACTGCAAGCTCCGCCTCCCGGGTTCACGCCATTCTCCTGCCTCAGCCTCCCGTGTAGCTGGGACTACAGGCGCGCGCCACCATGCCCGGCTAATTTTTGTATTTTTAGTAGAGACGGGGTTTCACCGTGTTAGCCAGGATGGTCTCGATCTCCTGACCTCGTGATCCGCCCGTCTCGGCCTCCCAAAGTGCTGGGATTACAGGCGTGAGCCACCGCGCCCGGCCTGTAATTTATTACTATAATTATGAGCCATTCTCTTATTATTTAAAATGTTAAAATGTTTCATCTGTACATATTGTTATATCAGTTTTCCCACTACTACTTTTGTGTGGTTGTGGGGTTTTATGTATTTGTTCTCTTTCGTTTGTTTTTAGGTGTTCTTTTTAAGCCCATCCTTCCTCTGAGACCTCCCTCCTCCAGTAGTCAGGCTCCTAGAAAGGCTCTCGTGCTAAACCCATCTGCTTTCTCCACTTTGCCCATGTACCCAGTACTCTGTGCAGAGTTTATCTGCTCCAAATTTCTCACTACAGATCTTGACCAGTACAAGACAATATCTATAACCAAAGTTTCCCTTCTCCTCTTTTTCTACAAAAACTTATTGATTCTGTCCCATCCGTATGTTATTTTCGGGTAGCTGGTTAATTCATTCAATGAAAACAATGAGAAGGAATGAAAAAGAAAGACCAATGAGATCACTGAAGTGGGGTTCCTGAGATAAGTTCTGAACCAGATCTGCCACGGACTAGGTCTGGGGCCTTATCTCCAGACCATAGTTTCCCCCAACTGTTAAAAAAAAAAAAAAAAGTAATTGGATTTCAAGATTTCCAGTCACATTCACCTGAAGCATTCTATGATTATTTATTATCCAGATTTTCAAATAAAATATTAATAGCTGAGACTACATTAACATGTTGTTCGGTATGTGTAATAGTTCCATTTTAACAGCTATCTTTGGGACTTTCAACCCAAAGCAGCAAGCAGCCTGAGACTTCCTAATACTGCTCAAATGATTTGGCAGTAGAATTGTTTATAAAATTCATTTGATCCTTCAGTGTTAAAGCCAAATCTATGTTGTTCCAGTACCCTAATAAAGTAATCAATAGAAGCCTGGATTGTTGTTGGAAAAAGTAAGGTAGGACCAAGAAACGGAAACCACCAAATTGCCAAGCAAAGCAGTATGATAACACTAAAGGATATAACACAAGTCTGCCCTTCTGCATTCATTTAATGTCAGTTATAATTTCTCCCAAAGGAGACCTTGAATTTTTTAATTATGTTCTCAAATTACAACATTTGAAATGGTAACTCTAGTTGAATACTCCTTCTTCTAGGCGTTGTATCTTCTAAGAAATGTCCCCCATTCCAGCTCTGTACATAAGGTTTCTACTAGGAACCTATCTCCAGAGCGACAGTTCATTGATTGGCCCAGAAAGGAGTGCATGACCAAAGCAAAGACAATGAGTTACTTCCCTGGATATTGGAACTTGGAACCATGACAATAAGAGGAGTTTCCCTGAGGGTGCTGAACATTCTGAGCACGTAAGCAGTGAAGCCCATGAGCCACTAGAAGCCACATGTTCTGCCATGTGGAGAAGAATGGTAAGTGTTAAGAGAGAAAAAATATACCTGTGTGCAGAGAGAAGTGAGGCTTAGAGGCAGCTGGATAAACACTCATAGAGCAACAGATTTGAGAGAGATTTGCAAACTATAAGGCTACTCGAGAGGCATCACTCTGAGATAAACTCAGACGGCTGGTGTGCTGCAGTAAATACTAGAGCAAAACTGCCTACTTTGAAGATAGCGAATGAGACTTAACCATGAGCAGTTGCCAATAGAACCTGGGAGCTCTTTGCATTGGTATCAGTGTTCAGACAGAAGACCGTGGCCATTTGAACACTGATCCACTGAGAATATAGAACAGTGTGGTGACAACAAATAGAGTGAAGTCAAGATGAGAAAAGAGAACATGAACATGGACCATGCTACCGTAGCTTGGTTTTATGCAGAGGGACATGTGGCTAGTACGTGGACATGACTGAATTGATTTTATATCATGCTTATGTCGACTATGTAATAAATTTAATGTAATTTTACTTCACAGGATAGATTTAGTGATTCATAATCAATCACTGTAATACTCAAAAGACATGATTGGATTAACCCTACAAGGTATAGTTACAGATACCTGACCCTAGAAGATTGCAAATGCCAATGTCAACAGCATTCCGATTTTCAGAGTATGAATGAAGCAAGGGATAAACAGTCCTTCTTACAGGATGGCTCAGTCCTGTCAAGAAAGTCCTTCTTACAGGATGGCTCAGTCCTGTCAAGATGTGCTCTGCATCCCTGTCCTTTAATCCTACTGACTCAGTCACACTTATAAACACTTCTGTGTTTATAACTTCTTTCCCATCTCCTCTCCCTGGAGTAACTTTCTATCTCCCACCACCCCACCTGGTAAATTTTATCTATTTTTTAATTTCCTACTCAAATATCATCAATGTGATGTTTTCCCCTATACCCCAGGCAATCCGAGTAGCTCTGAATCCTGTGATCAGCCACTTCTATGAAACATTTACTGCAGTTGTCACATTGCCTTCAATTACATGTTTACGTGTCTGTCTTTCCCAGCTGTGTTGTATTCATCTCTGTGCTCCCCAGATCTAGCACACTGCCTGTACTGAATGGTTATTAAGTGAAAGCAATGAAATAATTAATCCCTAACTACTATGCATTACAATAATGGTTATAGTTTTTTAATTTGTGACAAAATAAACTTTGCTGTAATTTTATATAGACATGGCAATAACATAAACTTTGGCTATTGTGTGTTCATTCTTGTTAGTCAGCTATCCATGCAATACAGCTATCTCCTTAGAACTTAAAACACAACCAATCAAAAAAAAAACACTATATGCTAGATGAGCATGTTCTTCTCTAAACAAAGATACCTATATCATACCCTCACTTTAGGAGGTATGAAAGGATGAAAGAGGAATAAGTTTAATATTTTTCGAATTCAGTTTTACATCTATTTCTAAGAATCAGTTATAAAATTACGAAAGGCAAAATTTGGGGCAAAAAAATATGGAAGTGTTGCTACATTTTGTAGATTGCTAGTCTTACCCAGTTTCAGTTTCTTGGCCAATGCATCAATTTGATTGGTGGGGTCAGATCCCATGGACAGGAAGCATATCAGAGGTGTCCGGGTATCACTTTCTTCCCAAGTTTTCTCCAGATTTAAGATAACTGGTTCTGTGTACTTCTCCTCCAAAGAATCTGCAATATACTTTCTTGCTTGAAAAACAGTACGGTCTGGGCACCAAGACCTAAAAATGAATACAAGTTAGGCGAAATAAACTAAACGTGTTCAATTTTTATCCTATCTGAGTAAGTAAAAACATACATTTAATTAGCAAAAGGGCAACAAGTTAATTCCTACTTTTCCACATCTAAGTAAGAGGAATGGCAAGGTTTCCTATCACAGATGAGCACAAACTTAATCGTGTGGTTTTGGTACCAGCCAGGCATTGGCAAGAAGTAGGGCAGAGCCCATAACAACACAGTGTCCTCTACCAGCTCCAACACATGGTAGGGGCTGACCTGCCACACACTCTGAAGCTCCACAGCCTTTTCAGAGGAGGAACCAATATGCCAAAGATGCCCAAAGTAAGTGGGTCAGCAAGCATTTGTGGCATACCATTTGTGTAGTGCACACCATAGCAAGTTCTACACACACAGACACATTGGATAAGTGTCATTTAATATTGATATGGTAAAGCACAGACAAGCCCCACAGACTTTTTTTTTTTTGGTGCTACTAGATTGCACTATTTGACATAGATCTAATTTTTAAGTGACGGATTAAAAAATAAGACACATTTGTTCCAATAAAACTAAGTAGCCCTGGCCAGGCACGGTGGCTCATGCTTGTAATCCCAGCACTTTGGAAGGCCAAGGCTGGCAGATCACGAGGTTAGGAGATCGAGACCATCCTGACTAACACAGTGAAACCCCATCTCTACTAAAAATACAAAAAATTAGCCGGGCGTGGTGGCAGGCGCCTGTAGTCCCAGCTACTCAGGAGGCTGAGGCAGGAGACTGGAGTGAACCCGGGAGGCGGAGCTTACAGTGAGCCAAGATCATGCCACTGCACTCCAGCCTGGGTGACAGAGTGAGACTCTGTCTCAAAAAAAAAAAAAAGCCTTTTCATACTCTGCGGACTATGAGGTCAACATTAGCGTTGTTCTGGTCACTCTTGAAGGTTGACAATATCTAAGAAACAGCTTTTTCTAAGAAGTGGAAACTTAGGTGTATAACATTAGAAAAGAAAAAATTGCTTCAAAATAACTCTACCTCTCATTTTTCATGTGGGGGTCTCATCTCCCCTGCTTTACTCCTCTGCCTTACCCATCCACCATACAAACACACACACACACACACACACACACACACACGCAGACACACACACTGATTTTTTTCAATGTGGAAGGTCTCTGAGTTACTGGATACTGAGAAAATGTAAACAGTGAAAAGAGAGGGCGATTTTCTTCTTTAACATCAATTTCAAACTTTTGTTTCCATTTTATAGCCAAAAGTAGCATTTATATATTTCAAATTCAGTGCAATATTATTGGGTTTTTTTCTCGAATGCAATTTAACTTTAGCTTATAAGCTAATTGTCTTGTAACTTTGTGAGGTCTGTTTTTTTAAAGAAATAAATTCAACAATAACTGATTTACACTCAATGGTAAATCATGAACAAAGTGAATATTAAAAGCATATTTTTCACGCTTTTTGCTAAAAGCACTATCATTAATACGTTGTCAAAATACATCATTCCCTGTCACCATCACCATTTTATTTTGCTTGTCAAGGAACTGAAGAACTGCTATCCAAAACCATAATTTGGAAGTACATACATTTCTTATAATATTAGGTTGGCACAAAAGTAATTGCGGTTTTTGCCGTTACTTTCAATGACAGTGATATAGTGAAGTAAACTCACTGAGATAAAATCTGTAATTTAGCAATATTATGAGTGATGCTTCTAGGTCTGATAATGCCTGTTCTCACCTGATAAGTAAAAGTTTATGGCAGGTATCTAGTGAATCATTATATCCATCAGGGATAATTTCCTCCTCTGGAGCATCTTTATCAAACCAGCTTTTCCACCCCTTCTCATTACGAGATATCTAAAAGAAGCAAGCCAATTAGCAAGCCACAGAACTATATGTAAGTGGAATATATTACAAAGGATTCTGAATCACCTGAGAGGGTCATTCTTTACAGGCAGATAATTTTTCAAGCATAACAGCACAGTTTAAACCTTTCTTCAGGATCAATGACTTGAATAACTTGGATATTACTATTCCCTTCCAGTTCTTCCATTATTTTTCTACATTATTCGCTACAATTAGGATCGTGTGTCAACTGCACCAAATGATTGGGCCAGAAGAAACACAAATCAAGGTTTCTCAAGCTTGGTATTACTGTCATTTGGATCTGAATTTTTTTTGTGGGGGGTGCTGTCCTGGGCATTGTAGGATGTTTAGCAGCGTCCCTATCCACTAGATGCCAGTAGCACCCTCCACCCGGGTCCTAACAATCAAAAATGTCTCCAGACACAGCCAAATGCCCCTGGGGGTGGGTAGATTACCCTCAGTTGAGAACCACTGACAGACCATTCTGATAACCCAACCTCTAAATGTTGATCTCTACTTAAAAATAATGATAGATGACAAAATCAAAACTTTTATTTTCCTAGTGATCCCCCACCTTGAGACCTAAAGCCTAATAACGAAAGGAGTCTCTCCAACAGCTGGTCTTAAATATTGTTCAGAAGCATGAAAAGGACTTCAGGTTTTCAGAGGCATTAAAAGGTGCTCACTGACGCCCAAGTTCCATCAAGACTAAGTACGAAAACTATAGATTATTGAGCCTATCCCTGCTCTTCAGCAACAATCAGGCTGGGTTATTTAGACGGTGTTTGTAAGTGTGCTTTTAAAAAAGCCACAGTACACAGTGGCTCATGCCTGTAAGCACTTTGGGAGGCCGAGGCGGGCAGATCACCTGAGGTCGGGAGTTCGAGACCAGCCTGACCAACATGGAGAAACCCTGTCTCTACTAAAAATAAAAAAATTAGCCGGGCGTGGTGGCACATGCCTGTAATCCCAGCTACTCGGGAGGCTGAGGCAGGAGAATCACTTGAACCGAGGAGGCAGATGTTGCTGTGAGCCAAGATTGTGCCATTGCACTCCAGCTCTGGGCAACAAGAGCGAAACTCCCCCTCAAAAACAAAAAAATAAAAAAATTAAAATTAAAATAAAAAAGCCACAGTAAGCAGTAATAGCAAATAGCAAAGGCTCACATAGCAGATGCCCTATGCCAGACCTGAGGATTACACTTTTTCCTCTATGACCCCTACTTTTTATTGAGGCATAGAGAGGTTAAATAACTGTCCAAAGTCTCATATCTGTGGTGTGAACAATTCATCATACAGGATACAGATAGAGTATAAATTAATAACAGAACAGTTATTCTGCAACTCAGTTGCTCCCACTTTGTCCCTGGGGCACTAAAAGATGAAGGGGATTTCTGGCCTGGCATGGTGGCTCATGCCTGTAATCCCAGCACTTTGGGAGGCAGAGGCGGGCAGAGTGCCTGAGCTCAGGAGTTCGCGACCAGCTTGGGCAACACGGTGGAACTCCGTCCCTACTAAAATACAAAAAATTAGCTGGGCGTGGCAGCGTGTATCTGTAATCCTAGCTACTCAGGAGACTGAGACAGAAGAATTGTTTCAACCCAGGAGCTGGAGGTTGCAGTGAGCTGAGATTGCGCCATTGCACTCCAGCCTGGGCAACAGAGTGAGACTCCATCTCAAGAAAAAAAAAAAAGAAGAGGATTTCTGAAATGTTTCACAACTGCCATCTATCTCCTGAAGATTGCAGCAGCTCTCTCTGGTTGGCTGCCCTCAAAGAAGATGCCTGCATGCCAGGGCCTGGGTGTTGCGAGCCCTACCTTGCCCCTGCCCACAGTGTCCCCCACAGGCCTCCTCCACATCTGCAGCTGAGGCACAGGAAGAAAGCGGATGACTATTCTTCACCTACTGACTTTCCACCTGCTAATTTTGACTTGACCACAGTAGAGCTTCAAAGTGAGCTGCAGCCATGATAGGTGATAAGATGACTTCCAGCCTCTGGATGTCCATCTCCATTTCTCATTCCTTTTCCTGACCCTTGGCCTGGGATGCCAAGGTCAGGGCAGCTGCTCTATTATATTTCAGTTCCTGACATCCACTCAGCTGGGAGATTGATCTTCTGCTTCCTCCCTTCCTTCCCACAGGCAGGCCAGACTGATGGCCACCTGACTGCAGGTCTCCGCTGAACTTTTGCAACCTTCCTGAGAACTGCCCCTCACCCCACTTCTGGCCCAATCGGTGGTGTAAGAGGAGTGGGAGAGAAATAACTCATGATGGCATGGGAAGAGCATGAGCTTTGCCACTTATTGGCAATGGGCTCTTGGGCAAGTACTTAACTAACTCTTTGAATCTCTGTTATCTCATCTATAAATTAGGGTCAATAACTCTGCCCTTCTGTGGCAGGGTTATTGTTGCAAAGTACCTATCCCATAGTAAGCAGTAATAGCTACTATATTCTACCTCATGAGTAGTTAAAACCTAGTTGGCAGAGGCAAACAATAATAAATATCCTTGTATCAATATAAACCATCATTAGAGGGCGTGGGCTTCAAGTGATTTTTCCAGTGGTTCTTGACTATCTCCCTTACCCAATCTCTGATCAGACCGAGATCACTTTCTTTTCTTTTTTTTTCCCCCAAGACAGAGTCTCACACTGTCACCCAGGCTGGAGTGCAACGGTGCAATTTCGGCTCACTGCAACCCCCGCTTCCCAGTTTTAAGCGATTCTCCTGCCTCAGCCTCCCGAGTAGCTGGGATTACAGGCACCCGCCACCACACCCAGCTAATATTTTGTATTTTTAGTAGAGTCGGGGTTTCACTATGTTGGTCAGGCTGGTCTCAAACTCCTGACCTCGTGATCCACCTGGCTCAGCCTCCTAAAGTGCTGGGATTACAGGCGTGAACCATCGGGCCCAGCCCAAGATCACTTTCTTTTTCCAAGCATTTGTTTGGGCTTGGAGGACTCATCTGTGGTTGTACTACAAAACAAAGCTCACTGTCTATCCACAGATGGAACCCAGAGAGTTTATCCAATTGACTCAGACCCAACCAGGCTGAATAGGTAGAGTCTACACAATGTTTCAGAAATGCCACTAAACAAACAGAGGCAGCTAACACAGTATGTTGGGCAGGGGATTGGTGATTACAGCATGAGGCTCTGACAACCTGCAGTCTACCTATGGCCCCATCTGTCAGTCACTAGCAGCCATAGAAAAGAGATGATTATTGGCATCTGACACTGGGAAACTGCAGGCTCCATTAGTGACAGGCAGTTGCAGCCAACAGAACCCAGTAAGAAACAGCTATCTTTATTCTGAGTCTCATGATTGTTTTCCAGTAACAATTGACTCAACAATTAATCCACAGTAATCAATGTACATTTTCAAATAAGAAAAAAACAACAAGCAAATCGGTACCTATTTCTCCATTTTCACCATTATATTTCACCACTAAAATAATTAATTTTTTAGAGGGACCTCAACCTCTTAATTTGACTCACATTCAAATCTGTACAAATCACTTAATCATAGGCAGAAGTTAAAGTGTAAAAGCATGAGTCGTCTACAATAAAAGGGTCCATCTACTGGTTCTGATTCCAGCAGCAACTCTAACAGGCATACAAAAATGACCCATGCCCACCACACAGGAGGAAAACATAGTTGCCTGCAACTATGAAGAGGTTAACCCTGAGGTCCATCTGTCCAAGATCTCTCCCAGACAGCCACAGAGCCTCAAATCCAAACTATTGGGTTGACTTTTTTGGGTGAAGGAATTGCTGCCAGGAAGCCCCAGTTTAAGCGGCCCAGGTATGTTTGGGTTTGCAGATCTGCACTTTCAACCAGCCCTTTATTGTATTACCTGGTTCATAATTTCTGCAAATTGTGGAAGTTTACTCAGCTCCACAAGATTCAGCCAAGTCATGTCAAGGATCCAGCGATAGGGTTTGGGAGGACAGGCTTTCAGGTCCAGAGCTGCTCCCCCTGGGGAAGAGCGTCAGACAGGGTGAATTGGGTAAGCCTGTACTTCACTTCTAGAAATGTACTTTTCAAATAATAAAAGCAAAATAGCCACATTACTGAAAATATAGGAAAATTGGAAAATAATAATATTACAGAAAATGTGAGGGTTTTTTGGTACATTTCCTTCAAGTCTTAGTGTTTTATTTACTGATTTATACCATCTTATAAGGTATAAATAACAACTCTGTCATTTTTCCCTGCAAAGAATTTTTCTCAAGTGATTATATTTGTTTGCTTTTTATTTTTTAACAACCTAAAACTTATAATTTTGATATCAATGAATATGTTGATCTTTCCATGTGTGGATTTTAAATATCACTTCTTAGTCATTACTCCTCCAGAAGCTTGCCATTAAAAACTACTTGTTACCAGGTCAAACAGATAGATAAAGACATGGATGGGTTAGGGTTGGGGTTAAGGTTAGGGTTAGGGTTAGGGTTAGGGTTAGGGTTAGGGTTAAGGTTGGGGTTAGGGTTAAGGAAGGAGGGTGGGAGAAACATAGGCCAGGGATAAAAAGAGGGGGGGAATAAAGAAGGAAGTGAAGGAGGAAATGATATAATAGATCTATGGGTTTTTTAGTGGATGAGTAATATTTAAATCATTTATCCATTCATTGATTGAACAAATATTTATTGAGCGCCCTCCAGGTGTTTGACATGTTCCAGACACTGGGGGATATAGCACAGAAAACCCAACCAGGCCCTTGCTTTTACAGAGCTTGAGTCCAGTGGAGAATGAGTTACAGCATTGATCATATTCTGAAGCATATCTCAGGCCAAATGGGCATACCCAGCATTTTCCAATGAAATACATGATGATATTTACAATTTAAAAATTCCTCTATTGCATGTCTTTAGTAATGTATCATAATAATTCCAGCTCCACTGTTGTTTAATTCAGATGCATGCAAAGCAGTGATTCTTTAACTTTTAAATCTTATCATCTTCCTTAAGAACTCATCATTCCTTCCAGTTCACAAATCAACTCATGGACCAAAAAGGGGCTTGGGGGAACTACAGGTCTTTGCTCTCCCCATCTAGCATCGTCCTGAGTAGCTGTATGAACGAAAGTACTTTTTTCATGTAAACCCATTTGCTTCACCACAGGGGACTTGGGAATCTGTGGCTCTGAGTGCAACAACACCTTTAGAACAATGTGTAAACCTTCTTCTTACTGTCGGCCCCTCTGCAACCTGGAGACAGAGCAGGTCTCACTGGAGCAACAGTATTGCTAATGTAGGAGTCACTGGTGCGAGAAGCAGCCACTAGAGAGAGCCACCTGCAGGCCTGGCACAGAGACAAACTCACCCCTTTTCTTCTTGGTTGTTTCCAAAGAAATGTTTTCATGTAATCCTGAGCTTTAGAGACACCAGGAGAAGAAATCTAAGCTACCTTTGTGTTTCCTAAACTAACCCAGAACAATGACAGCCCTTCCTATTCCCCCAAAATATCCTGGCTCTGCCGCTTGTTAGCTGCATAAACTTGAACAAAAAAACATGAATCCCTCTCAGTTTCCTCATCTGCCAAGTGGATGTCTGATAGAATCTACCAGATTGGCTGCTGTGAAGGTTAAATACATTAATGTACCTAGAACAGTATAGAATAATAATAAGAGCTATGTAATCATTAGCTCTTGTTCTGACATTCTTTCTCTCTCTCTTTTTCTTTCCCCGCTTGGAAGGCCCAGGTTCAGTCCAGTTTGGAAGGCAAGAAAAGACCCCCTAAGGTGTCTTTTTGTACAGAGTCTATGACAAAAGAAAGATAATATCTTTCTAAAATAACCAGACAGGGAAGAAAGATAAGTCCATTGCTCTATAATGCAGGATTGCGCCTGGTATCCATTTCATTTTTCAAAGTGTTCTGACATTTTTGGTTGAAGAAGAAAGTCAAAGGCACCTTGCAAATATTGCAGAAAGCAAGTAGTAATTGAAACAAACAAAAAAAACCTGTCACTCTTGGGAAATCAAACATTTCTGCTAGGATAAATAACTCTTCCACTCTCCCCCTTAAGTATTGAGTTCAAAATGATTTTTTAAAAGTATCTGTGATCTAAGGATCATATTTGTTAACTTTGTAAAGAAACATTAAAAACAAAGTCATACCATCTTTTAAAGATAATTCAGTCAAAATGTAAGCCAGTTCAAAACTAAAACAAATGTTATGTTTTGTTTAAAAAGAAAAACTCCTTTATTGCTAAGCCAATTGTACTGCTGTCAATCAACCTATCATAAAATCCCAAATTAATCTTCTTAAAGCACTGTTCTGTTCATGCCACATCCCTGCTCATAAAACATTCGATGGCTCCCTATTGCCAACTAAATTAAATCCAAACTCCTCTCACTGACTCTCCTGGCCCTATACAGTATAGTTCTCCCTGACTCCAATTTCATGAAATGGGGTCACAAATGTGCTCACACCACAACCCATGTGTTCAGCCTTCTTTATTTTTCTGTAACAAATCTAATCCTCCCTGATGAATTCCCTCCCCACTGTGTTGCCGTGTTTCTCAGTCTCCTCTGGTTTACCCACCCTCTTTCAAATAACCCAGTCTCTTTCAGGTAGTAGCTCTGGTCTGCCTGGTTGGTAGGTGGGAGAGGTGAGACGGGGTGGGACTATGTCTTAGTATCGAGCATGCCTCAGGTATGCAGGCTGCCCTCCAGGCTTCCCACACCTCAGGTGCAGGCTAGGTCCCTGTACTGTATCCTATGAGCTACGACAAATGCTATCTGTTGGGGCCCTGGACTGCAATCCACTGCCCCAGCTCCTGGCATTGGTCCTTTGTCTGCAGGTACAAAGTTCTCTTTCTTGACAGCTTTTTGGTTTGACCTCTAGTCTCTGCTGTGTGCCAGCCAAACCTCAGGCTCACCCATCCAGCCATTCCCCTGCTTCCATGGTGGGTGTGACACTGGGCAGAATGCAGGGGCATCTCCTATCTGGGAGTTTCTCCGGCACTCTCCCCTTCTCAGCTCCCTCAGGAGGCAAGGAAGAGATGAGGATCTTTGCACCTGACCTCCTCTTTCTACCTCTGACCTCCTTTTTCCTTCCCACCATCCACTGTGGACCCAGGCACCAGGTTTCCCACTTCTTCCTTTCTATGTCATATGTGCCTCCTTCTCAGGGGTCATATTAGCAGATGGCATTGAGGAAGCAAAGCCAGCTCACCAGTAAGGAAAGATTCAAAAGTATACTTCTCCTCCACTCGTATTGCACGGTATCTTTGTCCATTCAGCCACTATCACCAAATACCATACGCTGGGTGGCTTAGAAACAACAGAAATTTTTATTTCTCACAGCTCTGGAGGCTGGGGAGTCCAAGATCAAGACCCTGATGAATTCAACGTCTGGTGAGGGCCCATTTCCTGGTGCATAGATGGCTCCTTTCATGGTGTCCTGACATGGTGGGAGGGGGAGTGAGCTCCCTCAGGCCTCTTTCATAAAGGCACTAACCCCATTCACGAGAGCTCTACCCTCATGACCTAATCACCTTCCAAAGGCCTCACATGCTAATACCATCACCTTGGAGGGGGTGGGGTAAGATTTCAACAGATGAAGTTTGAGGGGACACAAACATTCAGACCATGGTGCATAGATATGAGGCTTCCCCAGATTGTGGGGGTCATTTTGCTGCCACTGCTGCCTGGATTTCAGCACGCTTCAATGCCCCCTACCCCCCTGCTCAGCATCATACAATACCAGGGCTGCAGCCCAAGTCCAAGTGAGGGCTTAAAGATTTTTGAAATGAGGTAAAATAGGTTTCCAGATTGGGTAAATTCACTTACTTTACTTAAGCATCCCCAAGACCAAAACCTCATACATCTTGACACTCTCTGCAGTGCCTCCTCCCCACCCTAGATAGTGTTCATTGTACCACACCACACTGCCTTAAAAAACCAACTTCCATAAGTGCATTAGACCTGTGAAAAAAATATGAACCACATGATACATTTCAACTTCCTTGGAACTACCAGAAATAAAACCTGTGTTCATGAAAAAGGCACAAAGAAGAGATTTCAGAGATGATGCAAAATAGTTTGCGAAGTTTCCACAGTGGTAATCTAACCTGAATCTGAGGAAGGAATTAAATGAAGTAGAGAAAGAGTAAGAAGTTATCGGTGACTGCCCGTTTATTATAAATAGGCTGCAGAGGACAAAAGTATAGCAGGTCCTATCACCTTGTGGGTTAGAAATACTCCACATTTTTTCCCTAGATTAGCTTTCATTCCCATGGCTTTGGCTGTTATTTCTGTACCCCATCTTTGTAACTGCCTGACTCTTCTCTTGGACTGTCTAGATTCCTTTTTTTTTTTTCTGAGACAGAGTCTCACTCTGTCACCAGGCTGGAGTGCAGTGGCATGATCTCTGCTCACTGCAACCTCCGACTCCCTGGTTCAAGTGATTCTCCTGCTTCAGCTTCCCGAGTAGCTGGGACTACAGACACGTGCCACCACGCCCAGCTAATTTTTGTATTTTTAGTAGAGACAGGGTTTCACCTAAACCGGTGACCAGGATGGTCTCGATCTCCTGACCTTGTGATCCGCCTGCCTCAGCCTCCCAAAGTGCTGGGATTACAGGCATTAGCCACCGCGCCCGGCCTAGGTTATCTTTTCTAATTGTTTTCTGGATAGCTCAAATTTCACGTCTGTAGTCATAAGAGCTGGTCACAAACTGTTTCCCCGCCTTTCAAACACACGGGGAACTGCATTTCCCTGCTCTTTTTGAAGTGAGATGTGGCTGTGTGTCTGGCTTTGGCTAAGGAAATAGGAGCGTAAGTGACATGTGTCACTTGTGGGGTAACTTTTAAGAGCCAGTGCACAGTCTGCCACATCCTTGCCCCTCTGCCATAGTAGTTATGGAAGCAATGTGGATTTCTGAGTGACTATAACAGCACGTTGGAGAGGTAACATGAATGAGAAGTACACCTTGGTTGTGTTAAGTCACTGAAATTTTGAGATTGTTTTTATGGCAGCAAAACCTGGCCTATTCTGATTCTGACTAAACAGGTCCTAAAATCACATCCAGCAATCCCCCACTCCAACCCTCCTCAAACCAACTCCTCTTCCAACCACCAGACCAGAAATCTCTGCATAGGCCAGAAATCATAGACTCATTTCTGCATGCTCTCTTGGCTCTTGTATGCATCGGTTTTGCCATTTTACTTCCTTAATCTCTACACCCTTATCTCCCTGTATATTCCCATTGCCTTTACGCTAGGTTAGGAATGTATTCCTGCAGTTGGGAAGATTGAAAGAGACTCCCTTGAACCTCTTTTCTTTGATCCTTACACGTGTGCCAAGTTCACCTCCCTAAATGACCATAATGATCAATCACGTCACCACCTTACACAACTCCCTGTTTCTTCCCAGATCAAGAAAATCCTTCCTACAGGAACCCAGGCTCTCCACAGTATGTCACCAGTTTACATGTCCAGCTCTATTTCTCAGTATGCCTCCATATCCACCTTTCATTTCAACAAAACCAGACTGATTCTTACAACTTAGATGTTCTCCACTCGTTCCCTTTCTCATGCTGTTCCATTTCAGCATGGAATGTTTTCCTCATTTCTACCTCTTCAGGGTCCACCTCAAATGCCACTTTCTTTATGGGGTGTGGGGAGCCAGAAAATAATTGGTTAAATCATACATAAAGAGCCAAAAACACAAGAAAAAGATTGAAACATTTTGCCACGTACCAAATAGTTCCCCAATTCATGGCTTAACCCACAAAGGTATATTTTCTAAGAAACTTTTTGATTTCACCAACCACATGTAATCTTTCCCTCCTTTTAGACTCAACACTTGTTTCTTAGCTCTCTTATAGCACTTAGGTGATTCTGCCTTACTTTGGAGTTATTTTTAAATTATCTTTATCCCCATTCTGAGGTTATTATTTCTTTTCAAGCAATATCTGGTTTATTCTTACATCCCCAAAGCTAGCGTGGTGGGTTTACATAACATGTGCTCAGTAAATACTCGTGTAACTAAACTGAAATGAAAATTCCATTCTTTTGTCTCCTTAATTATACCTTTAACATGGAGATATGCAATGAATAGGATTAACTTCAAATATGAAACATAAGTGAGCCTTTTCTTGCAGTCTGAAAAATCATTATACTCCCTTGCTGAGGGAATGGCTGTCCTGCTAAAGAAAGCCATCACCAGTATCACTTTTCCTGGCATGGGCAGCAGTGAATAAACTGAATGTAGTTATATCAATAACTACAATAATACCAATATTCAGGTGAGTTGGCACAGGCCTGAATCTTAAGTAACTAGGGCAAAACGAATGAAAAACAGAAAAAAGGTATTAAAAATAAAACTTAATTAAACTTTCGTTAGAACATCATTTCCCTACTGTATCACAGAAATGGGTTTATGGTATATCAAAGAGCATATCAAAAGCAACATCCTCCACACACCACATCTGTATCCCACACACTTTACCTTTAATGAGAGCTTGAAACTCTCTGTGCTTAACTGTCCCTCTCTGAAGGTCAATCTTTAAGGTCATGAGGAGTACAAACAGGAATTTGTGGTTTTCGTATAGGCCTCTGACAGAGTATGTAAAAACTTCATATGTCAGGTACTCGATAATATTTGTAATTCTCTTTTGAGGTAGTGGTGACTTTTCAGATCTGAAACACATTTTAAGAATCAAAGAAGCAAAGGGCAATTTCTTTTTTTAAAAAACTTTCAAGTTCAGGGGTACACATGAAGGTTTGTACGTCGGTAAACCTATGTCATGGTGGTTTGTTGCACAGATTAATTCATCACCCAGGTATTAAGCCTAGTACCCATTAGTTATTTTTCTTGATCCTCTCCCTCCTCCCACCCTCCACTCTCTGACAGGTCACAGTGTCTGTTGTTCTCCTCTATGTGTCCATGTGGTATCATCATTTAGTTCCTACTTATAAATGAGACTATGCGGTATTTGGTTTTCCGTTCCTGTGTTAGTTTGCTAAGGATAATGGCCTCCAGCTTCATCCATGTTTCTGCAAAGGACATGAGTTCATTCTTTTTTATGGCTGCATAGTATTCCCCGTTGTATATGTACCACCTTTTCTTTATCCACTCTACTGTTGATGGGCATTTAGGTTGATTCCATGTCTTTGCTATTGTGAATAGTGAAAAAGCAATTTCTAAAAGAGTAGAAATACAAGCAAACTTTTAAGTCACCACTTTTGGATGAAGGTAGTGAGGACTCACCTGGCCATGGACTGGTCAAATAACTTCAAGAACTGGGCCAATGACGTCTGATACATGATGTTGACCATGCTCATCTCTGTGATGAGGAAGTAGAGGATGCTTCCGCGGGTGGCTGCGGGCCGGAACTCCTCCTGAGCCGCGTTGATCTTGATCTCAGTTTCTGCAGCCACATGCAACTTTTCACTTACCTCAGCTGCTGTCTGCTTGGTAGTTCGAAGTACACCAATGAGAGATTCGTCATCTACCAATGAGCCTGAAATTCAAAACAGGAAAACCGTAGTACACAAGACGGGAAACTTGCAAAGCAAGATACATCTCTTCTGAAAAAAAAAAAACGCTGTTAGCTTTCAACTTGATGTCTCCAAAGTCAGGAAGACTACTGGTACAGTAGAATCTTAAGACACCAAAAAGCTTCTAGTCCAACTACCACCCAATACCTGAAGCCTTCTGAACATTCCTGCTGACAGACTATCCCCTGCTCTGCCTAAACATCTGCAAAAAGCAAAAGACCCATTTGATTGGGTCTTCACATGTCTCAAGACAATGATCATGTCTCCAGTGCTCTTTGCTGTTCCCCATGTGATAGGCTTCACACCCACTGTCATCTTGGTGGCTCTCCTCAAAGTGTCACAGCTTGTCCACGCTGCTTGTCTCAGGGTGTAGCTAACCTGAACACTTCACACATGGGCTGACTGTCATGCTGATAGTTGAATGGTACACTCCTCACACTGCTTTAGTAGAACAGTCGTTGCTATAGAAAACTCTAATCCCTCTGTCTCTAACAAGAGCAAATTGGGTATAGTGAAAATGTCTCACCAGGAAGAGAAACTTGAATTTTATTTTTAGTTTTGCCTTTCATTATTTTTTTTTTTATTATACTTTAAGTTCTGGGGTACACATGCAGAACGTGCAGGTTTGTTACATAGGTATACATGGGCCATGTTTGTTTGCTGCACCCATCAACTTGTCATTTACATTAGGTATTTCTCCTAACGCTATCCCTCCCCCCAGACCCCTACCCACCGACAGGCCCCAGTGTGTGATGTTCCCCTCCCTGTGTCCATGTGTTCTTATTGTTCAACTCCCACTTATGAGTGAGAACATGCGGTGTTTGGTTTTCTATTCTGATATTACTTTGCTGAGAATGATGGTTTCCAGTTTCATCCATGTCCCTGCAAAGGACATGAACTCATCCTTTTTTTTTATTATTGTTTTTAATGGAAATAGTGCATGTTTATGACAATGAATTTGGTTTTTAATTAAAATCTAAGGAAAGACACCTTGGATGTACTGAGCTAACAGTCCCCATATCTGCGAACAGTTCCCATATCTGCGAACAGCAGCACTCTGGCCTACCCTAGAGTTCGGGATGGCAGACAAGTGCTGCAGGAAGGGCTGTGTTACTCCAACGGGTATGCTGTCTACTGTGGAAGTCCAAATTGGGATTAACCTCAAGGAGAGAGGTCTTGATCCAGCACACTCTTGGCTAGACTAGGGGAGCAGCCCTCAGCTCTGCTTGCTATATTTTTAATGCCCAGGGGTATCCCAAATGGCTGGGAGGAGTCACTGGACCAAGAAACAGACAACTTCACTAGCGGGAGCAGTGCGAGTAGGCAGATAAAAGGACTTTTCACTAAGCTCACCATAAAGGTACAGTACTTCTGGAAGGTCAGACTTGTTTAAATAACATCCCGGGATTAAGGTGCAGTTGTGAAGTATTCATTCACTTCTAATAAGGTAGTAGAATTCAGGTTTCTGTGATTTGTCTGCTACAGAACAATATGTTTGTTGATTTTATTTTCTTTGGATAAAATTTTCTTTTTATATATTGCAGAGAGAGTACATCCTCAAATTGAGGTGTGGCATGATGATTTGGCTGCCCAGAGGAGAACCTGTCTTTCCCATCTAAAGTGGGAGGTCAAGCCAAGTAGAGGGTAAGCTGGGCCTTTGGTACCCAAGCTCTTCTGACATGGATTACATGTGTCATAACCCGTTGCAATAACTGCATTTCAATGCCAAATGAAAGAGTCAATTTGAAAAAAAATAGATTGAGTTTCACCATGTTGGCCAGGCTGTTCTCAAACTCCTGACCTCAGGTGATCCACCCGCCTTGGTCTCCCAAAGTGCTGGGATTAGAAGCATGAGCCACCACGTCTGGCTTGGGAGACAGAGCAAGACTCTGTCTCAAAAAAAAAAAAAAAATAGATTGAGCACATTAGTTTCTTTGGGGCAAGCAAATTAACCTATAATGAGTTATCTAGCTCTATCAGGAGCCCTAATTTTTCTCAGGAGAAAGCAATTATATCAAGAAAATTGTGTTATTCTCAGATGCTCAGTCTCTATTTGCTAATTCAAAAATCAGATTCTCTGCCGTCCCTCTTTAATGTCTAGATGGAAATTGCCTTGCTTGTTTTTGCATTGATAACATGAGTATTTCCTAACATCTATAGTCATGAGGGCATTGAAAAGAGTGTAAATGAAATCCTTATTCAGAATCCGTTATTTCATTACTTCTTAATAACACAATACCTTTTGTAGCACTTAATTTATAGAGGAGGTTATCTTCAAGTTCTTTCATCTTCCGCTTATTAAAAGTAACATCCTCCAAAAGTTTAACCCTCTCAGCCTCTAACTCCTGTCATTAAAAAACAAAAAATAACATTGGAACTATAATTACCAGTTATTACAGTAAACCCAACTCACTAGTGTTTATTAACAATTTTAAAAGTTTAAAGCAAAGTACCTTTTGAATGGCAGAAGAAATTACTATCATTAGCCAAATCTATCTATCCATATTTTTGTTTCTGTGGAAATTTTTTTAAAATTATGCCTACTGTCATTAAGGTTCCACAGCACTTATACTGGCAGGCACCAGACAATTCTGCTAAATAATTTTGCCCAATTACCCCAAGCTCTCTTGCCAGCTTTAAGTTTATAAATAGCATGTCCCATTCTCTTGGCCCTGTTCCCACACTGCTTCTGTAAGAAATGCTATCTTTATTTGCAGTCAGAACAAGTAGAAACAAAAAGGCAATAATACCAAGAAACCAAGGGGCTACCCAGATTAAATGTGAGCTCTTGGCCTGGTTCCTATGGGAGCACCAGGTACCTGGTTTGGCACAGCCGATTGCCAATACAAACCCATTTTCCATTTTATTTGTATCTCCTTCTACAGAGGGCAAACTTGAATGTTTACAGGAGTTTTTTTCTTCTTACATAAAATGATATATTTTTAAAATTATATTTTGAAAAAATTTCAAGCATTCAAAAAGTTGCAAGCCTAATACAAGGAACTTTCATATAGCCTTCACTTAGATTCACCAAATCACATTTTGCTTTATCACTATATCTCTATAGAATACATAATGTTGTCATTATTGTTATTGTTGTTATCATTATTATTACTGCTGAATCACTCGTGGATGTCATGTCCTTTTACCCCTAAACACTTTAGCAAATCTCTGAAGAACCAGGTCATTCTTTTACATAAGTGTAGCCCAATATTCAAATTCAGGAAATTTAACACTGATACTGATGTGTCAGTATCACTGATACTCTCACTAAACACAGAGTCTACATTGAAATCTCAATAATCTCAATAATATTCCTTACAACATTTTTCTTCTGATTTTATACAGAATCACATGCTGCACTTAGAATTACGTTAAAAGAAGGTGTTTTAAAACTTATTTGGGAAGGTTTCTGGGAAAATTGCTTCAGAAATTTCATCATTTTCAAAAAGTCTTCCTGAACCAGTCAATCAAAAGCCATGGCACAGCCTTCATCTGTACATCTAATGTAGTTTGTTTTGTTTTTTGTTTTTTTGTGATTTTTTTCTGTGCGTGTTTTTTGTTTTGTTTTGTTTTGTTTTTTTGAGATGGAGTCTCCCTCTGACACCCAGGCTAGGATACAGTGGTGTGATCTCGGCTCACTGCAACCTCTGCCGCCCAGGTTCAAGCAATTCTCCTGCCTCAGACTCCCGAGTAGCTGGGACTACAGGCGTGCACCACCACGCCTGGCTAATTTTTGTATTTTTAGTAGAGACGGGGTTTCACCGTGTTGGCCAGGCTGGTCTCAAACTCTTGACCTCAGGTAATCCACCTGCCTCAACCTTCCAAAGTGCTAGGAATACAGGGGTGAGCCACCACGCCTGGCCTCTAATATAGTTTGTATCACAATCTATCAGTAGATTATTTCCCTCCAACTACGGTTTATGCATCTAGAAAACAGATACATAAGCTTTCCTATTCATTTTTGTATTATTGACAGTACTTATCTTGTGGCTTTGTAAAGAAGAAACTCAACCCAATAAATATTTGTCAAACTGAAATGTGCTGAATTTAGTCCAATTTCTTTATTTTACATTTGGAAAAGCCAAGGACCCAGAAATATGAACTCTGAATAACAAGGGTATTAGGCCGGTCTCTGCCAGTAACTAGCTGTGTGTTAAAACAGCCTAATACCCTTGTCCTCCAACTCCAAGACTAGTGTTATTGCCATTGTACTTACAGGGTGGCAGGAGTTGATGGGGCGATAAAGAGCATTGCTGTATTTGCAGGGAAATAACCAGTTAGTCATTTTCATTAAAATGGTCACCCCTGGGTGGCAGTATAGGAATACATGGACAAAATGAAATCATATTAGCTTCCTTTTCTGGATATGGAAAAACAGATATCATAGCACAGTGGACTCTTGCTAAACTTCATAGCAGGACCTGTAAACCTTATCTAGGAGGCTTGGCAGGCTGCAAAGTCCATGTGCTGTTACAGACCGAGACCCTTATTTTCTTTGGTCTCCATTTGCTCATCTGTAAAAATATGGGTATAATAGTAGGATTGTTAGGAGGGTTAAATATAATGTTTAGAATACCCTCCTGCATATTAAATGTGCATTTTTTTCTCCAGCAAGGTTGCTATGAGCATCTTAGCACATCTCTTGAAGAGGAAGCTAGGGAATAAGAAGAGTGGGTGTGGGGAGCCCTGGGGACCTTTAGACAGTGGAGTTGCTTGACTTCTGGAGGTTAGTGCAGCCTGCATGGGGGATCTAGACCAGCGAGGAATCATCTCAAAATAAACCCACAGCACCAATTAGACCACAAGGGACTAACTGTCAACAGTTAACAGCATGTGATCCTGAGAGGCGATGGAAACAGTGAATTGCCGGGCCAGGGCCATCTCCGCCTGGCTGTGGAAGAGGAACGGGATCCCTTCCTGGACTGCATAAGCCCCAGGTTTGTTGGAAACCAAGATCAAACAACTAAGAGAGTCAAAGCTGAGACTGTGCCCTTTTCACTCCACCAGACCAGCCACCTTTCAAGGGCCTGTGCCTGTGGTAACTGTCTATGAGCCAGGTAGGATGTTGCCTTTCACTGAGTCTACTTCTTTGGTGTCTGTGTCATTTCCCTCTCCCTTCTTGGATGTCTCTCCTGTGTTTGGGACCCTGGATTCACATCTCCTCTTTTCCCTCCTCTGTCTGTTTTCCTCCCTTGTCATTCTTTTTCTCACCCATCCACTTCATGCCTTGCTGCTCTTATTATTTCTAACCTTGCCTTTGTCTTGAATCTTTAATTCTAAAATTAATTACTTTATCATATTTTATGCAAATGTACTTTATAATGCAGATACATAAAATATTTTATGCAATTATATTTTATGCATAAAACAATGTTTTCTGAGCTTCAACTTAAAAATTAGTTTAATCTTGTATCAGTCTCTTAAAATCTTCCAGTCCTAAGTTGTTCTTTGTTTTATTAGAACCCTCAGTTAGACATAATTTCCCTGCTTTAGTGCAGGAAAATTTAATTAAAAATAAAGGTATGGCTCCCTATATCATTAGATTATTGGACTGTAGTAGTTGAAACTACTACAGTGGAAAGAAGAGCCATTCAGAGGAATTTCTTTTTCTCTCAATCATTGTTTTATTGATGTTTTCAGGTGTCCCCAAGACAAGGACTATACATAAGAGAGTCAGTACACCTAGAAGTTTAAAGACAGAAGTAGAAAGAGACGGGTGTGTGTGTGTGTGTGTGTGTGTGTGTGTGTGTTTCAGGCTGGATGAGAAGATGAGTTACATGATTTCTTGACAGGAATTAAGGCTGCAAAAGAAATACTTATGTTAACAAGGATAAATATGGTTTTTAAATTTTTTTTTCTTTTTCACATACTTAGCAATTTCTCAATACATTTTAAGCATGTATTATAAGCAGAAATTCTTTACCTTGAGAGAGAGATTACCTGTTTCTCTGTTAGAATGACTCTCCTTAGTAACTGATTCTCAAGTCCTTTCATTGTAACAGTGAAATCAATGACTGACGTTTTAGCATTAATCTCTGGGGTAAAGGCAGGATTTGGTAACTTCGTAGTAATGTAAAGTTTAAATGTATCCATGATATCACATTCCTTATCACCGACTTTCACCTACATAAATTCACATATAAAATTAAAAACAGCTTAAAGGGCAGGGAAAGGAACTTGGGTTCAATTTAGAAAAGAATTTACCTGTCAGTGCTGTGACGCTTCAATAAATTGGGAAGGAAAGTTACAAAATTTTAATCACTGATCTTAAATAATAAAGCCTATTCAATTTAGAATAATTTAGAATTGTAGTCCTGCCTGGTGATGTTTTTAGCAATGATACCAAGCAAATCAAATGAAAAAGTTATCCAAAACAAACGGTGAATAAAGGAAAACTTAGACATATCTAAGATTTGACTTTAACATTTTAGCAAGTACTTATCACTCCCATCAATTGTTTGTAGTACAGGAGCCGCTATTTTTTCTCCAGTTAAGAAAATTGTTTCCTACTGTGGAAATTTGATGTGTTTATAGGAAATTTTGTTTTTTGAATTTCATAGGTATATCTGAAGCATATTTGACAACAGAAAAAGTTAATGTAATTTTCAAAGGAAAAACGCCAACTTTTTTCAAAAAGGTAACATTTATCTTCAACACTACTATTTGCAGCATGTTGAAAAAACAATTGGTTTTTGCTATCTAAAAATCAGGTGGCAATCATAGAATTTTTAAATGACTTAAATCTCTGGTTAATCTTAATTCTGCCCGTGACCGAAAACATCACTAAGGCCACCATCACATTCTAAGGCATTATGCCTTCACATTGCAGATAAAAATCTAGGATCTTTTAAAAGACCTTCGGGAATAGAGATTCTATAACCTCCTTTGGCATATTAAATATGTCATATAAGATAAGCCAGACACAGATAAACACTGTATGATCTCACATGTGAAATCTAAAAAAGTCAAACTCATAGAAGCAGAGAATAGAACAGTGGTTGCCAGCAAGATAGGGGATGGGAGAAATGGGGAGATGTTGGTCAAAGGGTACAAACTTTCAGTGATAAGATGAACAAGTTTCAGGTATCTAAGGTACAGCATGTGTGGTGATGGATGTGTTAATTAATTTGATTGTGGTAATCATTATACAACGTATATGTATACCAAATCATCACATTGTACAGTTTAAATATATACGATCTTTACCTGTGGATTAAACCTTTTTAAATGCAGTTCAAAATTGTGGATGAGTCCATAATATCCAAGCCAGTCACCAAAATTTTGTTCTTAGCTTCTTTTTATGAAAAAGAGAAATTCTACCCTCTAATCTTATAGAATGATGCTAACCTTCAGAACACTAACTGCGTTTTATTTATTTTTCTCCCTATAAACTCATAAAGGCTTAAGTATATATTGGATGCTCCATAAACCTTTGCTGAATGAATTTTTTAAAATGCGGCATATAAAAGATTTTCACATTATGAAGAAAATTTTTCTGAATAAATCTGTCTTTATTTAATGAGAAAATATTCATTTTTACTTATTCACTGATACTCATGAAATTAAGTTGTCCAAAGTAATAAACACCCAATCAGAAATGCTGTTATAAAACTTAAGAAGCCTAAAGGTAGAGAATGACACAAATTAAACATGAAACACTTATACAAATTGAAAATAATTCATCACCAACAATTGAGAACAATATTCCATAGCTTCCAACAAAGTCAATGAGTTTAGACTGAAAATAAAGAGATAAATGACCAAATCAATGTGTTTATTAAAATGACTTTATTAAATCAATGACTTTACCAAATCAATGACTTTATTAAAATGTCATTTTCTCCAGGGAAGAAATCCGGGTTATTTTGTAAAAATGTATATATATAAGGCTTGCAAAACCAATATCTAGAGTTGCTTAAACATATATATACTGTGTGTTGCACTAACATATTAAGACCAGACAATGTGTTTCCTTAATGTTACTTAGTTTTAGCTAAACGACTACTCTTATCAAAATATTGCCCCCACCTCAGAAACTTTTATACGCTATAAAAAATAAAAGGAAACACTGAAGTATCAGTCTGGAAATAGTTTATTTCCGACGTACCAAATACTACTGCCTAAAGGAAATTGCATTTGCTGCTATGCTCAATAAGATAAGTAGATGTCACCATTGTTCTTTTCTTTCTTTCTCTTTCTTAATTTTTTTCTTTTTTTCTTTTTCTTTTCTTTCTTTCTTTCTTTTTTTTTTTTTTTACAAAGCTCACCTTGAAAGTGGTGCCAGATTTAATAAAATTCTTTTCTAATACATTATCCAAGGCTGGATCCAGCTCTTCATGAATGTCCTCAATGAGAAGGGGTCGGCCCAAGGAAAGGCTGTCCTCCAAGTGTGTGCGAAAATATTTATGGTTCAGAGATGTCACCTAAACAGAAAGAACTCATTGGTCTATCTGTGTTACAAAGAATGTGCCCATTGCTAAGGGAAACCGAGAGATTTGTTGGACAGGTAATCAAGAATTTTAAGGGCAATAGAAGAAGACTTACTTAAAAAAATTAAAGTAACATACAAAAATTAATTTCTAAAACTTGGTGAGTCATGATTTTGTTGAATGGGGTCTAGATGTGTAATGGGGTCTCTATGATCAAAAGAGGAGGGTTAAGGGGCATTGCTCAGATGCAATGTCAGAGTTCTGCTCCTGACAGATGGAAGAGAATAGTCAAGGATTAATCCTTTCAAACTTACATAGCTATAATCGCTCAGAGAAAGCAAAGCAACTTGCATATCTGGATATTCATTTATTTTCTCAGGACCCCTACAAGATGAGTAAGTGATAAAAAGTAAACATAAGAATGTCAGAAATGATATATTGAGTCGCACTGAGGGTCTATCCATGTATTCTGTCTCCTATTGGCACTGGGAAGAATTTAACACTTTCCGTAAAGTCAACCTAAAAGACTAGACATTCACTTTATATATGCTTACATTTTTTTAAAACTGCAATTCTGAATTCCTGGTTGGGTCTTCGTGTTTAGATTAATGCGTTTGTTATTAGTTAAAATAGACACACTGTAGTGGTTCATCTCTGCATGAGCCAATTGGATTTGAACCCTTACTTCACCTAGGATCCCTCCCCCTGCCTAACTGTGAAGATTCCCAAAGGCTCATTTCTCAACTTTTTGTATCCTATCTTCTGAATTCAACTAATGCCTTAGGCTATTGTGGGTGCAGACCATAAGATGCAAGGAAGAATCCACTGGGACAACAGGCGATTAGGAGAATGGAATTAAATATGTATCTCTCAATTACTATGATAAAAAGAAGATATGAAATATAACAATTAAATCAGCCTACTTTTGTCCTGTTTTGATTAAAAAGGAAATAACTAAAAAAAAATTCTGCACATGAAGGAAGTTGTTTCCCTGGATGAATAGCTTTCTTTATACAAATAATGTGCTGTAAAGACCTTCCTGTAAGTTAATAAGGAAAAAGAATCTAAACAAAGAACTTTAATGAACTTAATAAACAAGGTGAAGAAAAGCACCAGTAAGACTAAATTTGCTTATATCTTGCTTTATTTCTCAAGGGGTAAATTCTATTTTTGTGATATCTTTCCCAAGTAAGGAGATAATTATCTTCAGTCATCTTCAATGTCTTTTAGAAACTTGAAATAGTATTTTGGAATCCCAATTTCAGGTTTATTTCACTGGATTTTTCTTGTGAAACACTATTTGGTAGCCACCCCCAGAGCCTGGTTCACCTGCGCAAAGACTGGTATTGGGTCTTTACAAGGTGACCAGTGAATTCCTGATAGGGAGACTTGGTAAATACATCCTCTTTCCACAAGTCAGAGCTGTAGGTCCTGGAGATGGCATTGAAGGTAGCCTTGGCAAAGCTGCCAAGGTTGACCACAGCCCTGGGCATAAAAACTATGCTTTGTTTTTCATTTGCATGTGTTTGTACATGTGCTTATCCACATAAGAAAATAATGTTGTCTGAGTAAGGAGAATACAATTCAGTCTATTTCCATCCCAGCAGTGGATGGTTTTTAAAATAAGGAAGAGTTTCGGGCATATTTCTATTCCTTCCACAAGAAGGTTCCTGGGACTGGGTTGCATCAGAAAGGACTTCAGTGAAGACTATCAGTAAATTTAATCCAGAAATGGAGAGATAAAGCTAAGATCAGAAAAAATAGCAGCATTCATGTCCAAGTGATACAGGAGCATGCATTGAGCTAAGGATGTCCAGGCAAGGTTCCAAGAATAAGATGAGCAGGGAGATTGAAAGCCAGGGGAGCCAAGGGGAATGGGGCCAGGGACAAGTTATAGTTGACCTGGCTGCAGAAACTAAGAACAGAAGTGTTCTGGTATACCACATTTGTGCACCCCTGAAAATGTGGCTCCTAAGAAGCTTCGTGGAAATGGACACTATTTCTTTTAACTCTTCTCTTCTATTTACATTGCCTGGTCCATTCTAGGATTTCCCTGGGTTTTCTTAGTAAACATAGACTGATGTATCGTGTTCTGGAGTATTGATGAGGTGGGGTATTTAGGTGTGCTTCCCAGCACTGGGCTATATCCACTTGGATGAGAAGCACTGATCTCAGGAGGAAATCTTTCAACATTTCACCACTAAATAGGATGTTTGTTATGGCTTTTTGTAAAAAGAAACTATCTAATTAAGGAAGATCTCTCCCAGTTTGCTGGAAATTTGATCATGAATGAGCATTGAATTTTACCAAGTGCTTCTTTTCATATTCATCAAGATGACCACATTATTTTCCTGGTTCTTTTTTTCTATAATGATGACACACTTTGATTAATTCACTTAAATTCAATAAATATCAGAATTCCTACTCAAAAAGAGCAGTGCAGAACATGTAAAGATGAATAAAACTTGGCCAAAAAGGAGTTCATGGTACAATAGAAATAAAAGATAAATGTGCAAAGAACAATAATTTAAGTCAGATTCTAAGTCCACAACATGAGTGCAAACAAGACATTGTGAGGATTCAGGACAGGTTATATTGAGCTGGGGACACAGAAAAGTCTTGATGGAGGTAGTGGTGGATGTGGACTTTGAAGAATATCTGAGATTTTTATCTAGGATATAAGTGGAGGTAGAGAAAGACATTTTGGTTAGTAGAAACAGTATAAGCAAAAACATGGGGACGGGGGTTTAGAGCACTGGGAACAGTGTCTAGGAAACACTGAATATCCCACATTGGTAGTTGAATTAAAATATCAATAGTAACAGAATCCCTAAGGGAGTCAGGAATGTTGGAATCCTGCCCTTGTCTACTCTCACCTTAAAATTAACACCTTATTAGATGCAAGCACCAAAGCTGGACTCAGTAAGCTACGTAGTACCAAGAGCCTGAGCAAGGTTGGCATGAATGGTCTTGAACTGAGGGATCACAATGTTCTATTTGCCACTTTCCTATAGGCCCAAACCCAAGGCCCGGAACAAAAGCCACATTCGACATTAGCAAAAGCAATGGAGTCAGGGAAATGTACAAAGAGAGGGGGAGGGAGGATCCAAAGAGAGTACAAAAGAGAGAAAAGAATCAGAGCTGTTGCCCCAAATTGCTGTTACAAAACTCAAGAGTGTGAATTAGCAAACATTTGTCATGGAGATGACAACTTTATGACTGCAGATTCAATCAAAATTTTGAAAGAGTTTCATGATTTCAAGATTACTTTCCCCTGCACCAAATGCTACATACCTGTAAATCATTTTCTTTTTCCTTTGATTTAATCCAAGTTTTGCCTTGAGTTTGTGGGTCTATGAGGAGTGGGTATCTGGTGGCCTTTGTCACAATAATGCCATTCTGAATTGAGAGATCATCTCCTGGTAATCCCTGTAGCCCCCACTCACCAATCTGAACAACAGGAAATGGATATCACCATTCAAAGGAGAACAGGAATGCCCTCATTAGTAATTAAAAGTACTGTAAAGTAAAATAATTTAAAATGTGGACATTATTTTCCTTTGAGACTATGCAACTTGTACTTCGAAAAAAAGCAAACTTGTAAATGTGAACCAAATAACATTCACATTAAAAAAAAACAAATTTATTATCTAATGAATCCCTTCTTTAATTACCCAAGACAAGGTTTATCCTTTTGCATTGTATTTTCATACTTAGGGGAATCATAGCAAGTTGATTGCATATTAAACCTGATTTGGGGTTAATGGAGATAGTGAATATAATGAAATGTCAGAGAACAAGGTAAGTCCCAGGCAATTAGCCCCTGATAGCTTCCCCTTCCGGCCCTTTGGTTCTGCCCACATGGTGTATGGGTGATTGCATAGCTGGAGATAAATTAGATGAGTTATTATATTGGCCGGAGCTCATCAATGACACTTTTGTGAATATTTCCTTCTCCAAATTTAGAGGGGATTGCCAGCCTCCCACCATGTGATCAATAAAATCACCGGGCCAGGCGCAGTGGTTCATGCCTATAATCCCAGCATTTTGGGAGTCTGGGAGGGTCACTTGAGCCCAGGAATTTGAGGCTGCTGTGAGCCATGATCACAGCACTGCACTTCCGTCTGGGCTACAGAGCAAGACTTTGTCTCTAAAAAAAATAAAATAAAATAAAATAAAATAAAATAAAATAAAATAAAATAAAATAAAATAAAATAATCAGAGATCCAATGAGCCAACCAGCCTCCACCTTTGTTAAATTATCCCAGGACCCCCAAAGGCCATAATTAATAAAGAATATTCTGGCCCACTTTGCTTCACCAGTGCCCAGTGCATCTCCAAGACATAATCTATTCCCTGTAAGGGTGAATTCAACAATGTTCGAATTGGAAAAGATTAGTTTTTAACTTTTAAATACAGATAATATGAAATTAATAGCTTGGCATCCCCTAAGGAAACAGCAACTGGAGAGCAGATTTGCAAACCAGAAAAGCAACTCATGAATACAAATTGCCTGGAAAGCATTTATTACAACAGAAGCTCTGCAAGATATACCGGAAATTGACAGTGGCATCGAATTCCCAGCAAGGAAGGTTAGTATGAAAGGACTTGCTATTACTTAGGGTCACCAGAACATGCTATTCTGTTACGTTTTTAGACACTAAAAAAGATAGCAAATAATGAAAATAAGGTTAATACCAGCACAGATCATGCCTACATTTGCCTAAAATGTTTGAAAGAGAGTATGACTTCACAGGAGTGGTGTAAATAATGAAGAGTTATAAGAAGGGCCCAGTATTAGCAAGCTGATATCTCTCAAATGATCTTTCAGTTCATAGCAATGCAATTGGTCTTAATTTGGAAGCAAGATTACTTAAAACGCAAAGAAACATTTATACCATAAAGAAAATTATTTTTAAAAAAACTCTTAAGCACTTTCAAAACAATCTTCCCAGTTAAAGAAAAAATTCAATGAACCTGGGTTTCTTTTTTTTGGGGGGGGGATGGAGTTTCTCTCTTGTTGCCCAGTCTGGAGTGGAGTGGCGTGATCTCGGAACCATTGCCTCCCTGGTTGAAGCGATTCTCCTGCCTCAGCCTCCTGAGTAGCTAGGATTACAGGCATGCACCATCATGCCCGGCTAACTTTTGTATTTTTAGTAGAGATGGGGATTTCACCATGTTGGTTAGGCTGGTCTTGAACTCCTGACCTCATGATCTGCCCTCCTCAGCCTCCCAAAGTGCTGGGATTACAGATGTGAGCCACCACACCCAGCCGGGTTTCTCAGTAAGTAAGAAATAAAATGAGACTGAAATTCAAATAACATTGGGAAAGTAAAACTTACAGTTGGAGGATCCACCAACATTGAAATAAGATTCAGGTTTTCTGTGAAAGGAATTTTCCGTGCTCTCAACTCCATTTCCCATTGATCTTTAAGCAAATAGTTCCTAAATATCTGATTGAAAGGACCAAGGTAGGAAAGGAATCCCGTGCACAGCAGAATATCACCTACAAGTCTGTGAAGAAAACACACAGCCCCCTCCCCAAAGTGAGTCACCTGACATTAAGTTGTTTGAGAGGTCACAGTTTTGCTCTGTTACTGGGTGAAATCCTTCTTTGCCCCTGCTTAATGCTTGGTAGCCAGGCATGGAAAAAGACCGTGCAAAGTGGAGCCCCAAACCCAAAAGTGGGTAGGAGTGGCCACATGTGGGGTGGTCAGGAAGCAAGAAAGAAGGCTTCCTCCTGAAGCCTACAGGTCGTGAGCCTTGATACTGTGAGGAAAGTATCTTCCCCCATCCTGTCCCTTGCTCTTATTCAGATTTCAGTCTTGTGTTAAACCATTTTTTCTTTCCCCTCCCTTTTTATTTTTTTATTTTTTTATTTTTATTTTTATTTTTTTGCCATTTTCTTGCTCCTCTCTCATTCCCCTCTCTTTTAAGTTTTCTAAGGACACCAACAGACACCAGCAGAAGACAGCCTTGCATTTACAACAAACCATTGATCCACAACAAACCATTGATCCACACTTTCAAAATCATTGAGGTGAAGCATAGAGAACTGGAGTGGAGACGGCTCTGGCAAATCCAAACAATATCAAAAGCACTCTCATACTGAAAACCCACAGTGCTGAACCACAGCTGAGATGTAAAATATTTCACAAAATCTTCTTCACCCTCTATAGTATTTCACCTGAGAGTGCATGATTTAAGTTGCAAGCACTGTCATAGATGATGGGATTCAGAGATGAACACATGGAAATGGACTTTATGTTCTCTAATGTCACAAAGAAAGAGTGATTATGAAGAAGACCCAGATTCCCACCTATTAATCTGAGCTTTGAATTCTTTACTTTGCTGGGTCCACCGGATTTTTTCTCCACTCAGCCCATCGATGAGAGTGGAGGCGGCCTGCATCTTTTTCCGGCACGTATCAGCGTCATTAAGCAAATCCTGCAGCCATAATGGGAGAATGTCTCAAAAAACTTTTCTAAGTGCTTAACACAAACATCCATTATATTCACACATAAAAATACATGGGGGAATTTCTTACTTTGCAAAATAATATAACCTAAAAATACAGTGTGCATTGAAACTTCACATATTAAATTTTGATCATTCATAATATAGTGATTTTACCTTATAAAATTTCAAGGAAAGCAATTTTGTAAGACAGAATCCAAATCACATAATTTATCTTTTAATCAGACAAATTACAATAGTATTTCTATTGAATATTTTCAAAACAGAATCAAATCAATAAGATTTGCCATTTTGATGTCTTGGATGCAGTAATAATCCCGAGTTCTTTGTCATTTACAAAGTATTTTCTCCTGGAAAAATCCCAGACAACAATAGCATGTAGCAGCCGGCTTGTATCAACTCTTAAGAGCCAATTGTTAAATTTTTAGAGTATTTGTGAGCTGGTGCTAAACACAGCCTTTATTAAAAATTAAACTATGTAAGCTTACAATTAAAAAATTATATTAAAAGCAAAAGTAATAAATAACAAAAGCTTACTTCCTAATTATTTAAATGTTAATATTATCTATGGTTTTGAGGTTAAGACCGTTGTATCTGGATGGTGGAAATAGTATGCGATGGGGTACTGCCATGCACCTTTTCCCAAATCTGTGCTCAGTGACGTTACATTGGAGTTTAAAATTGCCAGTGATGGGAGTATTTACACCACAGAAATCAGCAAATATTACAAATCCGGACTTTCCTCTCCCCACACTGCACACTAGATTGTTAACATTTACCAGACCACCACTGCTTACAACCTATCCCAAGAGGTTATATTAGGATCCCCATTTTACAAACAGAGCTAGGTAGATTGCCCCTGTCAGGTCTCTGAGCCAAAGCTAAGCCATCATATCCCCTGTGACCTGCATGTACACATCCAGATGGCCGGTTCCTGCCTTAACTGATGACATTCCACCACAAAAGAAGTGAAAATGGCCTGTTCCTGCCTTAACTGATGACATTACCTTGTGAAATTCCTTTTCCTGGCTCATCCTAGCTCAAAAGCTCCCCCACTGAGCACCTTGTGACCCCCACCCCTGCCCGCCAGAGAACAACTCCCTTTGACTGTAATTTTCCTTTACCTACCTAAATCCTATAAAACGGCCCCACCCCTGTCTCCCTTCGCTGACTCTTTTCGGACTCAGCTCGCCTGCACCCAGGTGAAATAAACAGCCTTGTTGCTCACACAAAGCCTGTTTGGTGGTCTCTTCACATGGACGCGCGTGAAAGCCCCAAACCACACAATTAACAAGTGTCTGAGCTGCATCTCAAACCCAGTTTTCTAACCCTCAAATCAGTGACGGTAAAGTTTGATCAGTGAAAACACAAAAAATAATTTTGAGCACCAAAGATCCAAAGCAGATAGGCATGCTGGCCAATATTTTTTCATCACAACCATTTGCCTGATTTCCAAATATAGCATGCTCTTGTGTAAAGTTTCAGTACACCATTTTGGGGATTTTTTATGTTTAATCTCACCATTTTCTCATTCATTGCTGCATCAAATTTTGCCTGTACTTTATCCAGCTCAGCTTGCTTCTCATCCAGCAGGGCTTGTGCCTTCCCTAACTCAGCATTAGCAACTGCTAACCGGCCTTCCTGCTTGGCCAGGTTGGCCTGAAAAGAAGAAGACGTGGTTAGTGTATTAGCTGCATGAAACAGTCATGATTGTAACTGGTAGATAACACAAATCACATAATTTCTGCACTAGACGGGACTTTCGAGCACATCTGTTTCCGTGTCTTCAGCTGGGAAAGCAAAGCGTCTTGGAGGGTATTTCATTACTTTTAAATTTTTAATTACTGGCCAGGTGTGGTGGCTCATGCCTGTAATCCCAGAACTTTGAGAGGCTGAGGATCACTTGAGCCCAGTTCAAGACCAGCCTGGGCAAAATAGTGAGATCTTGTTTCTACAGAAAAATAGAAAAATTAGCTAGGTATGGTGGCATGCACCTGTAGTCCAAGCTACTCTGGAGGCTGAAGCAGGAGGATCACTTGGGCCCCGGAGGTCGAGGCTGCAGTGAGCTGTGATCGCAACACTGTACTCCAGCCTGGGCGACAGAGTGAGACCCTGTCTCAAAAAAATTTTTTTAATTATTAATGTTCAATAAGAAAACATGGAAAATGCAGCAATGTATAGAAAGGAGGACAAAAGTTACCCCGAAATTTCTCAGACATAACCTGTGAGTATTGTGTTAGGAAGTAGGTAATTGGCATTTTGATTTTTTTTCATTTCATTTCATTTTATGAAGGTCCCAAGTCCATCATGAACGTTAGTTATGTGACTGCATGATATTCTACGTGTTGGATGTATCATAATTAACCTTTTTCCTACTCATATACATTTGTCCACCCACCCATTTTTAGTTATTACAAATAATGTTGTGATAAATACTATTGGATATGTACACATTTAGGATTGTTACTTTGGTAACAATCCAATTTCAAAGATTCTGCAAGTGAAATTACTGTAACAGTAGTTTTTCATATTTTTCTAAGTCCTACAATGTGGTAATGATCTGCTTCCTGTAAATTTAAAATAATCAGTAAAATAATCTAGGCCCAAAGCCTTCTGGGGTAGAAGTTCTTTGATCCCTTTCTTATTTTCATTCTCAATGTTTATTTGAATTTAGCTCCTTTTCCCATAAAACTTTTATTTCATTTAGATTTTCTAATATATTAACATATAACTAGGTAATATTTGCAGCCTGGCACAGTGGCTCACACCTATAATCCTGGGAGCAGTTTGGGAGGCTGAGGTAGGAGAACTGCTTAAGCCCAGGAATTCAAGGCTGCAGTAAGCTATGATTGCACCACTGCACTCCAGCCTGGGGGCCAGAATGAAACCCTGTCTCTTAAAAAACAATTACTTTATAATTATTTAAATCTTCACATCTAGAATTATGAGGATTTATCTTTCTATTTTCATTTGTTTTCATTTTCTTCTTGATTAGATTTTCCAGGAATATTTCTTACAGTTTTGTTTTTGCAAAGCATAGGTTCTTAGATTTGCTCATTAATTCTGCTGCTTTTCTCTAATTTTTAATGTTATTTTTATTGGCTCTATTCCGATTTCCTTAAATTTCATGTGTATGTATGCTTATGAGTGAGTATATACTTTAACTCTTCAGTGGAATGTTTAGTTTCTTTGATGTATGTAAGGGCTAAGAATGTACCATTTTGGCCATATCACAGAAGCTTTGGTAACTCGCTTATTTTCATCATTTCCTAATTAGGAATGACTGAGTTCATTTTAATGTAAAGTTTCCAGTATTATTGCTTATACTCAGAGAATGAGACCCCAGGATTTTTTGCTTTCGGGAATTTAATCAAGGTCCTCTTTTACCATTGAATATAATTAATTCTTATAAATGTTTCTTGTACTCTAGAAATAATTTCATGTTCTTTGTTTATACTGAAGAAAGTTCAATGTAGTTATTCAACCTGAAAAATAGTATCATGTAAAATTTCTATATAATTACTAATTTATGCCTACTCGGGACTGCCTCTCTAATTTACAGGGCCCAGTGCAAAATGAAAAATGTGGGGCCCCTTGTTAAAAAAAAATATTAAGAATCTGAAGAGGGCAACAGCAGAGCATTAACACAAGGCCCTGTGTGCACACCCAAGAAGCTGGCCCTATGCCTACCAGGGGTAGCCACAATCTCAAATTACAATATTATTTTTGTTAATTTCATAGCATGTATCACAATCTCAAATTACAGTATTATGTTTGTTAATTTCCACTGAAAATACTAATGGATTTGGTTTATACAATTTTATGCTATTTTATTTATTGCATAACACATTATTTTAATTGTCTTCACTATGGATCATAATTTTTATCAACAAAGAATAGTTCTTTTCTGATGTGTGTGTGTGTTTTCTTTTTTTTCTTGAATTCTACATTTATTGTAAGATTTCTCCCTTAGTATCTTTTTGTTGGGGTGTGTTTTTTGTATTTTTCCTATCATTTCTCTTTGTTAAAACTTTTTATTTTAAATTGACTTTCTATTTTTCTCAAAGTTCCTCATGCACAGGTTTTAAAGGAGGCAGCCACTTCTCTAAGGCTTATGAAAAACAGTAACCCCCTGCCCACCGACTCCTCATTATCCATTCCACAGAGCAACCACTTATAATACTTTTAGCTTTGTTGGGGTGGGAGATTGGGATGGGGCCCTGGAGGCAGTGTGTATCTGAGTGATACATTTCATGAATCCTTGCCCTCCTAAGAATCTCATTCTGTTCCCTCATCCATGAAGACCAGCTTTGGCCATTATGGAGTGCTTGGACCCCAGCATTTTCCTCCTCAAAACTCTGCATATGTTTTTTCATTATCTTCTAGTATTTAGGGTTGTGGGAAATCTGCAACATCTTGATTTGTCTTTTGTAAACAACCTTTTAGGTTTTGTCTGATTGCTTCTTAGATTGCATTTAAGGTTCTCCTTCTGTCTTTGAAATTTAAAACCTTTCTAGGTGTCAAACCTAATTTTATAAGTTTTGTTTGAAATACAGTAATCAAATTCAACCTCCAAACCTAATCTCCAAACTTCAAAGAAATGGCAAGTTTTTCTTCTTATGACAGCTTGATTATTATTCCCAAGAAATTCATTTCCTGTGTAAGTTAACATGTTGGTTTCAGTCACTTGCCTGCATTGTCAAGAAACATGTAACAGATATAAAAAGAAGGAGAAACTTTGAGAGGACATAGAGAAAAAAGACAAATTTGGTAACAGGGACATCTACCTTTATTGGTCTAAACTACGCATTGTCTTTTAATAGCAGTAATACTGATGACTGATTTTATGAAATATTGATTTACTGGGAGAAGGAAGGAAACTTTTACCTTCAGAGGCAACACTTCTCTATTGATGCCATAAAATATTGCCATAGCAAGTGTCCAAGACAGGAGACCAGCCACATTCCCACAGACTTTTTTGGCACTTTCAAAAGTATAATCATCCATATTAAAATATGGCTGTAGTAACTCAACAGTCTCTTCATTTATAGTGTCCTTAGGGAACTGCTGAAGGCTCCACAGGAATCCTGTTGCACTCATCAACTGAAAAATAGTATTATAACCTGTAAGTTCTGGAAGAAAATACTTTCTTCCTGAGTTAATATGTACTTCTAAATTGAATTTTCTCAAAGAAGTAATAGATGATTTGCTCTAAATACACAAATTGAGACTATTGGCAGTAGCCAACCTAAATCTGTAAATCACAAATTGTCTTCTGGATTCCATGTGGAAAGAGTAAAGAAGAAAAGCTATGTAAGTTTTCTTTCTGGTAAGTGCATCTGAATGCCACCAACCACACAAGCCCCTTTTTGAAAACTGGGCTGGGTTGACACCAAGGCTGTGCCAATACTAGCCACCGGTTCTGGACAGATGTCATAAAAAGAAGGTATTTGGCTTTAAAATCTATCCCTCTTTACATTTTAGGTGATGGAGTTTAAGATAAACTTTTCAATACGCAATGATCAATTATTGTCTGCCAGTTTGTCTGGTCTATATTGAGTGTCCTGGGCTGAGGACGCCTGATGCAGCTCATAGGATTGACAATGATAGATTTTACTTACCTTTAATGACTCTCCCCATGATGGCTTACAGCAAGATTTTTCTGGATCCATAGTAACAGGGTCAATTTTCTTTTGAAATAGTAACAGAACACAGTCCATGATTCTCATAATAAGATGTGGTGGTTTTGCAAGTTTCCTGACTGTGGCAATATCATTTGGCTTGATAGTCTATATTTGGGATTAAGGATCAATATTTTGTTTGTTGAGTGGTATTAATAGTTATATGGAAATCTAATACTTTTCAATAATTAAGATAGAAAACTTTAAAACATATTTTCTCTCCATTTCCAAGATTTTTGCTTAGTGGCTCTTTCATTGTTATTTTGGTATTTGTGTTTATTTGTATGTATTCTTCTTTTCCCTGTTGCTCCCAACGAATTGGTTTAAAATATCACTAACAGGCATTGCCATCATAGACCTCTGTTAATAAGTCCCACTGATATGTAACATTTAGATAACTTGCATCTTCAAAGCACAGGGTCTATATTAGGTGTGGATATTAAGAGAGGATACAAAGCCCTGAATATCAGAAACCTCACCTTTAGCCTTCATTGTGAGGGCTTCCCTGTCTATGGCAGGGAGAGGAATTAGAAGGAGACAAGAAAATTACTGTAATATATGGCTCATAAAAACATTTTTGAAAATTTCTATCCATTGGCTGGGTTTGGATTAAGACATTGCCTGACCATCAAGGCAAGGACTGGGAGACCATATGATCAATAACATGTTCTAAGACTCCTTCGGTTCGGTGATCTCTTCCTTTTGTACGTTACAGTAAGACCCATAAAGGAAGTGGGGGTGCAGAATGTGTCCTGGTCATTGTGAAAATTTTATTAAATGATTATCATAGATTTATTCATTCATTTAACAATTGCAGGCATTCTCCCATATAAAACAAAGCAAACCAAAATAGTCTTGTCCTCATAACCTCTGAAAATGGCAAAGCAAATACAATTACCCTACATAAGGATTTCTGCCATGACAGAAGCATGTGAGTGATAGGAAAACAAAGGAAGGCCTCGAAGAAGAACTGAAAACTTCCTGGGAGGAGTGAGGTCTGGGCCCAGATTTAAAGAATGACTCTAATTAGGCAATGAAAGTTAGGAAAAGCATTCCCAGCAGAGGTGGAGGCACGTTTAAAGGTAACAGATCCTGACCATTCTTCCAGAATCCTATACATTTTTCTGTATGACTGGATCGCATTGTGTGTAGGGACAAAATGACAAGAGATAAAGTTGAAGAGACAGACAGGAGCCAGGTCATCAGCAGGAACAGAAGCACTAATATTTATTGAGTGCTTTCTATGTGCCTAGCATTTTGTATTAATTAATTTTAATGCTCACATTGATTCTTTAAGGATCAATGAGAAATTATAATCCCCATAGAAACCCAAGAAAGTTAAGCAAATTTACTCCAGATCATCTATATGTACATACATACTTATATGTGTGTGTATTAGCAGTGTGTAAGTATATACACGTGTGTATATATGTGTGTATATATCCACATATATATACATGCACATATATGTGTATGTATGTGTGTGTGTGTGTATGTGTGTGTGTGTGTGTATTATATATAGAGGTTGAATGCAGGTCTGCCTGCCTCCAAAGCTGTGCCCCTTTTGCCTCACAGCTGTGGATGTCTAGCTCAGGACTTTATCCTAAGAGCAGTGGGAACCACAGGAAGATTTTAAAAGGGAGCATGACATAATCTGGAAGGGATGCTGGAGAAACTGAGCAGGCTCTCTGCGTAATCTGAATTTCTCACAGTTTAGGCCACTAACCACTAGCATTATTTCTCAGTTCTCATGGAAGACCAATTTGTGGGATGAAAATAATATAAGAGGGGAAGACTTTAAAAAAATTAGAACTTAGAAAACTGAATTAATTGACACATTTGTTTCCAGACTCAGAGATTATCAATCACATTAAGAATTCAATTCAGTTTTCTGATGAGTTAATTTCATGTAATGAAACATGAAGCCTTCTAGGACTTGTGTTGGAAGGGGTAACAATGCACTGCTCACATTCAGGGCTGCTTCTGCTTCTTCCAGTGCAGGTTTAGCTGCCTCAAGCTTGCTTTCAGCTTTCACTTTTTCACTATCAATTTCATCCACAATTTTTTGGGCTTTGTCCTTTACCTCCTGTACTTCATTTTTAATTTTGGCTGAAGCCTGAGCGCTTACTGTGACTTCTGCTAATACCTGTTAAGTTGAGGAAACACATGAAAGCCAATAGAAACCTTTCAAGCAAAATTTATAGATCTGAATAGTGAGCAAATATTTATTCAACATAATATAAAACACGAATAAGAACAAACTTATTTCCTAAGTTGTCTATATTTTAAGGTATATTAAAGTAAATTCCTTTGAGCAGTTCCTCGCAGTCTTCCATTTTCTAAGCTTTTCTTAGGCTTAGAATATATATATAAATAAATATTTAAAGCTTTCAGAAGAAATAGTATTTTCACTCTACAAATTTCTAGAAAATTAAAACAATTCAAGTAAGTATCATAGAATAAGGGCAAAAAACCATTTTAAGCCTTGTATAATAACAATAAAAGAAGCTAATGTTTATTGAGTGCTTACCATATATGCCAGGACTATGCTTAAGTGCCTCCCCTATGTTAGTTCACTCATTTCAGCAACTGGCTAAGGATCAAGACTGAAGTATCTATTCTTAACTGACTCTTGGTGACTGGAAGCTGAAAGTCTGAGACTAGAAGGCTGTATAATAGATAAAAAAGCAGCACATAGGCCGGGCACCATGGCTCATGCCTGTAATCCCAGCACTTTGGGAGGCCGAGGCAGGCGGATCACAAAGTCAAGAGATTGAGACCATCCTGGCCAACATGGTGAAACCCCGTCTCTACTAAAAATACAAAAATTAGGCAGGAGAATCGCTTGAACCCAGGAGGTGGAGGTTGCAGTGAGCCGAGATCACGCCACTGCACTCCAGCCTGGGCAACAGAGCAAGACTCTGTCTCAAAAAAAAAAAAAAAAAAAAAAAAAAGAGAAAAAGCAGCACACATATATACCTATCTCCTTGAGAGGAGTATGGATTTTTCCTCTTTCTTTCTTTTAAAAAAAAAAACTCTACCAACTCTTCCTCGATTTGGGCCATCCCAGAAACCTGGAACATACAGGGACCTTAAACAGAAGACCAAATATAACTCATAGTCAAGCAGAAATTTCATAAACAGATGAAAAAGAACAAGAGAGACAGACAGAGTGAGAGAAGAAATAATAGTCTTAGGCCAAGTAGCAAAATTAATAGTTCAGGTATACGCTGGTATAAGTTAAACAAAAATGTCTAATGGTCTTTGTGAACACTATCTTATCAGGAATTGTCCATGGGTTTATACCCTGCTTGTTCTTTAGTACCATTTTAAAACAATGCATTTTAATATGGAAAAATATTCCTCATCAGTGATAAAATAAATGCAAACTCACTTCGTCTGCTTTTATGGAAGCCACTGCCAACTCCTTCTCCTTGACTGCAAGATCCTGAGAGAGTTTAGCAACAGATTCACTTGCCTCCATTAGTTTATCAAGACCTTTACAAATACACACATATATACCTTTACTGAGTACAGGTATATGCCTTCATCAAATATTTATTCAATGTTTACTATTTATTAGGCACTGTACATGTAATATAACAAACACAAAATTGTAGACAAAAGCTTTAAAAATATACATGTCTTAAAAGCAACAATATTGACCATATTTCTGAGTTTCAACAGGAAGGCAAAGAAAATAGCTCTGACCGAAGAATATCACGTAGCTACATTTAAGGGAAAGTCACAATGTCCTATTGAATAAGATTAGTTTGGCCAAGAAACTTATTTGACAAATTTATGCTCTCTGTGGCTTTGTAAACAGTTTGTAGCTATCATTTTTTGCCTTTGAATCATATTGCAGCTGAGGTGGCAAATGAAATAGAAAATATATTAACATTTTTGTGGTTCTCTTTGTTATAAAAATGAAAATAACTGTGAAAACTTATGTAATGGACTTTGCAACTTTTAGCACCGTAGAGAAAAAGAACTGGTTAACTGAATTGCTCACATTCCAACGGGTTCTAGGTAGTGGGATGTTGGTAAATATTTAAATCTGGGTCACTGGGAAAAGGGGAAGCCCTCATCTGTATATTGTCCAATTTCTGTAGTGTAAACACTCCCACCATGGCTGATTTCAGGCTACCAAAAGATTCTCAGTACCACACTGTTATGTAATATTCCTACCATACAGACAGAAGTAAATAACCTCAAGAACATTGATATAAGAAAATAGAGTAGGCCGGGTACGGTGGCTCACCCCTGTAATCCCAGAACTTTGGGAGGCCAAGGCGGGTGGATCACCTGAGGTCAGTTCGAAACCAGCCTGGCCAACATGGCAAAACCCTGTCTCTACTAAAAATACAAAACAAGCTGGGCATGGTGGCGCATGCCTGTAATCCCAGTTACTTGGGAGGCTGAGGCAGGAGAATTCCTTGAACCTGGGAGGCAGAGGTTGCAGTGAACAGAGATCACGCCATTGCACTCCAACCTGGGCAACAGAGCAAAACTCTGTCTCAAAGAAAAAGAAAAAAAAAAAGAGTAAAACTAAGAAGGGATGAGTTTGAGCATTTATTGCCTTTATTTTAAATCCAATTTGTTTAATTGTAAGTATACATGAGTTAATTTTTAATAAAAGTTCTGTTTAACAAGGAGATCACAAAATTCCTAAAAATTTAACATTGTGTTCTCAAAAGCCACTATGAGTTGGCTTCAGCACACTACTGATCTAAAGCATCATATAGGAAAGCTGCAAGAAGCTGAATCATGAGAAAACCGCAGAAGAAGCCTTCTTTCACAGTCTTCTCTCATAACTATGACTTCACAGACCTTGGCGCTGTTATGCTATGTGACCAAGTGGTTTTTGTTTTGATTTTTTCTTGAGACAGGGTCCCACTCTGTCACCTAGGCTGGAGTGTAGTGGTGCAATCTCAGTTCACTGCAGCCTTGACCTCCAGGGCTCAAGTGATCCTCCCACCTCAGCCTCCCAAGTAGCTTGGTCTACAGGCATGCACCACCACAATGCCTGACTAATTTTTATATTTTTGTAGAGACAGGGTTTCACCATGTTGCCCAGGCTGCTCTTGAACTCCTGGGCTCAAGTGATCCGCTTGCGTTGGCCTCTCAAAGTGTGGAATTACAGGCATCAGCCACCATACTCAGCCCCTCAAGTTTTATTTAGAACTTGAAAAATAAGAACTAAGGTGTTTTAGATTGTTTGGGCCACATGCTTTCTGGACATATAATCTCTTCCAATGTTTACTTTTGCTAGTTATACTACATATAGCAGACACTTGGAAAACTCTTGCTTAGGTACACAATCTCTTTTTGTTTTTATTTGTTTTTGCTTCTATTTTGCCTTTTTCTTTATTAGAAATGTAGGGAAAATTAACATGGCAAAGTTTATACAAATCAAGGCAAATCAAAATGAAACCAAAAACTGAAATTGTTGTCCATTCCCAAAAGCTGGCTTGTCCCCATCTGCCAGCAATGGCTCAGTGACTCAGCACAGGGGACCCAGAGTTGAAAGAGCCAGGAGAAATGGTTCTGCAGAGAAAATAGGCCACTTCTGTTTAGATTTTCTTCTGTTCAGAGTTTCTCGACAGGTCAAAATACCCTCAAGGCCATCCTTTAAAATTATCTACTACTAACAAAGTGAGTATTTCATTTTCAGACAAAATGTCCACCAAACAAAATATTGAGATCCCTATCAAATAAACCCTATTTCTATTCCATCCCATTCCATTCCATTCCTCTTACCAATATTCATACGTTCAGCCTGTTCATTAATGAACTTCACCTTTTCAGCATAAATGTTTTTATAACCATTTATAAATGAGAGGTAAGATTTGGGAGTCACATGTGCTCTTCGGCGGTATCTGAAAGCAGAACATTAAAAGGACCATTTCAATCATTGTGCGTACTCCCATAAAACGACACCTTTCCCAAGGTGAAATCAGTGTGATCATGTAGAGTGATTCACTAGCAGGAAGACAGGACTTGAGCAAGGTTTCTCAGAGGTGAGGTGGAAAAAGGACTAAATCTGTCTGATGTTTCAACCCTGAGGGGTCTTTGACTTCACCCTTAACTCCAACTCTGTTTCCTCATCTGGAAAATAGAGAAAAGAATATCTGCTCTACCCCTCCCAGAATTTTGTGAAGATCAAATAAAATCGCATATATGAATCTATGTGAAAGCTGGTGTCAACAGTGCAAAACTTTAAGGTTCTGGACAAATATTAGGGATAAGTGGTTGAAATGAATTTGTGCTGTGATCCATTTTCATTCAAGTGATATTTGTTACAACCTCTTCACTGCTGGATACCAGCTGGGTGGGTTTACAGAAGCAAAAACCAATGTCTCCCAAGTTCACTGGATTGGCCTTGAAATCAAGGCAACCACACTCGATTCAAATGTCCACTTTATTGTGGCTTTATTACAAAAGGCATAATTTTATACAGAAGAAGCTCAAGTGAAAAAAGAGTTCTTCACGTACTATAAAATTATTTAACCTTTTATATTAATTTAAACTTTTGTAGTTTTGAAGATTTTTAATGCTTTTGAGTTTTTTTTAAGATCTTGGGCATATATGTGACTATCATTAAAGTGTTGTAAAAATATTACATTCAGAATAAACTTCAACAACCTAAGAACATATAAAAAATTTTGAAAAATATACCCAAATTTTCAAAGTAAAGAAACAGATTTTTGTAGCTGCACAAAGGTAAAAATTTATCTCCATGGATGACATTAGCAGGCGTTCAAATAGAAAGAAAATCTTCTTAACAGTAAGAATTAGTATACACTGATTCACCAAGAGAATTTGGGAGATCTTATCTAAAAGGGTGGTCTGGGAATGGTTTTAAGTAAAGGAAAAGGTATGGAATAAATAAACTTTTGTGAAGTAGGAACCTCACTGAAAATCAATGAAAGTGTTACGCAAACTCTCTATGCAGAAAAACAGGCATAGCTTTTCTGGGGATCCACGTTGGCCCATTTGTCAATCTTACACAGTGACTGTCATGCTTTGGGGAAAAAAGCTGTGTTTTTGCATGGTTGACACCAGCTTTCACATAATGAACATGCCATTGCTGCTTTTAGTGAGTGGTTTTCCCATAGTCAATTGATATTTTGTTTCATAGTTGTCTGGCATAGAAACATTGGTAAGACTAAGTAATGCAAATACAAATTCTAAATACTCCTTTAACATAAGGCAATAAAGAAACATTAGAAGCAGTGTACTTTAATCAAAATAAATAATACATTTGAATAAGAAACTAATTTTAAACAGTTGGTGATGAATTAGTTAAGTCATTTTCAAAACAAAATTAAGCAGATGAAATAAAGTAATTCATTAAGCATCTGTTACTCTGAGGCTTGGAGGATAAAAAGGTATTTAAGTGTGGACACTAGTTCGTTTTTAAATCTTGTTTACTTGCCATCTCTTCATACATAGTCACTAGAAAATCAAAGCAAGAAAGATCTAAAAATACAGCTCGTGCTCAATGAATAGAAAGAGTCTTCTGCTGGATGTTACAATGCATTCCTCTTGGGAATACATGCTGTGGTTCCATAGCGATGGTGCTTATGTAATATCACTTACCTTTGGAAATAACTTTCACAGCTCTCTGAAACCATGTCATGAAACAGGCCCATTGTTTCTACAACTTGTCTTTTAATTTCACTAGAGCAGACAATATTATAGTCTGAAAGGAAGTAGGAGGCCACAGCAATCAGAGCCTCCCTTGGCCAGCGGCTGAACCAGTCCATAGTGCAACCTGATATCAAGCCAGGAAATTTCAAAGAACGGGCACGGAACTTCTCACCAACCTATTGATAGCAAAGTCAACAAACATTAGAAACACAGAGGGGTTATAAGTCAGCCAGAGAGAGATTTACGCAATCTGACCCAAGAGTGTGACATCACAGATTTGAAAATGAATCTTCTTGGGCTGCAGTCATATATAAATTTAATGTTGTGATGAAGGGAGGAAATATACTCCACACTCTTCCCTGTCCTGGGACTACATCTACATTATTGCGTTCAATTCTAGGAACTTTCTTTTAAGAGGAAACTGATAAACTAGTACTCTTTTAGAGAGAGGGCCAGGACAGCAAAAGGCCTGGACACTGGGACAAGTGAGAACAGCTGCAGGAACAGTTGTTTGGTCTAAAAAGGAATCAACTTAGACAGCCTTGCAAAAACCTTCTCCAAATATCTGAAAAACTTTACACGGAAGAGGGATTGAGTTCCTTGTATAGGGCAGAGTTAGAATCAGAAAAGTACAGAGACAAAATTCTATTGATTATAAATAAGAGCTTTTTGGCAATTAGACTATCCAAGAATGAAGCAGGCTGCCTTATAAATTAGTGAGACTCCCTAGAGCAGAGCTGTCAATAGAACTTTAAGTGATAATAAAAATGCTTTATATATATGCTTTCCAGTGTGGTAGCTATTAGCCACACATGACTACTAAGCACCAGGAATGGAGCTAAGCCAGGCACGGTAGCTCATGCCTGTAATCCCAGCACTTTGCGAGGCCCAGGCAGGTGAATCGCTTGAGTTCAGGAGTTCCAGACCAGCCTGGACAACATGGCAAAACCTTGTCTCTACAAAAAATACAAAAATTAACTGGGCATGGTGGCACATGCTTGTAGTCTCAGCTACTTGGGAGTCTAAGGTGAGAGGATGGCTTGAGCCTGGGAGGTTGATGCTGCAGTGAGCCATGATCATGCCACTGCACTTCAGCCTAGGCAACAGAGCAAGACCCTGTACCAAAAATAAACCAAATAGTAAGTAGAAATGAGGCTAATTAATCAAAACTTAAGTAGCCATATATGCCTAATGGCTACTATATTGGGAAGCACAATGAGATAGAGATTTTCAAACCTACATCAGAGACATTATAGTAAAGCTAATATGTCTACATGGGAGGTGGAGCTGGACGAGGTTACATCACCAAGTCCCTTACAATTCAAACAACCCATGTCTCTAGGTAATTAATGAAAATTGCAGGTTATGCAGTATTTTTTAATAATATGAATATTTTAAATTACACTGGAAATGAGAATTTGGTCAATGGAGATTGTGTGGTACAAAAGTGTTAATTTTAATTCAATGTAAAAATATTAATTTCTAAGATCATTTTCTAATCAGAGAAGGCAAACTAAGCACCTTTAAATAAGGAACTCTTTCTACGTAGATATAAATAAAAATAAAAACTTACTGGAGAAAAGCAGAGAACAACATGTAAGTTCTTCCTTGATCTTGAAATGAAGTATTCATACAAATTATCAAAGGTAGGAGGATGGCGAGGTAGCTCCCTCTTCATCACTGAAATCAGACCTTGGGTGATTTCATCCATCTCATCTCGTGCAAACAAGTTGGAGATCTTTAAGGAATGGACAAGGAAGTGTTCTGTGTTTTAAGAGTTCTCCACAGTCAATTCACTGCCAAAGTCCAGTCCCTTTTTTAATTTGCATGTCATCTTGTTTCATATTTTCTTTCAGCATCTCCACAGTCAAATCCCTGATTTGCCAGAGATGATCAAGACTGCAACTTTTTATTGAGCAGCTCAATCAAGAACTAATTGTGTTCTCCTGTGCTCCAATAGCTATCACCAAAAAGCTATCTCCACCACCACTCAATCATCTCTTTAAAATGTCCAGGGGTGCCCTCTGTACTTTGACTCAGAGTCAGTCTAATCAACTCTGGCTCCAAAATACTTAACTAATTTTTGCACCATTAAGCATCTGTATACCATGGTGTAGGGAAGAGTTAACACAGCAGGCCTAATCTTGAAAAGGGTATGCTTGCAGAGCTGACCCTTGTCTGTTATCAGGGAACTTGGCTTTTGGAATGTCTCCTCCATTAGTAATTGATAAGGTTGTTTTGCAGTGCCAACTAGACTGTTTACACAAACCTTGTGATACATGGCAAACATCTATCTGCTTTCCTTCTAGGAATCTGGAACTTTGGTAGTTGTAGCTAGGCAGGAAGTGACCAAACCTAAAAAAAAACCACTGGACTCTGAATCTCAAGTGGGCTTCCCTGAATGGAAACAGTGCATATGTTACTGCCCTTCATACTGGATGGAGAGGACGTTCTGCATGGCCCCTTGGCAAAAGCATAGGAAGCTGGAACATCAATTCCATGTTCCTGGAACATCGATGACTCCACAAGATGAGTCTTTTTCTCTACTGATCTGGCTCTGTATCCTTACTGTGTTGCCACAATAAATCTCAGCCATGAGTATAACTATAAGTTGAACATCCCTTATTCAAAATGCTTGGGACCACAATGTTTCAGATTTCAGATTTTTTTCAGATTTTGGAATGTTTGCATTTCACTTACTGGTTGAGCACCCCCAAATCAAAAAATCTGAAATCTAAAATGCTCCAATAATGAGCATGTCCTTTGAGCATCATGTCCGTGCTCAAAAAGTTTCAGATTTTGGAGCATTTTGGATTCCAGAGTTTTGGATTTGAGAAGCTCGACCTGTATATGCTGAGTCTGGTGAGTCTTTCTGATGAAGTACTAAAGATGTGAGTGCTCACGGAAGTGCTGATACAAGCGGTTTCAGAAGTGGCAGTACAGACATCCATTTACAACTAACAGAACTCTTTCAACCATTCTATACTCCTCACTAGTATGCAGATAGATGGACAGATACTTTGCTTCTCCTAAAATAAATTATAAGACCAAAGTGAAGACTGAAGAGACAAGTAAGGAACCATGTTCAAAATTAAACAAAGCATCTGGAGATGGGCAGCATTCATTTCACAGGAACTTCAGAAAATCTGCTAAATCTCGTACATTAACCATGTCTAAAATAAAAAATGTACTAAATAGCCTCATTTTTGAAAGGTTGCTGCTTTTTCTATTCCAATATAATTTATATTTTTACAATATGGGCTTTTTCTCTACTTTTGAGACTTACCTCCCCTGAAGATAGCAAGTTGTTAAGGTATTCTAGAAATGCCTCATCTTTTATTTCACTGTCAGTAAAGATGAAAGTGATGCCTTTTCCATCAGCACCAGCAACTTTGTACAAAGCTTTTAAATCATCTGTTAGATTAGTCACATTGTAAGACCTAAGAAGAAAAATGATAGAAAGTTTTAGATTAAAAAATATATAGTCGGCTGGGCGCGGTGGCTCACACCTGTAATCCCAGCACTTTGGGAGGCCAAGGCGGGTGGATCACGAGGTCAGGAGATCGAGACCATCCTGACCAACATGGTGAAACCCCATCTCTACTAAAAAAATACAAAAAAAAAAGCCAAGTGTGTGGTGTGTGCCTATAATCCCAGCTACTTGGGAGGCTGAGGCAGGAGAATCGCTTGAACCCGGGAGGCAGAGGTTGCAGTGAGCCGAGATCATGCCACTGCACTCCAGCCTGGGCGACAGAGTGAGACTCCTTCTTAAAACAAATAAACAAACAAACAACAACAACAAAAAAAACCATAGTCATAATTTATCCCAAAACATAATAATAGCCTGTGATTATTAGAGCATAATCTGTACCTGCTCCAATAGATACTAAGTAATGGTGCCTGCTAGAAAACACAGAGATTAGAGCTAAAGAGTGATATGTTACCATTCAAAACAAATATTTCGTTTAAGCTGAGAACTGAGAAACAGGGAACTTACCAAAAGTGATCCACAAAGCATAAGTGGGAATAGAGAAATGAACTTTTAGTCCCTGCAATCTGACAGTCCTCAGCAACAGATTTTGTCCGAGTAAATATATATATAATATCTAAAACTCATCTGAAATTTGGATGAGTTTGATTTGGTGAAAAATTCAAAATACGTTATGAATAAAATTAGTCATAAATTGTATATAGTGGCAATTTGCACAGCTCATTAAGTGGCTAGATACAAAGAAAACCCACAGAAAAAGATGCATTGTGCAATAAGGTATAAATAATAGAAATGTTAGATGGCTACAAATTATGGAATGAAAAGATCTTGGTCTTTGTTTTTTGGTTCACTCTGTTTCCGGTTAAATGTATGTGCTACCAGAGGTGATGAGATGTGTAAAAATAAAGCAGACATTATCTGAAATGTTGTATGTAAATCCTCATGGGTAAGCTAATGACAAGGACTAAAAGGTAATCCTCACTGGAAGGAGGTGTTACAATGCAAGTAATGGGCAGTAGGCCATGGGGTCTCACAGAAAGACTATGAGCCCTGGAACCAGAAAGATCTAGTGGCCTGATGCTGTCAGAGTAATCCTCTCACTGACTGGCCAGTCTCTGAACTAATCAGCCAAAGAGGTCAATTTGGCTGATTTTTTAAAGAATTAGACTGACTGTGATGTATTGCTTTTGCAATACATAGAGACAGTCACAACACACCCCTTGTCCAGATCCTGACCTCTCTTGTTTCTTTCTTTCAAGTTTTCCAAAAGTATTCTCTGTGCTTCTTCTCTTCCTAATGCAATGTGGCTTGTGCACCCATCCACTTCACTGAAAGTGTCGTCATGCATATCAGTTGCCACTTTTCATGTCTTAACATTTTCAGATTCTTTCTTTTTTTTTTTTTTTTTTTTGAGACGGAGTTTCACTCTTCTTGCCCAGGCTGGAGTGCAATGGCATGATCTCGGCTCACTGCAACCTCCACCATCAGGGTACAAGCGATTCTCCTGCCTCAGCCTCTTGAGTAGCTGGGATTACAGGCGCCTGTCACTATGCCCAGCTAATTTTTTTGTATTTTTAGTACAGATGGGGTTTCACCATGTTGGCCAGCCAGTCTCGAACTCCTCACCTCAGGTGATCCGCCCACCTCGGCCTCCCAAAGTGCTGGGATTACAGGCGTGAGCCAGGGCGCCCGGCCAGCATTTTCAGATTAATTATCTACCTGCTTAGTTTCTGGAAACCACTCTGGATTTCCTCCTCTCTGTCTTGCCTCTTCTTCTCACTCTCCATCGCAAGCCCCCTTTCTCTATGTTGGGAGACCCCAGAATTCTTTCCACAGCCATCTTTTCTTTCCATGACGCACCCTATTCGTACTCCCCATGACCACAAAAGGTTCCTCTCTACTGAGACTTCTATATTGCTATCTCCAGAACCAGAACCCCTCTCCTGAACTCCACATCCATGAGTCTTATTATCTATGGACACTGTGTTCTGCAGACACCTCAGACTCAAATGTACTGAACTAAATTCTCACTTTACCCTTCAAAGCTGGTCATTTTTTTATTTATTCAACACATCCTTTTACAGAATTGGTTAAAAGTAAGCATTTAATAATAAAAGTAAAAAAGACAAAGATTACAGTGGCCCATTCTCAGGGAGCTTACAGCTTAGTGAAGGAGATAGAAATGTATGTGAACAAGCACTTTTTTTTAATGCAGTGTGGTAAGTACAGTCATGCATTGCTTAACAATGGGGTTACATTTTGATAAATGCATCCTTAGAAAATATTGTCACTGTGGCTGGGCGCGGTGGCTCATGCTTGTAATCCCAGCACTTTGGGAGGCTGAGGCAGGTGGATCACAAGGTCAGGAGTTCAAGACCAGCCTGGCCAGCATGGTGAAACCCTGCCTCTACTAAAAATACAAAAATGAGCCAGGCGTGGTGGTGCTCGCCTGTAATCCCAGCTACTCGGGAGGCTGAGGCAGATAACTGCTTGAACCCGGGAGGTGGAGGTTGCAGTGAGCAGAGATTGCACCACTGCACTCCAGCCTGTGTGACAGAGTGAGACTCCTTCTCAAAAAAAAAAAAAAAAAAGGAAGAAAGAAAGAAAAAGAAAACATTGTAACTGTGGGAGCATAATATAGTTTGGATGTTTGTCCCCTCCAAATCTCGTGTTGAAATGTAACCACCAATGTTGGAGGCGGGGCTTGGTGGGAGGTGTCTGGGTCATGGAGGCAGATCCCTCATGAATGGCTTAGCACTATCCCCTTGGTAATGAGTGAGTTCTAACTCTGAGTTCATATAAGATCTGGTTGTTTAAAGGAGTCTGGGACCTGCACCCTCACTCTCTCACTCCAGCTCTCACAATATGACCACCTGCTGCCCCTTTGCCTCCTGCCATGATTGAAAGCTTCCTGAGACCCTCACCAGAAGCAGGTGCCAGCATCACACTTCCTGTACAGCCTGCAGAACCTTGAGCCAAAACAAACCTGTTTTTAAATAAATTACACAGCCTCAGGTATTCATAGCAATGCAAAAACTGACTAATACAGAACAGCGTAGAGTATGCCTACACATACCTAGGCTATATGGAATGGCCTATTGCTCCTAAGCTACAAACCTGAACAACATGTTACTGCACTGAATGAATACCATAGGCAATTCTAATGCAATGGTCCATATTTGTGTATCTACCTAACCATAGAAAAGGTACAGTAAAAATACAGTATAAAAGATTTTTAAAATGCTACTCGTGTATAGGGCAGCTCCATTATAATCTCATGTGACCACCATCATATATGTTGTCTGTTGTTGACCAAAATGTCCTTATGGGGCACACAACTGTACCACTAGAGAAATTAGAGTGTCATCCTAGCCTTCCTGTTCTTTCCTCCTCTTCCTGAATATTGGGTCAGTTACTAAGTCCTATCAATCCTGCATACTTTAAACTGTCCCTGCTGAGTCTTCCTCTCTATTCCCACTTCATCTGCTGTTATAAAATGTATCCAGAATTTGTTGTAATCAAGTGTGGTAAGACACAATGACACAGGAACGACTGTCATGAAGCAAGATGTTTATACTCAAGGATCCCCAGAAACAGAAGGGGGCTTGACATGCTAGGTAGGGTGACATGGGGAAACACCAGAGTCAATCAGGAGGCAAAAGGAGTGATGGGAAAACACGGGCAAGAGTCTTTATTGTGGTTTCCATGAGAAAGGCAAGGCAGGTAAGCAGAATTAGGATTTGCTAGTTTGAATAATTTCAGCAGCCTCTGGGGCATAGGAGTGGTCCCTTGTTGACTGGTATGTGGCCCTGGGGTGATTAGGGCAGAGGAATATTCTAATCCACCATGAGATGCCACCACACACCCACCAGATAGAGGTGGTGGTTGGGAGTAAGGACTCTGGATTGGTTGGTTTGCATATGAAAGGTACTCTCCTGGAGGAGCTGTTTGAATCTCTAAGAATTGGCTAACCTAGAAGGGTCAGTCTCTCCCCAGTCAGCAGAGTCTCAGATGCCAGGGTATCAAGAATACAGAAATTAAGAAAATATAGTGAATAAATTTGCCTTAATTTAAGCCTCCGTCATTCCTAACTACAATCAGTGCAACACCACCTATCTCAGGATCCCAAATTTAGATGCCTACAGGAATCAGACAGATAATGCCAGTGAGTGAAGCAGTGCTGTTGGGGCCTGTGGATTGGAGGATTGCATGTCCCATCCAAGGAGGCAGCTGCTACTGAGCTCTGCCACCTGGGAGTGTAGGCCCTAGGTTGCCAGATCTTCCAATTATTTCAAAAAGTCAGAAATACGCTTTTCTAAAACATGAAACCTCCCGATTTTTAAATGCTGACAACTAATTTAATTTTTTGAAGTAAAATTAAATTAATACCTACTTATTTGATATTTTATGTTTTTAAAATACTTCTATAAATTGTATTTTGTTCAATTTTTATTTTTCTTTTGTTTGGCAGCAGAATGATTTGTGTGTTTGTTTATAAATTGGCAAAGTGATCTAAATTTTATACGGAAATAAAAGGCCAAATGGACAAGACGTTTTGAAGAACAACAAAGTTAGAGATCTGACACTACCAAATATACATATGTTAAATTTAAATATATATACTAAAGAAGCTACAGCAATTAATATAGTAGGTAATGATACAAAGATAGATAAGGAAACCAGTGGAGGAGACTATATAGTCACATATATGATCAGATGACTTAAGACAAAAAATGGCACTGTGATGTGGCAGGGAAAAGATGACTTTTTTAATAAATGGAGCTGGATCAACTGGATATCAATATTGAAAATAATAATCACAACTCCTATGTCAGACATTATAAGAAAATGAATTCTAGGTCAGTTATAGTACTAAATGAGAAAGTAGTAAATTTTATGTGTAAATGTGAAGAAAATCATAGGAAAATATCTATGTGCCCTTAGGGTAAACAAAGATTTTAAAATATAATACAAAAAAGGACTAAATAGAAAAAAATGAATGTTTCATTAAAATTAAGATCCGCTAAGAGAATGAAAAGGCAAATCAATAACTGAGCAAAGGTATTTGCAATATACACCCTTTATATCCAAAACACATATAGAATTCCTAACAATCAATAAGAAAGAATCGCAAACAAATTGAAAAAAAAATGGAGAAAGGGCTTTTATAATTCACAAAAGAGCCTATCCAAATGGCCAATGAGAGATAAAAAGGTGCTCAACATCATTAGCCATCTGGGAAACGCAAACTGAAACACAGTGAGCTACCACTCCACACACAGAATTGCTAAAATCGGCCAGGCGCGGTGGCTCACGCCTATAATTTTGGGAGGCCGACGCGGGTTGATCACTTGAGGTCAGGAGTTCAAGAGAAGCCTGGCCAACATGGTGAAACCCCGTCTCTACTAAAAATACAAAAATTGGCTGGGCATGGTGGCACACTCCTGTGATCCCAGCTACTCGTGAGCTGAGGCAAGAGAATCGCTTGAACCTGGGAGGTGGAGTTTGCAGTGAGCAGAGATCATGCCATTGCACTCCAGCCTGGGCGACAGAGCAAGACTACATTTCAAAAAAAAAAAAAGATTTGCTAAAATGAAAAAGACACACAATGCCAAGTGGGAGCAAGGATGCGGAGCAACTCTCATGACATGTTGGTGGAAGTGTAAATTGGTACAACCACATGGAAAACTACTAAGCAGATCAACTAAAGCTAAATATACAGATAACCTACATCCAGCAATTTTAACTCTAGATGTGTACTCAGACATGTACAAGAATATTTACAGTAGCTCTATTTGCCCCAAACCAAATGTTTATCAAGAGTACAATGGATAAATAGACTGTGGTAGTATCTGATTAAGTTGAAGATCATGCAGCAAAAAGAATGAACAATTCTTGCTACATGTAGCATCATGGATGAATCTCACAAACAATGCAGTAATAGAAATAGGATGCAAAGAGCAAATCCTGTATAGTTCAATTGATACAAAATTCAAAACTGGGCAAAACTAATCAATGGGCTTACCCTTTGAATATGGTTACCCTTGGGAGGGTAATGACTGCAACGTAACATGGAGGCACTTCTGGGATACAAGAAGTGTTTTATTTCTTCATCTGTAGACTGGCTACATAGATGTATTTACTTTGTGACACTTGCGTAAATATCCTTATATATATAATACTTAAAGTTTACCTTAAAAAGAAATACAGGAAACTGTTGTGCTTCCTTTTTTTCTAAACATTTAACTATAGAGAAATTAACTATAGAAAAACATATTGTGTTTTATTTCATCCTACCTGGTTAATGTTATCTGGAATATTTGATAGCCAGCAATAAAAGAGGCCAATCTTGAAAGACTTTGTTTTCCGGAACCACCAACACCCACCAGCAATGCATTTCCACACGACGTTCGAATTATTCGTGAAATCTGTTTTGAGATTTAAAACGTGCTTATTTGAAAAAAGAATGCAATGTTTACATTTTCTTGCACTAAATGAGCCCAAGTTTTGATCATATGTTTCTAGATGATATTAGACTTTTTCCTCGTTAATGGTCTATGACAGAATTTTTAAAATTAAAGTTTAATACTGATTTGTTCAGCTCGAATCTTTCCTTGACCATCTATGTTTACATCATGAAGAACAGAACAAACTGGATTTACTCCCTTCTATTTTAAAACTATTCTGTGTGTGTGTTCATGCGTGTGCACGCATGTAGAATTTTATTATTTTTAGACCCAATGGATAGTGGAGCTGCTCTTCCCAATCTGCAGAAGATATAAGAAATGTTTACAATTGTTTTTTTATTATTCATCAGCCTGACACACTGAATCATGTAGACACCTAACTCAACAATGAACACTAACTCTATCATATCTCTGCCAACAAATTTTTTTAAGTACCATAATTCTATTTACAGTGGGGTAGGAGGATGTTTCTAGAAGCCAACTTGGAGAGACAGCCTTTCATGTTGTGTTGCTTTTCTATGGTTGATTTCCTCAGTGAAGATAAGACTCAAATTGTGGGTCAAATCTCATGCAGGCCAATTGAAGACATTGCTAAAAAGCTGTCTTTTATATTATTGTCACCAATTAGGGAGAAAGTCTAGATGGATCAGTAAATTCACTATCACCACTAAAAATAATTTTTAAAAAAATACAAGTTTTGCAGATGGTGGATCAATAATGACACCCTGGTATGTGTAAATTCTATCAGTATATTTTAAAATATATTAATCACTTATGGCTTTGCACTCAGAATAGGATCTCAGAACCTCAAGATCTAGCCACGGTGAATGGTCAATAATTACTTGTTGAATAGATTAGTGTGAAAACACCCCTTTTTCGTGTTACCTCTAACTGGCTTCTATTCTCTCACCAGTCCTATATATCAACCTTACCCCTGTCCCATCACCTGTAAGTCAATCATAACATTGACACTTTTAAAAGCAACATCTTTTCCTCCATGGGCAACAGAATTCCCATAATATCAAAATATAATTTGAGGGAAGTATATTTTTTCACAGGGTTCTCCATACTTTCTAAAGGTTCTCCATACTTTCTTGTTGACTCAGTGTGCCAAAAGCTCTGAACAGAAAACCATCTATTTGCCCTTGAAAGACATTTGCTGCCATGTAGATGGATTCAAATAAAGGGTTTCCTATTAAGCCTTTATTTTCTGGGACAGTGAATTGACCCAACCTATGTACAGTCTTCTATACGGTACCTGATAGTATATAGTTATTCTCTCAAAAAATTTATCTATGAAATATACGAAGCTTTTAAATCATCTATTTATATCAGTAAATAGGCAATAGTTAGGACCTTAATAAGATGAGTCATTGCATCTTTAAAAAACACCAGATCAAGAGATGTTCCTCTAATGATTTCATTGAACTGTCTCTGGTAAAACTGGAGTTTTTCAGCCAGAAAGTCAAAGGATGGCATCTATGGGTGGAGAGAAAGATAAAAAAATAATATTTAAGATCCAAGTATGTATTAAAGTAGCAATTGTAAAGACACTCAAAAGTAATTTTAAAATATACATATCTTTTTTTAAACGTTATGGATTTCCAGAGGTTTCTCACGTATTAGTCTACTTTTAGTTATTTCCATTTTCTAAGGCCTGAAACTTAACTGTATTAGTTGGTTTCTAGTGCAAAATCATTTCTGACCTTTCCCTACCAACTCCTATCCATAGTAATTAACACATTAATATAGGAAATATTTTTCTTGGTTTTTACTTACTTTTTAATATTGTTTGCAGCTTTCAAAAATATAAAAAGGTTTTACATTATTTATGGAGTTAAATCCACAAGTCTTTGTTGTTCTGAAATAAATCCACACCCACTTTCTTTGTTTTGCAAATTGTTCCTCCCCATCTAATTCTTTGATCTGCATACACTTTATTTTTATTTTTATTTTTTAGAGTCAAGGTACTCTGTCACCCGGACTGGAGTGCAGTGGTCCAATCATAGCTCACTGCAGCCTCGACTTCCTTGGCTCTATGGCTCCTCCTACCTCAACTCCCCCAAGTCGCGGGTATTACAGGCATAAACCACCTCGCCCGGCTCTATATAACTTTAGAATTACTTTGTTATATAACCCTGTTTTTAAAAGTCCCTTTGAAATCTTGTTTCAAATTTCATTAAACCTATATATTAATTTAGAAAGAATGACATGTTGCTGTTTAAGTAAAGTTTTATCATGTTAATTCCTACATGTTAATATTGTTGTTGCTGTTAAATGAAATACTTTTATGTTATATTTTCTGTCTTGTGATTGTTGGCAAGTGTTGGTAAATTTTTTCTGTAAAGGGCAAGATAGTAAATATTTCAGGCTTTAAGGCCCATTCAGTCTCTACTCACCCCTGCCATTGTAGTGCAAAAGCAGCTATGGCCAATATTTAAACCAATGGGTGTTTCAATAAAACCTTATTTATGAACAATGAAATTTGAATTCTATATTATTTTTACATGTCACACAATATTATTCTTTTGCTTATTTTTATTTTTTGGTAACTATTTAAAAATGAAAAATCAGCCGGGCATGGTGGCTCACGCCTGTCACTCCAGAATTTGGGAGGCCGAGATGGGTGGATCACTTGAGGTCAGAAGTTCAAAACCAGCCTGACCAACATGATAAAACCTCATCTCTACTAAAAATACAAAAAATTAGCCAGGCATGGTAGCGAGCACCTGTAATCACAGGACCAACACGGTGAAACCTCGTCTCTACTAAAAATACAAAAAATTAGCCAGGCATGGTGGGGGGCACCTGTAATCCCAGCTACTCGGGAGGCTGAGGCAGGAGAATTGCTTGAACTGGGAGGCGGAGGTTGCAGTGAGCCGAGATCGTGCCACTGTGCTCCAGCCTGGGGTGACAGAGAGAGACTCCATCTCAAAATAAATAAATAAATAAACAAATAAATATCCTTCTTAGCTAGTAAGTCTAATAAAAACAGGCAGTGGGCTGGCTGGATCTGGCCCAGAAACTATAATTTGCCAACCCTTGGTATAGGTATAGAGGATAGTTATTTCACATTTATATAATGCTTGGTCATCTTACTGAACTCTCTCTCTCTCTTTTTTGTTTTTTTGTTTGTTTGTTTGTTTGTTTGTTTGTTTTTTTGAGACAGGGTCTCATTCTGTCACCCAGGCTAGAGTGCAGTGACACAATCACAGCTCACTGCAGTCTCAAACTCCTGGGCTCAAGTAATCCTCCCACCTCCACCTGCTGAGTAATTGGGAGTACAGCAGCATGCCACCACACCCGACTAATTTTTCTTATTTTTTATAGAGACAGGGTCTCATTATGTTGCTCAGGCTGGTCTCAAACTCCCAGGCTCAAGCAATCCTCCCACCTCAGCCTCCCAAAGTGCTGGAATTATAGCAACTCCATGGTAGGACTCTGGTGCAGAGAGAAAGATCTAGTCAGGTGAGCAATCTGAAAACCTCTTTTAAGAGATGAAAATAAATACCAATTCATATATTTTGGGTACTTCAAACACAGAGTCTTCAGGTTCATCACCAGTTGGTTCTGGCATCTCACGAAGAAAATCCACAAAGTATGGTTCAGGAAGAATACACGACGCTGCATCAGAGCCAATATTTTCTTCAACTGCACGAGTAAGATGTGCATTAAACCACTGCTCATCTTCAGGAGTTATAAATCTGAAAGGAAAATGTAGTAGTAAGAATGTTAAATATGAAAGCATCTTTTCTAACTGAACATGTCCCTTCGCCTCTTCTCAGCCCCACCCTGGACCTTCTCAATTCAGGACAGGGAAACAATATGTTCTGCCTTTTGATAAGAAGGGCATAACCCCATCCAAGAAAGTTATAACATTAACAGCACTACTTATAGAAAACACAGATGAATCACTTAGGTGAGATCAAAGGTCCCTAAAACTTGCGATAGGAGAGCAGAAGTGATGGTCGGTAGTGGACGAGCGTCCTCTTTCTGGGTTGGTGGATTCAGTACACAAAGGACCTTTTCAGATTGACAATATAACAGAGGGAAGAGAGGACAAAGGGGAGTAACATTTGACAAGTATCACCCTTGTGTGAGACATGGTAGACACTTTACAACTTTGTGAAACTGGCATTATCATCTATGATTTATAGATGAGGGAATGGAGGCTCCAAAAGATGACTGAATTTAACTTTAATGGGATTGTTTAACTTTAAAGGGATGAAACCAGATTTCCCCACAGAAAACCTACAAAGAGCTCACAAAATTTGTAGAAAATATATACAATGAAAATGTGCCTCCGAATGTTATCACCTCTGATGATCTGGTGATTTATAAAGATGTATTGTTGAAGTCATACTGGAATAAATCGGCAGAGCATTTTTTTAAGACAGTGGGCAGGTGAGAGATGCCATCAATGCTTCACAAGCCCCACAGCAAATGATGACAATGCTCCTTACTCTACTTATCCTAGTAGGTAATGCAAGAAGTAACCGGCTGGGCAGGGTGGCTCATGCCTGTAATCCCAGCACTTTGGGAGACTGAGACAGGAGGATCTCCTGAGGTCAGGAGTTCAAGACCAGCCTGATCAACATGGAGAAACCCCATCTCTACTAAAAATACAACAACAACAACAAAATAGCCGGCCATGGTGGTGCATGCCTGTGATCCCAGCTACGGGGGAGGCTGAAGTTGGAGAATCACTTGAACCCGGGAGGCAGAGGTTGTGGTCAGCTGAGATCGCACCATTGCACTCCAGCCTGGGCAACAAGAGCAAAACTCCATCTCAAAAATAAAAATAAAAAAAATTAACCAAGTAGTATAAACTTCTCAGGTCATACATTTAAACTCTAGTGCCGCAACACGCACCTGTCTGCAATTACTCTGCTGCACTCGTGTTTGAAAAGGGACAGGAGAGTAGGGATTGAAGCGCACTCCTCAGCTTTTATGGTCAACATTCCTTGCCAAATTCTGGAAAGATCTCGAAGATTGAAGATGTAATGAAATTTAGAAGGAGTTGGCAGCATCTTCACCTAGAGATGAAAAAATGTAATACTCTCAGTTAGTTTTCAGATACAACTAAAAGTAGAATTACTTTTACAACTGTCTCACAAATCCTATTTTAGATAAAATCTGCTGAGTAAATAAATCAAGATTAAGTTCACATTTTGTGACAACACGGACAGAAAAAAATCATAAATAAACCAACTTAGGATTTAAAAGACCATAATCTCTTGGATAGGATGGATTCAAGACCAAGGCACTGGATGCAGATTCCAACACCTTGTTCTACTACCATCAGTTGGCTTTGAACAAGTCACCTCCCCTGAATTCTTAAGGACTATATGAACTGTGGGAATAATCATCCCTAATTATTGGTAGTATATGTGGAAATATGTCATAACAAAAACTGAACGTGAGTTGGTTGTCATGCAGGTAAGAACAACGAATGTTCACCTTTAAAGTTAATAATGGCTATCTTCTATAAATTGCTTTGATTAGGGTCCTTAATGTGTTAGGATTTCCATAAATATATCTGCATATCATAACCTGGATTTTACTGTGTGGATCCAAACTCAGTCAACAGTCTTTCATGTATCTGTATATCCATAATAAGTGGACAGGCAAGTCTGACATGCAGCTATACGTATAGTAATAGATGTTTTTTCTGTTTGAGCACAAAGACTGTATTATATGCTAATTTACTATTTCTACCAACTTCTAGGATATAAAAAGGCAAAGCTGTAACAATACCACATTCTTACCCAGAGAGATACCCGTTAAGAGATAACCTCGAGGTACTCTAGATATGGAAAGCATTGATGGTCATGTATAAAGATCATAATTGATATCATTAGCATCATTTTTGAAAGTGAAAATAATGATAATTCTGGTGATACAAACACCCCATACGCCTATTTCAGCAAAGCAGATGCTTTCTTTAGCATCTGTTCATAAATTAAGCCCTTTCTATACTGAAAAATTACCCTATTGAGTTTGTAATTTTTACAGGCTAATTCACAGTGCTATTTAAAACAGCAAGTAGCATGGGGAGATGAAAATAAAAGAAGTGTATTTTATCAATCACCTATCAACTTCCCTCTTTGCTCAGTTCCATTGCAAACTAAAATGTTCATCCTACCCACTAAAATGTAAAACATATAGTTATATTACAAGTATGTAAAAATACTCAAAGCGGTAAGGTTATGTGAATATTGCTTTTTTTATAGTATAACACTCCAGCCATGACGGCAGCCATTGGTAACTGAGGCAGTCATTAAAGAGAATTCTGTAAAAAAAAATTCCTTTCTTTCCTTCTTCTTCTCATTATTTGTTAACCTGCTTCTTTCCTTCTCTTCTAATATTTCCCTCTACTTTTCATCACCTTCTTTCTTTTCTGAACTGCTTCTGCCTTAAAGCTATATAAAGTAATACAAAGGTGGGCTGATAGACAAGGCATGAATGGATCAAAAGAGTGCTTTGTGAAGATGGGAGATTTGAAGAAAAGATACAAAGAAGGCTGCTTATGTAGAGGTGGGCAGAGGAGGAAGATTCATTCATTTTTCAATGACTGAGCACCTCCTTGGTTCTTAAGAAGACACAGTGGTAAACAGAGGACAGCTAACTCTGCTGCCATCAAGCGGGCTTTTATTCCAGTGGGGAGAGCCTGAGAATGAACAGGGAACAAATATATATGTAAATATGCAAATAATGATAGAAGCCATGGTTTAAAAAAAACCAGGGCCAGGAGACAGATAATGACTAGGATAGGGACAAGTGCAGTCACTTTAGAGGATGATTGGAACAGTCGCTCTGAAGGTAAGAGTGATGAGAATGAGCCAACGTATGGTGGCCCAGCAACGCAATAAACCTGGGGTACTCAAGGAATGGTGAGCAGGGCCATCGGCTGGAGCAGGTTGGTGGCAGGCAAGGGAAGTAAGCGGAGTCTGCTGACATTGTAAGTGGAACTGGGAGTCTACTGGTGGTTTTAAGAAGGAGTAAAGATTTCTGCTTTACTTTTTAAAAAATATCATCTAGGACTGTGAAAAGAACAGACTCCAAGAGAGCAAGAAGAAAGCAAGGAGATTGGTTAGGAAGTTACTGCATGGTCCAGGGGACAGGTGATCGGACCACTTATCAGGGTGGTCACGGGGGGATGGTGAGGAAGGTTCAGCTTTGGGGTAGATTTTGAAGGGGAGGTCACTGAGATTCACTGATGGACTCGATGTAGGCCATGAGGAAGACATAAATCAAGGATGGTGCCCAGTAATTTTAACCTAAGAAGCAGGATAACTGGTGCTGCTACTAAGATGCAGAAGTCTGAGAGAGGATTGTATTTAAAGACATTTAGGAGTTCTGTTTGGACATGGTAACTTTGAGATGAGTATCAGACATCAAACACTGATGTCTATTAAGTAGTTAGCAATCGGCCTGGAGCCAGGTAGAGAGGCCTGGGATGGAGATATCCATTTTGAAGTCATCAGCACAGGGATGATGTTTAGAGCCTTGAAGCTTGATGAGGCCACCTAGGGAAAGAATGTAGATAGAGAAGAGGGCCTGGCATCGAGACCAGGTGCATTTCAGTGTTTAGAGGAGGGAAAGAAGAAGGGGGACTTTAATGAGGTAGCCAGTGCACTAGGAAGAAAATCAAGACTATGGGGACCCTCTGAAGCCAAGTGAAGAAAATATTTAGAGGGATCATTTAGGTCAAATGCTGCTAAAGGATCATTTAGGTCAAATGCTGCTAAAAAGTCAAGTAAGAGGGAGAGGAAAATTAACCTTGAGATGTGGCAAGATCAAGGTCTTTGGTGGCCTTGACATGAACAGTGGGAATGAAAGCTTGTGCAGAATGGATTAAAGAGGTAAAGAAAAGACACTGAGGAAATGGAGCCAGGAAACATCCAAATACCAAAAGAAACTGATGGAAGACAGCTGCAAGGGCAAAGCTTTTCAGAGAACTATGTATATAAGCACAGTAAATTGAGCAATAATCCTATTGGAAACCACATGTATCTTACCACGGAAAACTATCTCAGACGCTCAGTCCTTGCAACTCATTTCTGAGTTTCTTTAAAAGAGGTGCAATGGCATGTGCAAAGGCCCTGTGTTGGCAAGGAACAGGGCCCCACACTCATCACTGAAGGTGGCCACATGGAAGAGCATCTCATAAGAAACCCCCAAATTCCTCTTCCAATAATTGTGTATCTAGAAATCCCCCAGTCTACCCAGGAATCTGAAAGGCTGGCACACTCAGGTTTCCCAGGAGACAAGTGCGTGCCCACATGTGTATAATTGGCCTAATGGATGTGTAGTGAATTACGACAACTAATCCTTATCTCCTTCATGGCTTTTTGTCAAATATATCAACCTCATTTTTATCTCATACCTACACTTAATTGCCTTTTCATGAGTACTGCCCTAAGTCATCTGGGGACAGCTGCAGGTTTGCTGAGCTTTACTTAGGACACTGACTTGTGTATGCAAATCTAGCCAATTTTTGTTAAGAACATTTCCATCCATTTACTAACTCACGCTCCTGCTCAGAGAAATACACAAGTTAGACTTCAAGTCCTAGTTGGCTGAGAATATCTGGAAATCCATGTATTAAGTCAGTCAATAAGCATCTGAGTGTCTGACATAGTTTGGTAGAAGGAGACAGATAATACAAATAAAGATTTACAAATCAGAGTAACAAGTGGAAATGCAGTGTTCTCATTTCAGCAAAATTCTACTTTGTCTTGGATGTCATGTCTGGTTTACAGTAACATCTCATACATACGGAAAGCATCATTTAGTCAGATCATTTGCTCCCTGGAAGGAAAAGGTGTTGTAAATCTATTTGAGCACGTAATTTGTCTTTTCCAAAAAACACCACTATATATGATATTATGATAACTTAATGAGCCACGAGGTGTGATCTAGGGCTGAATAATAGTTGCCTTTTTAAAAATTATTGACAAACCATTCTGTACCTTAGTCCATTGCCACAGCACTCTACCCACTGAGACTAAATTCACAATCATCTCACATATTTGAGGCTTGAAACTTCTACAAGGATCAAAGTATCCACATCCAATAATTCCTGAAAGATAAGCAAGATTGAAGGTATAAGCTTACCAAAAGATTTCCAAGTATATGTTTATCCCAGTAAACAAATCATTACAAGGCTGACTAAGCTGGGTGTTGTTCAGAATTTCTCTCAAGGGATCAGCTAAGACTGGGAGTCAGTAGTGGATCCAGCCAAGCTTAGTACGCAGTGATAAGTGTTTTATATGTATTGACTCATTTAATCCCCCACCCAGCACCCTACAAGAAAAAAATACAAGGTAGGTATTATTATTACTAGTCCCATTTTAACATGAGCTTAGTAACTTGCTCAAAGTTACACAGCTTGCATGCAGACAAATCTGAGATGTGAACCCAAGCAACCTGGCCCTAGAGTCTGTACATCAGCATTCACCCTGAAGCATATGTGAGCTTAGAGAGTACTCCCTCATCTTACAGAGAAGGAGACCAGGCCCAGACAGGTGAAGCCGATTGTTCAAGGTCACATGGACTGGTATTGGCAGAACTGGAATCAGGACCACTTTTTCCAGCCTACAGTCAGTCACCACTCTGGCCTGGGCTAGACATGCAACATTCCTAGGGAACACCCAGCAAAGTGATGGTCTGACCATCATTATGACTCTCAGAAAGACTGGGGTGTAGGTTTAGAGACTGTTCTCAAAGTCTCAGAATGTCTTTGATTTAGACCGAAGAAAGATTTACTCTGCTTCACTCCAGTGAGACTACACACTGCAGAGTGTGTTCAGTTCTGAGCATGGTATTCTCAGAGGAATATGAATATCTGCTCAGAGATGCAGAACAGGTTGATGAAGAGTGGAGACTAAAGAAACTGGAGTTTGTTCACACTAATTGAAGAATTGCCCTGGGGAAACATGAAATTTTCCTCCAAATCATGGTTGGTTGTGCTAAGTGCCTGTAAAGTCCGTTTGCTTCCTGAAATCCTATATTCTAGATTTCCACCTTCCTGTGGGACAACCATGTTATAAGAAGCATGAGATAGGGATTAGCAACACCCATCTGCCAAGCACTAGCTAAAAGGCCTTGATTGGGCAGTTATCTCACTTCTCTGAGGCTCAGTTTCTGGTTGGTTTGTTTTCCGTATTTGTTTAAATGTGTCAGTCATACTGAAGAGTATGTCAAATAGCTTAACAAATAACAAACGCTCATGTACAGACCACCAGATTGAAAACTACAACCTTGCCCAGCACATTAGAAGCCCTTGTACGTTCATCCTTGTTCACAATTCCTCCCTTCTCCAGAGGTCGCCACCTCTCTTTAATATAATCAGTAACTTGCTTTTCTTTATAGCTTCACCACTTAGGTTTTTGAACTTCTGAACTGGTAAAAAAAAAAAATTTTTGAAATTCAGTTTAATGGAATTATATTTTTCCTGTGATTTGCTTCTTTCAATTCAGCATTGTATTTCTGGGCTTCATCCATGGTGAAAGCATGTAGCTATATTCATTCATTTTCACTGCTGCACAGCAGGCCACTGTGTGCCTGTGACAGGATGTATTTATCCAGTTTTACTAGTGATAAATATCTGGATTATTTCACGTTTTTGCCATTGTGTACGCTGCACTATGAGCATTTTTGTATAAGTCTGCTGGCATGCATGTGCAAAATCAACTACAGATGGATTGAGGCCCCAGATATGGAAGGCAAAACTATACAATGTCTGGAAGAAAACATAAAAGAATACTTGTATGATGTCCGGATAGAAAAGGACTTCTTGAGACTCAGAAAACCCAAACCATAAAGGAAAAAAATGACAATTTGGCATAAACCTAGAAGTGGTACTGCTAGGGATGGGCACACGCCCTACTTTACCAGCAGGGATGCAAAATTGTTATCCAAAGGGTTTGTAGCAACTGACACTACGGCCAGCAGGCAATGAGAGTCTCAGTTGCTTCACATTCTCACTAATGCTTGATTTTTGTCAGAATTTTTTATTTTTGCAAATCTAGTGGGTATGAAATGGTATCGCTTGGTGTTTCTCATTTGTATTTTCCAGAATACTGATGATGTTTACCATCTTTACTTTGTTTATTGGCTATTTAGCTTCCTCTTTTTAAAGTGCCTTAGTTGTTTGCCCATTTTTATATCAGGTTGTTTCCTTTTCTTGACTGACTGATTTATAGGATTTCTCTAAATATTCAGAATATGACATTTTTGTTGTTATTATATGTGTTAAAATTTTTTCTTCCACTTTGAGGCTTTTCACTCTCTTAATGTTATTTTTTAATGAAGAGAAATTTTACATTTCAATCTAGTCAAATTGGTATTTTTTTTCTTTATTTTTGTGCTTTCTGAGTCTCATTTATGAAATCCTTTCCTACTCAGAGGTCACTCAACTATTTCTCTACATTTTCTTCCAAATGTTTTACAGCCTTGCCTTCCATATTTAGGTCCTTATCTCATCTGTAGTTGATCATGTCATTGGCATGAGGTAGCTGTCCAAATTTAATTATTTTCCTATAAGAATTACTAAGTATCCCAGAACTACTTATTAAAAGTCTGCCCTTTCCCGGATGGGCACGGTGGCTCATGCCTGTAATCCCAGCACTTTGGGAGCCCGAGGCAGGCAGATCACCTGAGGTCAGGAGTTCGAGACCAACCCTGTCAATGTGGTGAAACCCCGTCTCTACTAAAAATACAAAAAAATTAGCCGGGTGTGGTGGCAGGCGCCTGTAATCCCAGCTAATTGGGAGGCTGAGGCAGGAGAATCGCTTGAACCCAGGAGTCAGCGGTTGCAGTGAGCTGAGATCGCGCCACTGCACTCCAGCCTGGGTGACAAGAGTGACACTCCATCTCAAAAAAAAAAAAAAAAAAAAGTCTGCCCTTTCCCTTCTGACTACAGTACTTGCTATATCAAATAATTAATGTTCTTATATGCAAGGGTCTGTTTCTCGTGTATGTAAGAGGTTTTGGGGTGGATTGGGGGTTTGTTTTTTGGTTTTTTAGACAGGTTCTTACTCTGTTACCCAGGCTCGAATGCAGCAATGTGATCATAGCTCACTGCAGCCTTGACCTCCTAGGCTCAAGCAATCCTCTGGCCTCAGCCTTCCACGCAGCTAGGACTACAGACGTGTGCCACCATGCCCAGCTAATGTTTTAAATTTTTTGTAGAAATGGGGTCTCTCTATGAGCCCAGGCTGCTCTTGATCTCCTGGCCTCCAGCAATTCTCTCACCTTGGTCTTCCAAAGTGCTAAGATTATAGGCATGGGCTGACCTACACATAAGTTTTGATGGCATAATTTATGTGATTCGATGTTACATTTGATGTCAAGAATCTCATTTTCATTAACATATTGAAGTGCTACATTTGACTTTGTATAATATATCGTTAATCTGTGATCTTTGTGCTATCATTTATTGGCCCAAATTTCTCTGATTAACCATGTCCTGAAAACCAAAACACCAAGGTTCCTTTACGTCTAATGTTAACTTTCAACAAGCCTATTTTTAAATATCTCTGAGTCTGAGAATAGGCTATAAGCATAGGTCACCTTAGTATTTAGTCCCTCTTTCCTAGTGTTTAGCTCTCCATTTCACATACCTAACCCCACTTTAGACAGAGCCTTTTTGTCTCTTAAATGAAATTTTGTGTGGTTTATGTCCATTATGTAATGCAATAAAATAAACGCTAAGAATATTCATACCAAAAATTTTGTCTATTGAAGCATTTGAAGGCAATGTACAATTAAACACAGTAAATTGTCTTTTTAAACGTTGTGGAATATCATTTCGACCACCTCCAGGGTGGATCATTGCTGCTATGAGCTGCACATCAACAATAGTAGTGAAGTCTCCAGGCTTGTCCAAGCTGTACATTCCTTCCATTTCCATCATCTGTCGCACAATCTCATTAGTTATCTGAAATTTCACACAGCAATATTTTTGTAACATATCACTATCATATTCCTCCATAACTTCAATAAAATAGTACAAATGAGATTAGAAGAAAACATTAAACTCTTATCAATGAAGTGTTTGTGAATGTCGATGATCACCTTCAAGGTAATTTGACTTAAATGATGTCACCCATGAACTCTAGATCATAACACATGCATGGTCCAAGTCCAAGGTGCCTTTCACCACATTGATCAAACTAATTTCCAAATAAATTTAGATATGTGAGTTATAAGATATTTGGTTAAATTACATTAATACTCCAAGTTACAACAAGTTTTACTGTAGACATCTTTCATACTCAATATTCAACACTTAAAAACCTTTAGATCAGAATGTAGGATGGTTTCTGTCCTGAGTTTTCAATATTATATTACTAACTGTTTTGGTTGTTGGTTTTATGTTCTCATCTTATCTTCTCTGCATCCTCCAACACTGCCAACCCCCCTCCTTGGAAATGTTACCTCTCTTGGTTTCAGAGGCTTGTTTTTTTTCCAGGTCCATCTCAGGGCTCTGGGATCACTTCCTAAGCCACTCATTGTCCACTCATCCCTCACATGTAACTGTTCTCCAGGGTTCCATCCTGGGCTCTTTCCTCTTCTCATTGTTCCAGGAAATGCTATCTCAACCCTATATTCTAAAGAATCTCATATCTATAACTCTAGCTTCAAATTCTCTTCTAAGCTCTACACCTGTATATTCAAGTCTCTATTGAGCATCTCTTAGTGCATATCACACAAGCACCTCAAATATAACCGTCTTTCAATTAACCAACATTTCATGAATGACTACTGTGTGCCAGCCTCTCTTGTAGCATAGACAAAATTTTCTGTCCTCATGAAGCACACATTCTAGTGGTGAGAGACAAGATGTACAGATGCATGTTGATATGTAAATAAAATGGTATACTCTAAGACTTTTGTAGAATATAGGAGGGGCTCAAGGGTGTGACTCAAGGAGAGCAGGGGAGGCTTCACCTGACATGATATATAAGCCAAGACCTGAAGAAGGTGAGAAAGTAAGCCAGTTCGATACCTAGGGGAAGAGCACTCTAGGCAGAGGAAACTGCAAATGCAGAGGTACTGAGTGAACACCATATCCAGCGTATACAAAGATCAGTAAATGTGGTGGAAGCAAAGAGTCACGGGAAGAGGGAGAGGCGGTCAAAATGTGTAGAGTCTTGGATCATGGTAAGGATTTTGGTATTTATATTCTACAAGTCTCTTTGGAGGATGTTGACCAGAAGAGTGTGTCGTGATCTAACTCTTGTTTTCATTTGTTGATGATGTGAGAACAAGCTGAGAAGGGTAAGGGAGACAGGAGGCAGTGAGGAGGCATTTGTAATGATCAAGAAGAGAGCTGGTGGTGGGTGGCGCCAGGTGGTAGCAGTGGAGGTGATGAGTAGTGGTCAAATTTCAGATACAGTGTGAAGATAGAGCCAACTTGATTTTCTGACAGAGTGACTGTGGAGGTGCTATTTGCTGAGAGAGAGAAGACTGTTGGAGGAGCAGGTGTTGGAGGTGTTAAGTTTGCGATCCAACCAGACATCCCTAGTTGGATACGTGAGTTCGGAATTCAGGAGCGCTTCAGCTTATGGAAGATAAGCATGAACCTGATCTAAACATGCCTTCACCCTCCTCTCCTTCCAGGAACTGCTGAGGTCTATCTGCCTTGGAGCAGACGCAGGCCATACAGAACTGTTTGGTTTTTCGCCACAGGATGAGTACTGAGCTTCTAGTGGTGTCTGAGGCGAATAGGGATAAAGAGCAAAATGGGACTTGTCCTGGTAGAGCCAAAGTAGATGGTGTCAATGAAGCAGTGTAGGTCGGTGGGAGGAAAGTGTTGGGGATCCCACCAGGAGCATGCGGACTTCTGGCAACACCGGTGAAGTCTTCTAATGGGGAATGACCTGGGTGGATAGATGACCACAACTAGAACCACGGTGTGTGGCACAGTTAAATAAATAAATAAATAGTTGTTTGGTTTTTCATTTTTTGTTTTTGTTTTTTTGAACATCACGTACTCCTCAGAAATTATGCACAATAAGAGGTTAGAGCAAGGATGTAACCCTGCAGAAAGGCAGAAGAGAGGAGCTAAGAAAGGACACTGAAGTCAAGTAGCCAAAGAGAGAGGAGGCATTTGCTGTAGAAAACCACGTAGGAGACAGGTGTGATGGCTCATGCCTGTAATCCCAGCACTTTGGGAGGCCGAGGTGGGCGGATCATCTGAGGTCAGGAGTTCAAGACCAGCCTGGCCAACATGGTGAAACCGTGTCTCTACTAAAAATACAAAAATTAGCCAGGCGTGGTGGCGGGCACATGTTATCCCAGCTACTCAGGTGGCTGAGGAAGGGAGAATTGCTTGAGCCCGGGAGGTGGAGCTTGCAGTGAGCTGAGATCATGCCACTGCACTCGAGCTTGGGTGAGAGAGCAAGACTCCGTCTCAAAATGTTAAATGACGAGTTAATGGGTGCAGCACACCAACATGGCACATGTATACATATGTAACAAACCTGCATGTTGTGCACATGTACCCTAAAACTTAAAGTTTAATAAAAAAACAAAAACAAAAAAACACATAGGGATTTAAGAAAGGAGAAACTCAGCTATAACAGAGAAGTCAGAAAAAGACTGAGGATTGGCAGTAGACTTAAAAACATAAAGTTTTTAACAAAGTTATTAACATTTACATATATATAATATATATACATAAAAATACAAATTCAGGATCATCTATATGAGATATTTCAGCCATACCTGATCTCCCCACTCATTAATCACAGGCATATTAATATCATCAATAAATACAGTCATTTTTCTCCCTCCTGGTGGCCCATATGTGCTTCCAATTCGCTTATCCACGTAGCTTTCAATTGTTCTCTAGAGAGAAGGAAACGTTTTGTCTTATGCATTAGATTTTAATCCATACTTCTAAAAATAATGAGCATTCTTGTCAGAGTAGAATATAATTTACTTACGCATTTAATAAGTATACATATAATTATTAAAATATATGTTGTTAAATTTTTAAAAATAAGGCATTGGAGTTTTATCCTTCATTTACATTACAGTAGATATGCTCCAAAGTTCAGCTGCAGTCTCAATATTAGGTCAAAGTATGCTATTTGGATTTGCCTTCAACCTTAGCCTTAGGAAAGCTAAACAGCTGAATGCCAAGTGCAGCATGATTTCTTTTGAATATATAATATTTTCACATTTTATATGCGTACACATTTTATTGTAACCACTAATTTAAAATGTATTATGTTTATAATATTACAGCAAATGATGGATTTCACCTGAAACATCATTGGTTCTGTGGCAGATGAAAAGTTTAGACTTTTGGATAGCTGTACTTCAGGATCATATTTTTTCAAATAGGCCTTAACCATGACAGTTTTTGCAGTTCCCTGCTCTCCTGTGAGCAAAACAGCCTGCAATCATAGGATAATAGTGTTGAAATGTGTTACAACTTATTTAGTTTCAAATATCTTATGATTCTATGGGCTAGTCTTCTATAAATTAATACAACTAATTTTTAATAACTTTTTAGAATTGCATCTACCATCAAAATAAGTCCCAGTTGTATTACAGATTTAAATGTAAAATGTGTACTATAAAAGTGCTGGAAGAAAATATGGGTGCATATTCCCGTGGCCATGGATGGTTTGTGATCATTTAAGGAACTATCTATTAAACTTACTTTATGTTGTTTTGCAATGGTGTCTATCAAAAAATTTGTTCTAATATTGTCAACATTTGGAACCAAAATTGATGAATATTCCGGAATACTGTCAGTTGGATAATAATAAGGCTGAAGTTTCTTATTCCAGTGCTCCCAATCACCTATATAATAAGTAAAATTTCATCTTAATAGAACCATATTCTGTGAAAGTTATCTCATAATACAAAAATGTTAAGTGCAATAAACAATCAATAGAATCGTATAAACATTCAAAATGTTTTCCTAAAACATGTTAATATATCTGCTTATCTTATGTCTACAGCATTTGATAATTTGTTTTGCCTTTTTTTATAAAGTCAGCTTTTAAAAAAACTTTCAGGTTCAGGGATACATGTGCAGGTCTGTTAGATATACAGGGGTTTGTCGTACAGATTATTTCATCACCAGGTGATAAGCATAGTACCCAATAAGTAGTGTTTTGATCCTCACCCTTCTCCCACCCCCAACCCTCAAGTAGGCCCCAGTGTCTGTTGTTCCTTTCTTTGCATCCCTGTGTACTCAATATTTAGCTCCCACTTATAATTGAAAATACGCAGTATTTGATTTTCTATTCCTGAGTTAGTCTGCTTAGGATAATGGCTTCCAGCTCCATCCATGTTTCTTCAAAGGACATAATCTCATATTTTTTATGGCTGCATAGTATTCCATGGTATATGTGTACCAAATTTTCTTTATCCAGTCTAACACTGATGGGCATGTAAGTTGATTCCATGTCTTTGCTATTGTGAATAGTGCTGCAATGAACATATGCATGCATGTGTCTTTATGGTAGAATGATATACGTTCCTTTGAGTATAATACCCAATAATGAGATTGGTGGGTCAGATGGTAGGTCTAAGTTTAAGTTCTTTGAGAAATCACCAAACTGCTTTCCGTAATGGCTGCACTAATTTACATTCCCACTAGCAGTGTAGAAGCATTTCCTTTTCTCCACAACCTCTCCAGCATCTGTTATTTTTTGTAAATTGGCTTTTAAATTGCTAACTCACCCATCTGGAGAAACCTTGCCTGAAATGGAATTAAAATCAGCCGGTGGTAAAACCAGTAATGTAATGGATGCCTAGCAGAAAAGCCACATCAACTGAAAAGACGGAAAAGACCAAAAAAAGAGTCAACCGTTTACTAGATATAGAGTATTTGCCATAAGAAATTGATTTCAAGTCCGGGCACAGTGGCTGACGTCTGTAAACCCAGCACTTTGGGAGGCTGAGGTGGGTGGATCAGCTGAGGTTGGAAGTTCGCGACCAGCCTGACCAACGTGGAGAAACCCTGTCTCTACTAAAAATACAAAATTAGCCAGGCCTGGTGGTGCATGCCTGTAATCCCAGCTACTCGGGAGGCTGAGGCAGGAGAATCACTTGAACCCGGGAGGCGGAGGTTGTGGTGAGCCAAGATCGCGCCATTGCACTCCAGCGTGGGCAACAAAGAGCGAAACTCCGTCTCAAAAAAAAAAAAAAAAAACATTGATTTCAAAAATTTATTTACATTTTAGCATCTCTGGATGTTCCTTACAACCTGTGGTACTGTACCATTGCTGTTGCTAGGCAAACTTGTATTGGCGTTATTCCTATCATTGCCATTCAAATTGAATTACTTTCATTGATACGTTTAGCCTCTATTTTAAATGTCTTCAAAAAGATTATACAATGATTCAGAATTATACCCAAAAGTTACTGTGTACACAGAATGCATGGAAAGAAAGCATACATTGATATTGGTGAAACAATGATGAACAAATACTCATCATTGGAGTAATAACCCCAATTTCATGTTTTCTTGAGAAAGTAAGCAAAAATGAGTATGTTTAACTTCTAAAACACTGCCAAACTATTTTCCAAAGTGGCTGTGCCATTCTGTAGCATATGAGGGCTCTAGGTGCTCTATTACGGCACCAATATTTGGCATTATTAACCTTTTTAACTGTAGACATTCCAGTGGCTATGTGATGATATCCATTGTGCGGGGTTTTGTTTTTGTTTTTTTTGAAGCAAGGTCTGCCTCTGTGGCCCAGACTGGAGTGTAGTGGTGCGATCTCAGCTCACTGCAGCCTCCATCTCCGGGTTCAAGCAATTTTCCTGCCTCAGCCTCCTGAGTAGCTGGGATTACAGGCACCCGCCACCACGCACAGCTGATTTTTGTATTTTTAGTAGAGACGGGGTTTCACCATGTTGGCCAGGCTGGTCTCGAAGTGCTGACTTCAAGTGATCTACTCGCCTTGGCCTCCCAAAGTGTTGGGATTACAGGCATGAGCCACTGCACCCAGACCCCATTGGAGTTTTAATTTGCATTTCCCTGACGACCAATGATGTTAAATATCTTTCACATGCTTTTTTCACCTTTCACTTATCTTATTTAGCAAAGTATCAACTGAAATTTCCTCCCCATTTTAAAATTTAGATTGGTTGCCTATTGATAGTTATTGGATTATAGGAGTTCTTTACATATTCTGGATAAATTTTTTTTATCAGATATATATGTTTCAAATAGTTCTTTACAGTCTGTGGCTGGGTTTTTCATTTTCTTAATAGTGACTTTTAAACAGCAAAAGAGATTTTTCCCCCCATCGCACTGGCTAGATTTTGCTATTTCAAATAGCAAAATAATCTTTAAATAATGTTTAAATAAGATCTGTCCCCTTATTTGGGCCTTCTATAGCTTCTCTCAGCGCAGTTTTACAGTTTTAGTATACAGATCTTACACGTATTTTATTAAATTTATTCCTAAGTATTCTTTTTTTGGATTCTATTTTTGTTTGTGTGTTTTTAAGACAGAGTCTCACTCTGTCTCCCAGGCCGGAGTGCAGTGGCACAATCTCAGCTCACTGCAACCTCCGCCTCCCAGATTCAAGCTATTCTCATGCCTCAGCCTCCTGAGTAGCTGTGCTTACGGGCATATACCACAACACCTGGCTAATTTTTTTGTTTTTTTTTAGTAGATACGGGGTTTCACCATGTTGGCCAGGCTGGTCTTGAACTCCTGACCTCAGGTGAGCTGCCCCACTCGGCCTCCCAAAGGGCTGGGATTACAGGTGTGAAGGTGTGAGCCCCTGCACCCAGCCTTGCGTTCTATTTTAACTGGTATTCTTAAAATTCAATTTTCAACTGTTTGTTGTGAGCATATAGAAATATAACTTATCAAATGTATGGCCCTTTTGTCCTGTGACCTTGCTAAAATCCTTTAGTAGTTCTAATAACTTTTTGAAGATTCCACAGATGGTCATGTCATCTGCAAATAAAGAGAATTTTACTTGTTCTTTTCTAATCTATAGACATTTGATTTGCCCCCCACTGCACTGGCTAGAACCTCTAGTACAATGTTGAATAGAAATGAAATTGAATAGAGGTGAGAAAGACGTCCTTGTTGTGTTCTTGATATTGGGAAGGAAGTATTTAGTTGTTTACCATTCCGTATAACGTTAGCTGTAGGTATTTTGTAGATGTTGTCAGATGATAAAGTTCCTATTTCATCACAAAAGAGTGTCAAATTTTGCCAAATGCTTTTCTTCATTCATTTAGATGACTGTTTATGGCTTGCTTAGTTTTTAGTCTTATATGGCAGATTATATTGATCAGTTTTTGAATGTTGATCTTCCATTTCTAGAATAAAAGCCACAGTTGGACTTTTGTATACTATTGGATTTGTTATAATTTTATTAAGAAATTTTCGTCAATGTTCCTGAGGAATATTGGTCTATAGTTTTTTTTGTTTTTGTTTTTTTCTTGGAATGTCTTTCTCTGGTTTTGGCATGAGCATAACACTGTCCTTATGAAATGGGCTGGGAAGTGTTTCTTCCTATTGTACATTTTATATCTTTTGGAAGAGTTTGTGTACAGTTGGTATTATTTCTTCCTTAAATATTTAGTCGAATTCACCAATAAAATCATCTTGGCCTGGTGTTTTTCTTTGTGGGAAGGTTTTTAACTACAAATTCAATTTCTTTAGTAGATATAGGGCTATTTAGGATATCTATTTCTTCTTTTTAAATTTTATTGTAAATTGACAATTTACAATTGTATATATTTATGGGGAACAAAATGTTATGGTTTATGGATACAATATGGAATTATTACAAGCGAATTAACGTATCATGTGGAATTATTACAAGCGAATTAACATATCTATCACCTCAAATGCTTATCATTTTTTTGTGTTGAAAATATTTGAAATTTACTCTCTTAGCAATTTTGAAATGTACAACACAGTTATTAACTATATTCAGCATGCTGTGCAATATCTAGTTCTTCTTGATGATGGCTGGTAGTTTATATCTTTCAAGAAATTTGTCCATTTCATCTTCATTGTCAAATGTGTTCTTGCAAAGTTGTTTCTAATATACTCACGTCATGTTTCTAATGTTTGTGAGGACTGTAGTGATGTTCTCTCTTTCATCCTTGACTATGGTAATGTATGTCTTCTCTTTTGTTCTGATGTCTCTAATAAGAGATTTATTCTTTTTATTGATCTTTTCAGATCCATCTTTTTGTTTCATTGATTTTTTTCTGTTGCTGTTCTATTTTTTGTTTCATTGATTTCTGCTTTGATCATGGTTCTTTCTTCTGCTTACTTTGGGTTTAATTTGCTTTTCTTTTCCTAACTTATTAAGGAAGAAGTTGAAATCATTGTTTTGAGACCTTTCTTCTTTTCTAGTAAAGACATAAAGTGCTGTAAAGTCTCCCTATCGAGAATTGTTATATGACCCAGAATATCTTGGTAAGTGTTTTCCGTGCACTGGAAAAAAATGTATATTCTGCTGTTTTGGGCTGAAGCATTCTATAATTTTGAATTCAGGGTATTGATAGTGTTGTTAAAGTCTTCCATATATTTACTAATTTTGTCTATTTGTTCTATCAATTATTCAAAATATTGACACCTTTAGTATAACTGTGGATTTGTCTTTCTGTTTCTGTTGTTCTCTGACACTTCCTCCTTGTGCAGATTTCTCCTCTCTGGTGCTCTGCCCTGCAAATTCCAGCCACCTTGGCCTCTCCCAAATCAACCTCTGCCTTCTCATTTGGTGAGACAGCCAATTCTATTTGATCTTCCCCTCCCTGAGCTGCTTCTAGAAACTGCATCCATGCAATAAACTAATGCAATCACCTTGTTTCACTTCCCTCGGTGATTTCAGTCCAGTAGTGCCTATTGTCCAATCTCTGAAAAAAAACCGTCTTACACATTTTGTCCAGTTTTCTATATTTTTAATATAAGAGGTTAAACCCAGTCCCCATTACTCCATCTTCGCTGGAAGCATAAGTCTCCTTACTTCATTTTAAATCTATGAATGAAGTCTTCTCCAAAGATGTTAATGTCCATAAAAAAATTAAAAGGATGGATGAAGAATGAGTTAAGAAAGGGCTGGCTAGAAGTCAGCTGAGTGGACATGTTAGGGCCCTAAATAACCACTAAGTGCATAATATCTTAGTTCATTTCGTGGCCACAAAGGCTCGGGCAAATAAATTTCGTCAAAAGTAGTTACTTAGGATGGCAAGACTGAATGCCTGCAACCCCTCAATATTTTAGTCAACAGACCACTTCAGGACCACCTTGAAGAAGGAATATGAGTCTAGATTGTTGTCAACCTTTTGTTAACATCTCCATTAAAAATAAGAAAACATCATTGTCTAAACTTACAGAACCAGTCCTAGCTACTTGGAAGAAAATGTCACAAACATCACTGGACTGCTCTTTAAGAAATGTGGCAATACATATTTTTGATGGCACAGAGGAAGGTAATTATTTTATTGGCTTCCTTATTAGATGCCATCTCAATCCCCTAACCAAGGCTCTGCCATGGTTGGAAAATTGCTGCTGATGAATTTCACTCTCTGAGTAACTTGGGGCCCGGCCTCTGAATAAGGACAAGGCACTCAGAGGGAGGCAATCTGAACCTTTAAACATCATAGAACTCCGGCTGCTCAGAAAGCAGCGCTGTGGAGGAGCTTGGCTCTGGATTCTAAGGGAGTGCATATCTAGATTTAAAGATTCCTTTGTTAGTTTGCATTTTGAGTTAGAGTGCCCTTTTGCCATCTCAAACCTTTAGCAGCATCTAACACATGTAATACAATTATTGGCCTTTCTGGTTAAAGATGGCCCACTGAAAAAATTTATTTATCTCAGTCCCTTTCAAACACAAATTTCCACTTAATCCCCAGTTTTGGTATGATTCTCCCACTCTTAAATGTGCCTGGTGTCCCCAAGTCTAGGAAACCCTCTATTTTACACGATTCAAACAGTAACTCTTTAGTCTTGCCAGTGTGGGGAAGGCCGATTGTCTGGCAGCAGGGCTTTGGAAAGCGGCCCAGGAGGTCTTTTTCTCAAACAGACTTATAACCAGCCCTGTGGTTTTTAGCTCAACTTTTGCCCCAGTTTCCACTTCCTGAGCCCTTTGAATGTCCTGTGACGTGCGCTTCTCAATTACTTCTCAGCTCTTCCCACTGCCAGTGTGCTAAATCGACTGCCGCTTACCTTACTGCTTTCTTGCTTTCAAAATTTGGCTATTGCTGTCTACTCTCCTGCTCCAGTTGTCCTTCAGTTTATTCATTAAAACAAACAAACAAAAGACTATTGCTGTTTTTGAGTTTTTAGGAAGAACCAGAGGTAATTAGAGTTTTTAGGAAGCATATTTTTCCTCTTTGGAACTTTGAAGAATCAGGGCCTGGGCTCTGGATGAAAGCACCAAGTTCAAAGGCATTTCTTTTAAGGAGCAGTGAGCTGGGCCCGGCCATACATGGAAGGCTGGGGGGCTAAGGTGACAGCGCTGGACCTTGAGGAATCTGCTACGTTCATTCTCTACTCATTCTGGCATTCCCAACAGGGGAATTGTGGGGCTGATCCGTTATGTGTATTAGCATGCTTTGCATCATGAAGAATCTGTGTTCTCCACGCTGCTACCTTTCCTATTCCAGCATTAGAAAGTAGATGTTGTACAAGGTATTACTAACTTATTTATGCCAGATTTTACTGAGCCCACTCCAAAAGGAGAAGTCAAGAGTCTCAATATCAGTTTCGGGCACAATTCATATGCAAAATTCCACTCTCTTTCAAATACATGCTCTTTTCAAAATGGTATTAACAATTATGTTTTCATAATTGTTTTAATATTCTCTCATAGAAGAGTTTATGAAAGCTTATATTTTCTCATTTGAAAAAAGTCATTTCATTTAAGGTATAGTTCAGTGGGCTTACCATAATCAGTAACATAAAACTCATACATGGTTTGATTTGAGCCTTTAGGTATTTCTGGTAAGTCCAACTTGCTTTCATGCTGCCGTAAGAAGGCTTCAAGCTTTTCTCTGCTTTCTAATTCCAGAAGGGCTCCTAAACTCCACATTAGGCCAAACACAAATAATTTATGAAGATGTTCGACACAGGAAACACCGCCTTCTTCTTTGGAGGGAATTAACCCTTCCAGAAGATTGAGAGACTGAAAATGTTTCAAATAAAATAAATTTTTAAATTAAAATTTTGAAAATAAAAAATTGTAAATAATAGTAAAATTAAAAGGAGGAAGGAAGAGAGAAGAAAAATAGATATATCTCAAGCTATTGCTTGATCACCGTCCTACAGCCAACAGCACGTAGAAGAAAGGCTATCCTGTTTTAGACAGGCAGCATGGTCTAGCAGAAAGGATGCTGAACTGAAAATCTGCTCCTGTGGTTTCAACCCTCAGCTCATCCCACTGACCTCTCTGAGTCTCAATTTCCTACTGGGAAAGCAAAAGGCCTAGACTCGATGTAAGCAGCTAAGGTAGCTACTGGTTCTAAAGTTAAGTTATCTAAATTTTCCAGATCAAAGATTCTATTTCTTTGTAAAATTTTGCAGGACTTAGCAAACTGTGGCCCTAGAGGCTGGCCACCTGTTTGGTAAATAAAGTTTTACTGGAACACACACACAGTCACACTCATTCACCTATGCATTGTCTCTAGCTGCTTTTGTGCTACAACAGCAAAGCTGAGTGGTTGAGACAGAGAGTTGTGCAAAGCCTAAAATATTTATTAATACTACCTGGCCCTTTAAGAAAAAGTGTGCCAATGCCCTATAGCATCAGAAAGACAAGTACAGTAGGACATCCTCGGTCTTTCAAAACAAAATTACTTCAAAATAAAATATTGTCTTCTATGATCCATTTTAAAGTAATTACTAAATAATTCACTGATTTCGGCCTTATATATTGTTTCTAACCTACCCACAAATGACTGACTCTCTTAACTGAGAATTGAAGCTCTAGAATGTGTAAGGAGAGATCACCTATAGATCAGAATTAGGAGAGCCCTTGAAGATCTATGATTAATTCTGTTTTAACTCAAAGACTAATAAGGAAAACCGAGTAGGAAATAAAGAATGCTGGCTGGGCATGGTGGCTCATGCCTGCAATCCTAGCACTTTAGGAGGCTGAGGCAGGAGGACTGCTTGAGTCCAGGAGCCTAGACCAGCCTGGGCAACATACAGAGACCCTGTCTCTATAAAAAATCTAAAAATTAGCTGGGCATGGTGGTGTGTGCCTGTAGCCCCAACAACTTCAAAGGCTAAGGCAGGAGGACAGCTCGAGCCCAGGACTTCAAGGTTGCAGTGAGTTATGATTGATTGCACCACTACACTCCAGCCTGGGCAACAGGCAAGACCTTGTTGAAAGAAAAGAAAGAAAAGGAAAGAAAAGAAAGGAAAAGAAAAGAAGAGAGAGAGAGGGAGGGAAGGGAAGGGAAGGGGAGGGGAGGGGAGGGGAGGGGAGGGGAGGGGAGGGAAGGGGAGGGAAGGGAAGGGAAGGGAAGGGGAGGGAGGGGAGAAAGAGAGAGCGAGAGAGAAAGAAAGAAAGAGAGAAAGAAAGAGAGAGAGAAAGAAAGAAAGAGAGAAGGAGGAAGGAAGGAAGGAGAAAGAGAAAGAAAGAAAGAGAGAAGGAGGAAGGAAGGAAGGAGAAAGAGAAAGAAAGAAAGAAAGAAAGAAAGAAAAAGAAAGAAAGAAAGAAAGAAAGAAAGAAAAGAAAAGAAAAAGGGAAAGAAAGAGGAAAGGAAGGAAGAAAGGGAAAAAACAATGCTACAACTACTTGTCAGATAATTTTTATTTAAAGATTTTCCTTACCTGTTATATGCTAAATTTCCAAAGCCAAAATTGCCTCCCAAGTTTTCTTGATTGCAACAGGCCCCTTTCTGTTCTTTCCCACGAAGCTACCAACTTTATTTATTTTTATTTACTTATTTATTTATTTTGAGACAGGGTCTCACTCTGTCGCCCCAGCTGGAGTGCAGGGGTGTGTGTGTGTGTGTGTGTGTGTGTGTGTGTGTGTGTGTGTAGGTGTATGTGTTATTTTTTATTTATTTTAAAATTTAATTAATTACTATATTTTATTGACTGTCATTATTATACACACTTTATGGGACAGGTCACTAAACCTGACAATGGGAAAGATAGTTCATTCCCCTTCCTCTGACAACATCCCTCTGGGAAGTGAAAATAATAGAGAAAACAGTAAGATCATTAAGAAGATCTTTAATAGAAATCAAAATTATCAGAGCTTTTACAGCCACATCATCAAATGATTTTTATGGACTGTCTGAACTTTCTATTTCAGATGGCTGTAAACTGCAACTGAGTGAAAAAAAAATCAAAATCGAAGTAGTAAATGTACAAAAAAAAATCTTACTTGCACAATATAGTTGCACTCCAAGAGCTGCATTTTGGGATTGAGATTTAGCTTCATATATGTGTATGTATCTTCAAAGACTTTCTCATACAGTGTCAGGAATACAGCAGCTTCCTGTGCAGTGCGTTTCTTCAACCATGCCTGCAACAAAGAAACAGAATCTGTGTTTATTGAGAAAGTGAAACGTGGAGAGACTCTGAGGGTTCTTCTTCCCATCTCTCTGCCCCACCTGTAAGATTGGCCTCCAGCTGAGAGCAGAGCTGCTGATATAGACCATGCCCATCCTAGAAACCGTGGCAGGAGAGGCGTTCTCGATATTGTGGACTTCAAACAGAAGCTTACAACTAGGGGCCATGGGAATGCGATCTCCATTAGCTAACGTCAGAGTTTTATTGTCATCCAAAACGGAATTTAAGTTCTCAATCCAGATGGCATCCACAGGACCATCTAAAATGAGGAAAATGTTTTCACCTGAAAATAATTAAAACAGAAAATCACTTTTCACTTGCAAGTAATTAAAATGGAAAAATCAAAAAAATACTGTGTTAATACGCTAGCAGGGAAAAAATGATCACAAAGGAGGTTTGTGTATACCTTTTTTAGCTTTTAATGTTTTTCTCCACAGAGTAGAAAAAATCCCATCTGTCCAGTCATTGGTAGCAGTGTCCAGTCTGCCAAACATCTGAGGTGCAGTAATGGCTTTTGGATTCATTCGCATTTCTCTATGAGGCCTTCCGCATTCTGTTTGCGCCTTCATTAGAATCGTGATAACGGTTGTCTTTCCAGAACCACTGGGCCCAAGAGTCATCAAGCCATGCCGTACCAAAGACGTCTCATATAACTACACAATTAACCAGTAAATTAAAATATGTAATTTATGAGTCTCTTGCTGACATTCATAGTAGCTACTTGAAGATTAAAGGCTTTAATAAGCTCTTCATTAACGTAACTAGTTCACTATTTTTAAGTTGTAAAAAATGTTGTTTTACTAGATGTGCATAGCAAATGAGCACCACGTTATAAAACGATATGTGCTAAAGTAATAACAATGTGGAGCTTGAATTACATTTTGGAAATAATTAACTCAGCATCTAGTTTTTGCTTCTTGCGTGATGATTCCCTGTGATTTTGGCTTGTTGGTCTATAACCAGCAGTTGTTCCATGCGCAAACTTTCTCGGCATCCAATGTGATGATATCGCCCCTTAGTGGTGGAAAGCAGCAACGCAGAGCATCACAGTGAAGATCCGTTTCAAAGGGGCCTTCTAATTCCCCAGAAGTACATCATGAATGAGGATTCCTGTGCAAGTGATTTATTCAGGTAGTGCTCCCAGGAGAAACCAGTAAGAGAAGAGGAAAGCAGGACAGGAATGGGAAGAAGCCAAGCAAGGTGTGATTGAGGACAAAGCCCTGTAGAGGACAGACTTGAGCCTGATCCCTCGGGAGACTGGAGTGTAACTTACACCTCAAAGATTGCTCCACCTGGAACCAGGCAAGCTTGACTTTCCTACTCCATCAACTCTTAGAGACGTTTGTTTGGGGGTGGATGGGAAATAAACTCCCGTGCAGCACCTACTCTTTGTGCCTGCCAACAAAATGGCTCCAGGCCTCCTTTTGCTATTAGAAGCGAAAACACACAGAAGCTGGGCAGGGGCACGTGGAAATGGTACAAGAGATTCGAGGAGACATGCTAGGATCATGGACAGCCGCTGCTATAACATCCCGTCTGCAGTTTTCTCATTAAAAAAATTAAGAAGTCAAAGGTCTGACAGCTGATCAGAGGGAGAGTGAGTTATTCTCCTAACATTTTGGACAGAAATGTATTACCATTGTAAACTATAGTTTAAAAGCAACAGAGGCACTGTTCCTGACATGTTCAAGAGCAATGTTATTGACATCAACAAAGAACCCAAAATTCTAGTCGCCACCCATTGAGATGGCAAGAATTTTAAAACTCAGTATACTGTATGCATATCATATATAAAATCATGTTTTCCCAGAAATTTTTTAAACTCTTAAAATGGTTTCCAGTACATGAATGATGAAAAAGACTTTTCCCCCATGCACATATTTCTTTGTAAGATTTGGATGTATCTCAGATACTTGCACATCTTATAATCTGGCAAGAACAGTAAGTTAAAATAAGAATCGTTATATTAATATTTCAAATGCAGTTTTCAACAATGTCCACAATTTCAGCTCCTTAATTTTCCAAAAGCTCTGGAAAATATTCCCAAAGCATCAAGCTCATAGAGATTTAATCCTGTGTCTCTGCTACAAGTTCTTGATTCTACTGGTAATCCAATCAAGTGGTTAGATGGTTGTCACAAGGATGAAATGTGATGAACAGAAAGACACCAACATATGCAGTCAAAAGATTCAGGTTTTAGTGTAGGTGAAGGATATAACATGTCCACACACAAAGCAGGAGCAAAATAGCACTCCCAGATTCCTCAGGCTCTGCACTCCACTGAGGCACCCAGCTGCAGCCAGTACTATCAGATTGGCACAAGAAGACATCTGCGTTGTTCCGTTCCCCTAGAGTTTTTATAACCTACTATTTCCGCCCAACATTGTCACCAGGTATAAGTAAAAACTGCAGTAAATTACTGCTTGATTACTGTGAGGCAGGGTAAATCCATACTATCTTCCTAGGACCACCACATCCTTCCAAGTATTCTTTTTGCAATGATGTATATATGATGTTTTCATTTAACATTTACATCAAGTAAGACTAACTATGAGTTTTTCTATTCAGACAGGAATGTTTAACACATACTTATCATTATACTAATAATAGATTAAAATGTCTTTACCTGCACGAGTTTCAGGTTCCAGGGTGGATGGTTAATCAAACCCTCTATCTGAACCTGATGGGCTACTGCGTTTTGCAGTTCTGCATAAGTATTACTATCCAGTTGCAGTCCTGGGAACAGGTCATTGATTAAGCTGAGGAACAGGGGTTCATCTTCATCAACCTAAGGTGGCATAGTTTAAAATAAATTTACTCATTCAGTCAACAAACATTTATCAGCTAGCTGGGATGTGCATAGTACTTATCACTTCATCCCCAGAGAACCATTTATTACTCTCCTAATCAGGCTTGTATTCTCTAGTACTTTCTCCAGAATATCACTGATATGGTTTGGCTGTGTCCCTACCCAAATCTCATCTGGAATCGTAGCTCCCATAACTCCCACGTGTCGTGGGAGGGACCCAGTGAGAGGTAATTGTATCATGGGGGCAAGTCTTTCCCTGCTGTTCTTATGATAGTGAATAAGTCTCACAAGATCTGATGGTTTTGTAAACGGGAGTTCCCTTGCACATGCTCTCTTGCCTGCCGCCATGTAAAGACGTGACTTTGCTCCTCATTCACCTCCCAGCATGATTGTGAGGCCTCCCCAGCCATGTGGAACTGTGAGTTCATCAAACCTCTTTCCTTTATAAATTGTCTTTATTAACAGTGTGAGAACAGACTAATACAATCACCACTGAATCTATATTGTACCCAAAGTTCGTTAGCATTCAATGTGTTCTACAATCCTGCCCCAGTCTACTGCTCCAAAGTACGACCTCATTACTTTATCACATGAATCTTTGCTTCTCACAGTGGCATTTGCATTAACCTTAAAAATGATAATTTGTAGTCCCAACCCCATGAAATTAAAGAACGGATATTTTATTTAAATTGGGGAAATAGCCATAACCCTGCATGACTTCATCCAACAATGGCTGCAAAAGTCCATCAGGGCAGTGTTCTGAGCCTTTCTTATAAGCAGTAGGTTTGAGTACACTGACTCCAATCCTTGCTTGCAATGTCTTTAATGCATAGATTGCCCTGTTCCCAACATCTGACCCCTTATGATTTCTCTTTATTCTCTAGGGCTTTGCTGATGCTTTCTTGAGTACTTGTCTAGGAATTTCCAAAATACCATTATCTAAGGGAGGCTTAGACTGCACTCCAGCCTGGGTGACTTAGGGAGTCTAAGCCTCCATTACAGTCCATGTTGGTCATACAGGCAGTGAGGTATACTGGCAGGAGCAGTGGATTTGGCACCAGAAAATCTTATAAATTTTTGTCCCCTCTTCTCAGCTGATGGTGATTATGGGGGAATCCTGCAACCTCTAGTCTCCATTCCCCAATAAGTGAAGTGACAATAAACAAGCTAGCCATCCAGACCCCACAGAGTTGCTGTGAGGCTCAAATAAGACGATACACCTGAAAAGACTTTGTAACACTAATGAACTCCACAGATGTTAGTTTTTGTAACTAGAATGTAGCTTCCTGAACCACTTCTTCTTCAACTTTGTACACCCATGGCATGGGCACAATATGTGGCATGTAGAAATCCTTATATGTCACATGAACCTGTCCATCAGCTATTCAAAACAACCTGGCTGGGCTGGGCTGGGCTTGGTGGCTTATGCCTGTAATCCCAGCACTTTGGGAGGCTGAGGTGGGGTGGATCACTTGAGTCCAGGAGTTTGAGACCAGCCTGGGTGACATGGCAAAACCCTATCTCTACAAAACAGTACAAAAATTAGCCAGGCATGGTGGTGTGTGCCAGTAGTCCCAGCTACTCAGGAGGCTGGGGCAGGGAAATAGCTTGAGCCTGGAATGAGGAGGTTGCAGTGAGCCAAGATTGCACCACTGCACTCCAGCCTGGGTGACTGAGAGTCTGTTTCAAAGAAAAAAAAAAAAATCAGGCTGTAACCATGACAAGCATGAAAGCAGCATGCTCTCCACAGCAAATTTTCAATGTGTTTTTGGAAAATAGAAATGATGTTTATGTTTTGGGAGAGATATATCTGAGATAAGCTAGTCACATACAGAGAAAGCAAAAAGTTCTCATGGTTCCCTGTGAATCCAGATTCTTATGCTGAGAATTTGTGTCACTTTGTGAATAATGGTAGACAACTAGGTTGAGTCTTGGAGCTGAAGCCCACTGATGACCTGTTTCACTGCACACAGCTGATAAAAGGAGGCACTTATAGTCCATGTTGGTCACACAGGTCATGGGGTCTTTTGCTTTCTTCTGGAAGCACAGTGGTAGCTTTGCACACTTATTATCCCTGTAATTATGGGTGCTCACAGCTCAACATCAGCCTACCTCTACTTGTCCACCAAATAGAAAGAAACAATATTAAAATTGTGGAAAAGAAGAGAATTCAGAGAAGATACCAGTTTGGAAAGGTTCATATCTCTTAGTCCTCTCATGACAATGCTTAATTCACTATCTTCTGGTCTGGCTCTTTTTTGAGATCCAAGAGTCCTCAATACAGACAGAATATTTCTCAATCCAAAGTCATAATGAACCTGAGATGGGAGAAGAGGGCAAAAAGATGGTTTAATTGAAAAACTAAACATAGACTCACGGCTCACTCTATGCATATAGGTCGATTCTGATACTTATATGGGATAGTTTTGGGGTGACTAAGCCACAAAGGTTTATTAGCTCAACTTCCTGCCTTTCCTTTGACTGAAATATGATCATTCCATGGGAAAATCCAAGCTGCAAGATCAAGTAAGTATTCACACCTTAAATATCTTTTGAGAATAATATAGTCTGATACAGTCTGAGCAACAAACAATAGTTTCTTTTTTGTTTTTTTTTTTTTTTTTTTTGAGATGGAGTCTCACTCTGTCATCCAGGCTGAAGTGCAGTGGCGGGACCTCGGCTCACTGCAACCACCACCTCCCGGGTTCAAGCAATTCTCCTGCCTCAGCCTCCCCAGTAGCTGGGATTATAGGCGCGTGCCACCACGCCTGGCTAATTTTTTTTTTTTTTTGTATTTTTAGTAGAGACAGGGTTTCACCATGTTAGCCAGGATGGTCTCGATCTCCCGACCTCATGATCCACTCGCCTCGGCCTCCCAGAATGCTGGGATTACAGACGTGAGCCACGGCACCCGGCCCAAACAATAGATTTTTAAATGCATAACCAAGAGGTTACATACTATGTGATTCCGTTTACATAACATTCTTGCAATAAAATTCTAGACATGGAGAAAAGGTTAATGGGTTAGGGATTTGGGAGAGAGGTGGGTGTGGCTATAAAGTAGCATGAGGGAACCTTGTGGTGATGGAACAGAGCCGTATCTTACATATTCCATACAACTACACACACACACACACACACACACACATATACACACACCAGTGCATGTATAACTGATGAAACCTTAAACTCTGTGGACTGCTTCAGTGTCCATTTCCAGTTTTGTTATTGCGCTACAGTTACAAGATGTCAACCACCAGGCAAGGCAGGGTGAAGGGTACATGCCTCCCTGTACATTCCTTTGCAACTTCCTGTGAATCTACAATTATTTCAAAATAAAAGGGTCTTAAAAATACACAACCAATAGGTAAAATTAATTCTAAAAGCATTTTAGAAAAGAGTCAATGAGATTTTAACTCACTGATGAGTATTTATCAAGGGAAAATTACAAAGCAAAAAAACCAAATACTATTGCTAGGAGGAAAGCAGATCTATAAAGTTACCTGTTTAGTAAGTTGCTCTTCACAGAGTTTGTAAAGAACGTAAAATTTTTGAGCCAAGATAACATTTTCAAGAAAACCACAGCTTGCAAGTTTAACTCTCATAATGATCTGAAAATTAATATAGTGAGTTTTTTTCAACTTTAGTGAAAAACAAGTAAAGAACATAAAGCACATTATGCTTTTAAATCCTAGTGCATACCTGTCTATCAGGAACCATCATAGCAACAGTTCTAAACTGGATTTTTAGGTTTTCTGGTAGTTCCTGGCGCCCAGCATATCCAGGGTTCTAAAAGTTAAAATATGTTTAATTTTTAATTGCTAAAACAATTTTCATTTCTGAATACAAATATATTTCAAACCCCTAATTCAGATTTTAAGATGGTATTGAAAATATTAGATTCATAAAATACTCTTGTTTTCTCAAAACAATATGTATTAGACCATGTATATTAATATTTATATGCCCTTTTATATATTTCCATTTTCATGATATTAATAAAGTCACACACAATTTTGTGTGGCAAAATTGTCTACTGACTTAAAAAATAGAAAATTGTGTCTGCTGGCTTAAAAATAGAAAAGAACGTGAAATAATACAAGAGAAAACTGAATAGATACCTGATAATTATGGTCTAAAGTATGTTATTGAAAGAAGAAAAAAACTAAGGATTTTATACTGATGAGCTTCCTTGGGCATTTTTTTTATTCCATCTCTTCAATTATTCTTTGCAGCCACAGTTACAGAGCTCTTTGGCTAACAAAAACCCATGGAAGTGAGGAGAAATAAAGATGGCAGTGAGGGGAAATAAAGAAGGGAATGATGGGAAAAACACTGAAATGGACAAAAGTAGAGACAGACAGGAAATGAAGTCCTCCTAAGAAGCAACAGGTTGAACAGAGGTCAGACCCAAGTCTCAAAGGAAGGTTGGAGATTCAAAGACAAGTAAGGCCAACAGGAATGAGTTATTTTAGGCAAGTTTGTTAAAAACCTTCAGTCCCTGACCATTTACTGGGCACTGTCAATAGGCCAGGTACCTTGCTAGGGGCTGGAAATACAGAAATTGAGGCTGCCTCTCAATACTCCTCTTAACCTTCCTGAGCCACAGGAGCCCACCTGCAAGCTGGGTACAGCAACACCTAGATTAAAAACTACATTTCCCAGCCTGCCTTGCAGCTGCTGTGATTATATTCTACACTGCGAGATGCAAAGGGGCACACTGTACTAAATATCCTTGATGTTTTTTTGAAGAGAGTTGACTCAGTCAATTGGCTGCAACACAATAGAGATGCTTTCTGTAGCATCTTGGTTCATAAGGTGACCTTGAAGATGGAATTCATGATGGAGTAGAACCATAAAAGGATCTTAAGAGAATCCTTACATGTTAAACTACAATTTTTTTTAGGTTTCAGTTACTCACAGCTTAATGCAATATCTAATTGCTATTTCCAATATTATTCTTAATCCAGGGAGCATGTTAAGCTTTTTGTAAAATTCTAGACCACAGTTTTACACTGAGTACATTTCTTCATCCCACTTCCTGACTTATAATCAATACTTCAGATTATTCTTATTTCCCCCTAACTGCTTTACTGGATGTTTGCTTACAATAAAGTGTATCAGAAACATTTCTGATTTTGCTTCCTATAATTTATCATCTTTATCCATGGGGACATTTAAAAACTCAGAGTGCTTTGTGTTATCTTGCAACTTCGAGATTTAACTTTATGGAAAACACATAAAAGCTTTAAAACTGGTGATACATAAAAGCATAAAAACTCCCGTTTATTCATGCCTTTGGTTTCCTATCTTTACAACACTGAATCTCAAAGCTCACCCTTAATCACATGGTAACTGAATTTGTTACAATTCTTTCGTATAGGACCTTGTTAAATTATTGCAGAAATTTTATTTTTATTTCCTTTTATTCGGTGTCAAAGAAAAACCAAGTGTGGAGGTTAAGCAGTCAGATTTTTATGTTAGAGAGACAACAACTTCTTCTTTCTCTTACTGGCTGGGTGACCTAGGAAGTTTTTAAGTCTCGCTGAGCCTCAGGTAAGTCAGCTATATAATATCCACTTCAGAGGGCTATCATAGCTATAAGATACAGTGTACATGTGAGAGAATATTTCAGGTCCTTCCTGTTTCTAGTTACACGATAGGATGGCACGTTTTCCCCCACCCCACCACCCCCTGAAGTTAGGTCGTGAAACTTGCTTTAGCCAATGTCTTAGGACTTGTGTCACTTCTGGAAAGAAACTCTAAGAGTCAGAGCACAATTCTTCATGTTCTCTTTTTCCTTTGCTACAGCAAAGAGCAATGATTGAGATAGTAGGTACCTCGTCAGGCCGAGTACTAGAGTAAAGACATACAAAGCAGCCCTGGCCTCCTACTTCTACCCTAGTCAACCCACAGTGGACATGTGGCATGACAGAGAGATAAACCTTGTGGCTTTAAGCAATTAAGATTTAGGGATTGTTTGTTACTGCAGAACCACATGAGTTATGCCATCTGATATAGCACATAGAACATTTAGCCTGCACCTTACACATATTATACTATGTGGTCAATAAACAGTATCTATTATTATCCTTAGCATATTACCTCTGTAGGTCTGGATCTGAATTTTTTTTAATTGAAAAAAATTACTATTTTATCTTCTGTCTGGGTTATAATGACATAAAAAAAATCATATGGTAAGAGAGAACAGCTTATAACTCCTGGATAGTTGGTCATCTACCCATTAACACATGCTTTGTTTTATTTATGTCTGTAACAATTAAACTAATTAAATTGCATTTAAAGCCTTTTTTCTCACCATCGTTAAGAAGATTCCAAATTCTGGATTTAAATCAACACAATCACCATCAGAAAAAATGAACTGTTTCTTTCTTTCTTTTCTTGCTGTCAAAACAATATAAATTTGTTGTGCTGCCACTGATAATACAGGCAATTCAATTCTGTTAAACTCATCAAAACAGCCCCAGGAACCCGACTGTGCAAGACCTGGCATGAAAAACAGTTAATTTGTAAAGTTTTACTCTATAATATACCTTCTTGATAACAATCATTTCTCCAGTGCTCCCAAACCATTATACATTGAAACGGGATTATGTAAAGTTTCATATCTGGCTGTTGATAAATACATATTTAATTCCAGTGATAAAGAGAGGTTTAATTATTTGTATATTTTCATCAAAACAATGGAAACAGTACACTGCTAAGATGAAAGTACAAATTTTGGGGGTATTTTGAAAGTAGAACCAACAGTGTTTGCTGACAGATTGGATCTGAGTATAAGAGAAAGAGCGGAGTAAAGGATAGGTCGAAGTTGTTTGGGGATGGTTGTTTTGTTTGTTGTTGTTGTTGTTGTTGTTGTTGTGTCTGAGCACCTAGAGATCAGGAGTTTTGGGGTTTTTTGTTTTTGTTTTTGTTGTTTTGTTTTGTTTTTTTTGGTAGAGTCTTGCTCTGTAGCCCAGGCTGGAGTGCAGTGGCAAGATCTCGGCTCACTGCAACCTCCGCCTCCCGGGTTCAAGCAATTCTAGCTCAGCCTCCTGAGTAGCTGGGACTACAGGCACGCACCACCATGCCCAGCTAATTTTTGTATTTTTAGTAGAGATGGGGTTTCACCATGTTGGCCAGGATGGTTGAACTCCCGACCTCATGATCCGCCTGCCTCGGCCTCCCAAAGTGCTGGGATTACAAGCGTGAGCCGTGCCCGGCCGGGAGTTTGGTTTTAAACATAGTGAATCTGCACCTGCTAGACATTTAAGTGGACATGCTAAATCAACAGTTGTACGTAATGAATCTAGAGTTTCAAGAAGTCCGAGCTAGAGATATAATTCTGGAGTCATCATACAGATGGCATTTAAAGTTTGGACCTACATAAGATCACCAAGAGAATGCATGTAGATAGAAAAGAGAAGATCGCCAAGTACTGAGCTCTGAGGTTGATGTGTCTTCAAATATTTTTTTCTCTGTCCATCTGAAAACATGTTCTACGTACCTTTCAGGATTTTCTCAAAATTTTCCATCTGCTGATGGCCACCCCCTTCTTATTTTCCAGTGTTGCTATGCTTTCTAAAATTCTTTCATTTCTGTGGGAGGGAAGCCACATGTGTCCCCTGTTTGCTATTTTGATCCTCTCTACTATTATTTCAGGCAATTATAGATTGATTCCATTTTCGTAATCTAACACACATTCCATGCATAGACTATAACACTAGCAATAGTATTGAACCATATGAAACTGTTGATATCCAGCCATTTTTGACCTAGAAAAATGGCAATATCATACGGATCAACCCATACTAATGTAGATTATATGAGATCACGTCACTTTGGATTTATATCAGAAAATAACATTAAAAGGCAATAAAAATAAATTCACCTAAAATAATCTACATTATTTGACACTTGCCTTTGAAAATCCTTCCTAGGCCTCTGAAATCCATTTGATCTGAGCAATTGAACACGACCACATATTTTCCCAAACACCTTCCCATGTCTTTTGTGGTTTCTGTTTTGCCAGTGCCAGCAGGTCCTGCGGGAGCACCTCCCATGTTCATGCCCAAGGCCTGAGCTAACGTGATATAGCATCTGCAAATGTTCATCCAATAAAGCATTGTGAGTATGGGATGACACGTTACAGGATGGCGCAAGCAAAAATCCAATGTGATTGGAATGGGCCTATTTATTTTAGAGTCTGAGTAGCCCACATAAAAGAAGTGAACAAACAAGGTTAGGGTACTTGATATTCATTAAAAGTACTACAGTGAGCCCAAAGATTTCTTGAGACTAATTTCAAAACTCCTCAACCCTGACTTAAAACCCTCAGGCCTTCCTCCCATTACAGTCAGGAGAACCAAATGAGCAGTATTGTGCTGGCAAATGTTTAACAACTGGCTCTCCAGAAAAAAAAAAAAAAAACCTGGTTTTCATGTTTGCCAATATCTATTGTATAAATTCTTCCACTGTGGTCAATGGCAAGCTACCAATGTGATATCACAAAGTCGGGGCAAAATGCACATAGACAGAAACCAGGTAAGGCTGGGCATGGTGGCTCACGCCTGTAATCCCAACACTTTGGGAAGCTGAGGTGGGCGGATCATGAGGTCAGGAGTTCAAGACCAGCCTGGCCAATACGGTGAAACCCTGTCTCTATTTAAAAAACACAAAAATTAGCCAGGCGTGGTGGCATGCGCCTGTAGTCCCAGCTACTTGTGAGGTAGAGGTGGAGGTTGCAGTGAGCCAAGATCGCGCCACTGCACTCCAGCCTGGGCGACAGAGCAAGACTCTGTCTCAAAACAAAAAAAGAAACCAGGTAAGCACCACAGGCTGATGCAAGTCAGCTCCAGCACACCACTGTAAATAAATAGTTTCACTATGAAATAATTCGCTCATTTAGAAAAGTGCAAAGAATACTAATATAATAAATCTCTTTGTATCCATGATCCAGCTTCTGTTGTATTTGTTTTGGATCTAAGTAAAACTTAGTAAAGATCTTAGTAAAGCTTCATGAGACACGATGCTTAATATGTAAACACCAATAGAAGAGAAAACACTGACAAATTTATGTTGCTATGGCACTGGGCATATAAAAGGGATAGGTTCAATAAATCAAAAGGAGGCTGAAGATGTGATTTGATATAATTTCACCTGGAGGCAGCCCTACTTAAAGTAACAGCAGCACTTAATATTAAAGAACGCAATTTAAGTCAATTCTAACAACATTTATTGAATGTTTTCTATGCACAGCATACTTAACTGGGTGTCATGGGATAAAAAAGACCTAGTAATTGCCTAGTGTCATATAATGGAAAGAATTGTGACGGGATCTGCCATTGACTAATTATTCATATTGGCCATGAAAATGTACGTTAGGTGCCAATTTCCACATCTGAAAAAAAGACTAAATTAAATGATCTCCAAGGGACCTTCCTTCTTTGCAATTTTAACTTCTTTTGGGATTCTAGGAATATTTTTCCATCTTGCAATCTAAAATTCACCATTAAATCACTCACAGTCAACATTCAAGCTTGCTTTTATTCTTTTATCTTTTTCTACTTCATAAAAATTCAATGCACATGTATATTTAAGTGGTTATTTCATTGTTAGGCTGACTTTAATGAGCTAGCATCTACCCAGCATGACAGAAATCTGCTTTTGTTAATATTTCAAATTCAACTATAAATAATGTTATGCACATTTTAAAATTACAAAATAAAAAACGAAAACTGGGTTTCCTACCTATCTGTTAATGGAGTGATAACAAGACGATCAGTACATCCCAGAAATTCATTTTGGTAAATAAAATCAACATCTGTAATAGACACCACAGTTTGATCCAAATCTTCCTTAAAATAAAATCTACTCTGTTTTAGCCATTCAAAGTCAGTAGGTGATTTGATATGCATTTTTACCTTAAAAACATAAAATACAAAAAAATTATATACTGAATTGCAATAGCATAAAACATAAGCATGTGGGCAGTTTTTAAAATTCACTCTTTGATGAACTGATTCTTATTAACAAATATTTATTGAGTTTCTTCCTATGCTTGACACTGTGCTAGGCAAACAAAGACAGAGATGGTTCCAGGCTTCCAGAGCTTACAGAAAAGGGCAAAAGGCAAACAGTGAAACAAATCATTGCAATAAAGTACAAAGGGCACCACCACCGAAATTCAGGGCTCATGAATATATGGAGCAGGAGGACCTAACTACTCCAGGATATCTGAGAGGGGCACTCAGAGGAAGAAAACATCTCAACTAAAACCCAGATAAATAGTAGGAATTAGCCAGGGCCACCAGGAGCGGGGAACAAAAGGGATCATGAGGGTGTGGGAAGAGTAAGTGCTATAGGCAAATGTCTAGAAGATCTGATTGGCATCTTCAAGGAATTGAAAAAAGGTCAGTACAGCTAGGGGCATCCCGGGATCTAGAGAAAGCATGAGAGTTGAGGGTTCACAGGGCCATGGGAAGGGGTTTAGGAATTGTCTTCATAGCAGTCGGAAGCCACTAAAGGGATTAAGCAGGGAAACACATGGTTATATATGCCCATGTCTCCCTGCACCAGCACTATAGCCAAGCCACTCAATCTGCCTAGTCATCAGCATATACAAGTGAGGCAAGAGGTACTGGGCTCTCATAGCCATGGATGCAAGCTCTAGTACCTGGTCTGTTCAAAGAGACAGAAACCAGGTAAGCAAACTTAGGAATTCCATTCCATCATAACCACATTCTGAGGAGCTTCGTGACTTTCCAGTGAAACTGGTGAAACACCAGTCCTGCCCATTCAGAGGAATCAACACAGGAAGTGGCAAGTGGTCCCCTTCACTGCTCTTAAATCCAGTAGGCCCACTTCCAGGTCATTCAACTGACACTAAAAAATGGACTCGTGGCTACTATACAATGTTCAGATCTCCATCTGACCAGGCCTCCATATTCCTTGCTATTTACAGTCCTGCTTTTTGCTATTGTTGTTTGTTGTTTGGTTATGATCTTGCTTCCTCCTCTAGTTAAGGACTGGCTTCCCACCTAAAGCACAGTTTGTATTCATCATCTTGAGTTACTTTCAGGTAACACAGTCTGGCCCCACCCACAGGGAATGCTCTGTAACACAGGACTCAAGGCCATGGGGATGCTCTCAGCCAGCTACTTTCAACCATCTGTTAAGATGGTAAGGAGGAGGTGGAGAAGAAAAGAAGAATAGTTAATATATTTATTGAGTTCTTGCTGTATATCAGGTTGTTCTAATAATTGTACATGGAAAAATAAAATGCATATATGTTGGCCATGACATCTCATTTAGTTGGGATGCAAACAGTTCAATGGTGATTAAGATAAAAGAAAATGGTTTCATAGTTTTCCTTATGTACAGGTTTATTTTTTTTAATCCCTCTGGATGTAAAGTAAAGTTTGCTCAGCACTTAATTTTAAAAGAAATTTCTTTCACAGGACTTCAGTTTTAGGAGCCAGTGAGAGACGTATAGACAACATCCTCAAACGTATGCTGACAGCAGATACAATAATGAACTCCATACTAGTGCTTCTTGAGGTGGACATCAATTAAAGTCAAAGTATAATAGTAACTGCAATTAGTAAAAGCTAGTCCGTGGAAGGCCAAAACAATATAAGTGTGCAGCTTTCTGATAGTAGCTTAATCCAGAGATAAATCCTAGAGCAGTTTTTCCTCAAACTTCAATATGCATATGAATCTCCTAAGAATCTTGATAAAATGCAGATTCTGATTCAGTAGGTCTTGGATGGGAGGAGGGAGGCTGGAGATTCTGCTCTTTTCACCAACTTCCAGGTGATACCAAAGCACTGGTCAGCATGTAATACTTTGAGAAGCAAGGATCTGGGTTGCAGGGGGATGGACGGACTGACTGGATGTCCTTCAAATAATCTTCAATAAATACAAACTATCTGATCAGAACTTTTGGTAAAACTTCAAAACAGGCAGTCTGTGATCACATTCTCTAAAACAGGACCCAACCTGCATGAATTATGTGTCTCTGATGAAGGAAAGAGATACCTTTAAAATGTATCAAATCAAGTAGACTAAAGCAATAGGAGTTAAATGGGAGGTAAAGATTATCAAATAGTGGCATTTCAAAACCACCTGTAATAGAAAAATCCTTGCTTTAGGAGAAGTTGGCCTTGGTCAAGGCCACTGGTTAGAGTCCCATTTCTAAAGGAATTCAAACACTTATCCTTCTTAGTCCCACCCTACAGAACTTTGCCTAAATCAAGCCCATGATCACCATCAACTGGACGAACAGCCGTGAGAGTGCTCTGAAGCCTGATTCCGTTCCATCTGTGCTCCTTTTCCAATCGACCCAGCATAGCTTATGACCTAAATTATATCATGTTCCTGGTTATTTGGTTTAATGGAACAATTAGCTGGCTCATATCACATCAGTTGGTTCCAAACTTTCAGAGTGCCAAATGAATATATAATATGGTTGTTTAAGCCATCCAATACAGAAATACAATACTGTGGACACGATATTGATGGACAGTTATGAAAAAGGACCAAGTAAATGGAAAGTTCATGTAAGTTAGGCAACATATACAATTCTTAGCTGTTCATTATTAGTTAGTACACTAAATTAAAAAAAAAGATACCTTACCAAGTCATCAAAAATATCTCTCTGATGCACATGGATGGTAATTAGAGTCTCGAACTTCACTCTATCAAACTTGCTTAGATCATGTGTTGTCTGACTAATGAGAGTATTTAGAATATCCAAAAATTTCTGATTGGTCACTTGCATGATTTTCCTGTCATCTTTTGCATTACGTAAAGCCTCTTCTGAATCGTGTGTCCACAACATCTGAATTCCCAGAAGTCCAACCTACAGATCCAGCAGAAAAATATTAAAATTTGCCAAATATTTAAAGCACATCTGCAATAAAATTTGGTGGTCACTTATTCACATTTTAAACTAAAAATGAGATTGACTTGCATTTCTTCACTCCCAAAGGAGGGAAACAGTTAAAGTTTTAACCGTTAATATTTAATTATTTCAAAGTAGATAGATTAATGATGATTAAAATACTGGCTACCATTTGTTGAACTATATGTGTGTTATAGAAGATGGTTAGGAAATTTTTCTACAGAGGGCCTGAGACTATTGGATACTTCCATGCAACGATTTTTCTTTCTCAAGAAAAGCAAAGGAACTCTTTATTATCTGCTTGTTCTTGAACAGGGCTTCCCAAAGGTCTCTCTGCTCTTCTAAAAACAATACACTGCCTATCTCCTTTCTTGATTGCTCCCTCTCTCTGATATCCACGTTTTTATCTACGTCTACTTTTCTGTCTCTATACTTATCTATAGAAGAGAGAGGGAGACAGAAAATGAGAAGGGGAGAAGCTTGTATTCTTTGTATCCTGATGAAGTCATAAAGAAACTGTGAGAGGATGTCACCTTAACCTACAATTTCTGCCCCAGAAAAGGTAATAAAAGTGGTCTGAGCATGCCCCACCCTCACCCCTTCACTGAAAGGGTTGTCCCTTCAGGAGCTCTCATTCATCCAGAGTCGAATGACAGATCCAACATCATTTGGACCAAAAAAGAGGACTGAAAGCGGGGCAGGCAGTATGTGGATACTGCTTGGCATGGGCTCAACAGTGAGAAAAGAAAGAATAAAACCCTCTTTCTGTCCCTGCCTTATCAGGGACTTTGATACTTTTCCTGCTAGAGCAGTGGCCAATCCTGAGGGCTGCAGCTAAAGATAAATGAAAGCACCTGGCTGAAGTGAGCAATGGGATCTGGAGAAAACAAGCAGTGTCAGAAAGCCCCCCAAGAGCAAGCAGATTCTGGTCAGCAGCAGATGATGGTCCAAGGGGGGAAAGACAAAGAGAAAAACTACAAAAGCATAGCAGTGTAAGGCTGCCTGACTTAAAGACAAATAGACCAGCAGACCCCAAAAGCCACTGCATAATTATGTCTATCCAAAGGCAAGTCTTTACAATCATTATCTTGAGTCACCAAGAACAGCTTAAAATTATGTTTTTATACTCAGTCTAAAAAGGCATGCGACTTAGTGGTGAAAACCAGAGGATGTCTCATTAAAAAACAAAACAGCAAAACAAGAATGCTCATTCTCATCAATATTACTCGATGCCTATAATAAGCACATTAAACAATATGAGAAGGCACCACATGTTCTCACACATACATGGAAACTAAAATAAAGCTGACCTCAGAGAAGTGAAAGCAGAATGGAGGATACTAGAGGCTGGGAAGGGTAAGGAGAAGAGGATAGGGATGGATTTGCTAAAGGACACAAAATTATAGCCAGGTAGGAGGACTAAGTGTTAGTGATCTATACCAGTGGTCCCCAGCCTTTTTGGCACCAGGGACTGGTTTCATGGAAGACAATTTTTCCATGGACGGGGGTCACAGGATGCTTTAGATTCACATAAGCAGCGCACAACCTTGATCCCTCAAATGCACAGTTCAGTTCACAATAGGGTTCGCCCTCCTCTGAGAATCTCATGCCGCCGTTGATCTGACAGGAGGTGGAGCACAGGCAGTCATGCTCACTTGCCCGCCGCTTACCTCCTGCTGTGCGACCCAGTTTCTAATAGCCCATGAACCGGTACCGGTTTGTGGCCGGGCCGGGTGGGGGTGGTTGGGGACCCTTGTTCTATACCACTGTAGGATAACTATAGTTAAGAATAACCTATAGTTTCAAATAGCGAGAAGGAGGATATTGAATGTTCCCAACACAAAGAAATGATGTTTGAGATGATGGATATGCTAATTACTCTCATCTGATCACAAGACATATTATACACATCAAAACATCACTATGCACCCCATAAATATGTACAATTGTTATATGTCAATTTAAAAAAAGAACAAAGGAGAAAACAGCAATAAATACATAAATAACGTATTGGAAGGGAATACACTAAAATATTAATAGTCATAATTTCCAGGTGGTAGAAATATGGGAAATTCTTATTTCCACTTTTATTTTATTTTTATTTTATTTAAGTTTCGGAATACACGTGCAGAACGTGCAGGTTTCTTACATAGGTAAACGTGTGCCATGGTGGTTTGCTGCACCTATCAACCCATCACCTATGTATTCCACTTTTATATTTTTTGCATTTTCCAAAATTTTGCAGCAAGGATCCATGGCATTCAAACAATTAAAACATGTTTTAAAAGAAAGCAGAAGTGGAATTTTAAACAATTTCAGATAAAAATGTTAAATTAACTTGATAGTTAGAGATTTCAGTCATTTGAAAAAATGCCTTAAAAAATTTAATATATGTGTATACATGTATATATACACATACATGAATATATTCATATATACTTATGTGAATATATTCATATATACACATATGTATATATGTATATAATACTTTGTATTATATATATAGTATTATATACATTGTATAAAATACTTTGTAAAATATGTATTATATACATTGTAAAAATACTTTGTATTTATGTATATATGTATATATATTAAATACAAAGTATTTTATACATATGTGTATATATGTTCATATATATATACACACATACACTAGAGAAAATCCTGAAAACTAGTCATCTTTCCTACTACATCCTGTTCAACTTCACCACTGTTTGGAACTTGCTCTCAACTCTCTACTTAATGCTAAATCCTCAGCCTAATTTAGGCCAAGCCTCTCCTTCAGGATATACAGGGTCTGGAGAAAGAAAATACGTGGATTTAGTTTCAGGAACTCTTTTCTCAATTTAACAAAGTATTTTATAAGCTTTATCACAAAGGTAATAATGCTAATAAGAATACTAAAGTTTCCCAGGGTATTATATAATATAAAAATCACAATATTATTCTCTCCAATAAAGGTTGATTATATCTCTGTCCTTCTGTGGTTTGAATAAATGATACATCATTTCAGCTGTCTTCATTTTGTGTGCACTAATTCAGGATTTGGAGCTCAGGTTGGGAGGAGTAGTTGGAGAAGAAATACCATTTGGGCAAAAATTGCCTACGTTTTCCTTGGATATCTCTTGCCTTTTATCCCATGCTCTCTCTGGCCAGATCACAAATCATCACTTTTCATTTCTCTTGAATGAAAGTGTAATGAAACCATTGGTACCTGCTCCAATCTTGGCCTCTTTGAGGTCTTCACTTTCTAAACATTAGTTGCATGAAAAAGCCTCTCAACAATTTATGTCCATTTTTAATTGCTTGAAGGGAAAATTAAAGACAAGATGGATTTCATTTCAAGAAAAGGTATGCTCATTCCCTTTACATATATCCATATCTATATCCACATCATATCTATGAATTGGTGTATATATATACATATATATATACACACACACACACGTGCACTTACACACAGATGGTCCCCAACTTTCAATGGTACAACTTAAAAATTTTTTTTACTTTACGACAGTGCAAAAGCAATATGCATTTAGTAGAAACTGTACTTTGAGTACCCACACAACCATTCTGTTTTTCACTTTCAGTGTAGTAGTCAATAAATTATATGAGACAATCAACACTTTATTATAAAATAGGCTTGGTGTTAGAAGATTTTGCCTAACTGTAGGCTAATGTAAGTGTTCTGAGCATCTTTAAGACATACTAGACCAAGCTTATGATTGGTAGGTTAGATGCATTAAATGCATTTTTGGTTAATGATATTTTCAACTATGATGAGTTTGTTGGGAGATAATCCCATCATAAGTCGAGGAGTTTCTGTATACAAATACACACACACACACACGCTTACATATGTATCTATTAGACTCAATGTATGTATCCTTCATGATGGGAAAATAGTGGCATATCCTCCTCTGGGACATGGGATGGGTTGGTCTAGAATGGTGTAGGTTGACAAGCAGGTGGTTGGGAGCTGAGGCTAAAATGAGTGTGAGTAGGCCACTCTAACCTAATTCAAAGCTACAATTGCCTCACACCATCAGGTCAACCACCTGCTAAGCATCCTTCCCCTTTATTTCCATTTCTTTTCACCATTACTTAAGCATTGTGTATTCTCACCTGTGCTGGAAAGTGGCTGAGGAATGGTAAGAGTTGAAATCCTGAATCACTGATTTGATAGAAAGCGGATCTAATTATATTATGTAATGATGACATCTGCATTTTTAACAAATCCAGTAGCCAAATCTCCACAGGACCTTTGGCCATAACAGAATTATCCAACTAAAACAAAATTACAAGGATATTATAAATTGATAATAATTTGGCATTTTTACAGACGTTCCATGCACACTTAATAAATCATAGTGCCCTATGCCAAGCAAACAGTTTCATATTTTATACAAAATATTTTAAATATGGGTAAAATCACCTAATACTATAGCTGGAAGGAACTACACAGATCACCTAGTCCAAAACTTTCACTTCATAAATTACAAAATGAGTCTCAGAGAAGTTAAAGGATTTATCTAAACTAGTTTTTAACAAAGCCCAGGGCTGTAGAATGAGAACTCCCTCTCCTCCTGTTTTTTTCTGTAAGAGAACTGTATTCTCCTCAACCTAAGTTTTTAAAGAAATTCTAATAAAAAAATTTAAAGCAAGGTAAATTACAACAATTTTTTCTCCTTCTCTTGATATGACGGCCATGATGCGATCATAGTCTTTTGCATGAAATGTCACCTCATTGATGTTGTCAGATACTGCAGGGAGATGCGGCTGTAAGACAGAGGAAAACGTCACACATGAGGCTGGACACAAAAGCCGCTGAGATGTTTTTAAAAGCCTTAATATTTTGTATCTTTTTAAAAGGTTAAGTATTTACTTTATTGTCTCAAAAAATAGAGAGAGACTCTGCTTTGACCCTTAACTGGCTTGGAGGTCTACTTTTTAAAATCAAGGCCAGAGGAATGTTTTCTCCAAGTCCTGCAAATGGCCCCTCCCATGCTATGCAGATTAGACTAAGGACTGTCACCTTCCACCAGATGGGGACTGGACCACACCGCCTCCCCCCTCCTCCCCCGACAGATACAGCTCAGTCCTGCCATCTCTCCTAGCTCTACCTCCACCTTTCACAGAGCCTTTCTATTCTCTTTTCTCATTGTTACAAGTCCCTGGAAACCAACAAGGAAACTACATTAGCCGTTTCCCAGATCCCCAGACCAGAATTGGCCCTGGGATGGGACCTTCTGTGCCTCCCACTCTCAGTTTGCTACGGTTTTTCTTTTCCTCTTCCAAAGTATTGCTCTAGGAAATGGCTAAAAGCATTTGAGAAGTATTGAGGAAGGAAAAAAGGACAAATCCAAAATATAATCCCTATTTGGTCTAAGAATATTTAGAATAAAATACTCATAATGATAAATTCGATTTAATAAACACATACTGTGTGCTAGAGACTCTGCTATGCATGATCTCATATAATCCTCATGACAGTCCTGTGAGGTGAGAACCATTAATATCCTGATTTTACAGATATGGAATTGAGGGATGGGGAAATTAGGAAGCCTGCCAAGATCACACAGCTAGGAATGGCATAGTCAGTGCATAGTCACTTAACACTGCTGGACTGCATCAGGATGACAGGCTCCAAATACACAGAAAATATGAAATTTTATGATCAATGTAATTTGTAATACTCTTCTTTCCTGCCTGCATTTTTAAGATTTTAACTTCACTTTTATTCTTCATTGTGTATGTCGTGGGAAAAGCAAGTTAGATCACAGATTCTTAGATTATACCTGTATGGTGTGGGAATCACTGGCTTGTCCAAGAATTTCCAGGAGAACTGGATCAGATACAAAGAAGAATCTTGGAAACAGTAATCGTTTCTTCTCCAAATACCTTCAAATAAAGTCGACAGTATGTTACCAAGTGGTTTTTTTTCCCCTAAATTATTATTTTTTTAGTCAAGACATAATCACTAACATCTTTGCTAAGATAATAGCAAACACCTAAAGTCACTTATCACCTACCCCTGCAATGTTTGGTGAAAACCAAAGTCCATGCTCCACCATGGATGACACTTGGGAAAACAAGAGATTCAGAGCAAGGCTGCCCCATCATCTGCTGTCCTCTCCTTTCTCATCAGATGCCCTCCTATGACCTTTCTGAGACTGCTGGAAAGCTCATGGCTTAAACCCAGGGGGAGCACAAACCGTATCTCCAAACCAACACATTTTGAGAGTGAAAGGGAGGACAACTAACCATTAAGCCAGGACAGACGCATAAACTTGGACAAACCAGGATGTATTATCACCCTATTTCAAATAGAGATTGAAAATGAACTGCCTTAAAAAAATTATCCTGACACCATCCTCTTGTGACAGTAAAAATAAAATAAAATAAAAATGATATTTGAGTTTGGTGAGTTGTTCTCTTAGTGCACATTTCTATTCTACGCCTGCAGTGGCTTGAATTTTAGCCCTCAAAAAGACATGTCCAGGTCCTATTCCCTGAAATCCTGAAGCATGACCTTATTTGGAAAAAGGGCTTTTGCAGAGGGAGTGAAGTTAAGGATCTTGAAGAGCCCTGAATCCAGTGACAAATGTCGTCATAAGAGACACACAGGAAGAGGAGAAGAAGGCCAAGTGAAGACAGAGACAGAGATTGGAGTTATGAAGGCATGAACCAAGAAACTCCTAGAGCCACCAGAAGCCAAAAGAGGCAAGGGAGGATCCTCTCTTAGAGCCTTCAGAGGGAGCCAACACCTTGATTTCAGACTTCTTGTCTCCACAACTGTGAGAATGAATTTCTGTTGCTTTAAGCCAACTGTCTGTGGAAATTTGTTATAGCAGCCTGACGAAACTAATACAATGCCTTAACCACCCCCAAGTCAAAGGTGTCTTCCTCACAGAAAAGTTCAATCTATGTGAAATTTTAAGTTCCTAGCCCCACTTTAACCATCACTACCAAACCAGAAATGTAGTCAATACTAGTAAGTTTGGGATAAAACACTGTCACATACAAAATGATATGTGATTTAAAAATTAAACTCTTACCCTGTGAGTGACTTCTGACATACTTCCAACTGCTCATGTAAATGAGGTAAAAGTTGTCCCATGGTTTCATCTCCAACACAGCAATTAATCACATTGGGATTCTCATGAGCTCGCTGCATTATTTTTATCCAAGACTTGTCAATATTCTGAAAACGTTTTGCTTCCTGAAAATGCATCCATAGCCAGTAAAGATTAGCATTTGGATAATTGAAAAAAAGCAAAGTCTTCACCTTGGAATTTTCTATAGTTCTTCAAACCAGCCTCTATTAGTCTCAGGCTGCATAATTTAAACAGACAATTTTTTTTCATTTGAATTAATTCTGAGCGACACAAACCCAAAGTTATAAAACTGCATATTAAAATGCTTCTTTATCACAATGAGGCTTATTGCTTATTTGTTTCATTGCATTTAACATGTTTTTCAAAGTACCACATGATTAATTTGCAGAGCTATCAACTTAAAGTTCCAATCTAGTGTTTCAGCACCCCAGGTGTTTTGGTTTGAGGAGCAAACTGAAGAAGCATGAAAATAATTTGATCTCAGGATCCTTGGAATAATTACAGCTCAATAGTACCCCAAGGCGGGGAAAAAAAGAAAAAAGACAGTAAAGCCACAAAACAAAGTTTCATTTACATTTTCGCAAGTGAAAATTTTCTATTTACTATGAATGATATTAAGCTTTGTACTTAGCTGCAAAAATGCCTCTAGCAATTGGCATAATCTTTCCTCTTTTAAAAATACAGACTTCTGATTAAAAAACAAAAATGATACATTTCAGTTTAATGTTTTAAAAATGTGCTATTAGTACAAAGGAAATCGGCCATTTTCAAAAAAAAAAAAAGCAAAAAAAAAACCTCTTTTATCCTTGATTTTTAACCTATATAGATCTTGCTTGTAAATACAGAAGTTTAGGAAGATCAGGCTTAATTTTCTAATAGCAAAGTTACCTTCATCGACTAAACCTATCAGTTATTACAGTTATTGGCATTTATTTAAAAGGCCCCAATAGAGCTGTTTTAAAGGTTTTGTTACAGCCTCCCAAGGCTGTTTTCTTGCTCCACAGCATGTTCTGATCTGCTAGTAGTAGACTTAGTAATAATTAACTAAAGTTGATCTGTGCTTACAGAATATAGATTAATTTTAATATTATTCTCAGAGGAATATTATGAGGTTAACTCTTAGAAGACATGAACTACTATAATAGTACTGCATTTGAATGTACCTCACATCCTCAAACAACCTCGAGATTATTCACTGTTTAAAACTATGTAAGTTTCTTCTTTCTGCTAATCAGAGGTCAGCACTTCCTAAAAAACTTTTTCTGTGAAGGGCCAGATAGTAAAGATTTTAGACTTTTTGGGCCGTATAATCTCAGTTATAACTACTCAACTCTGCTGTTGTGGTGCTACAGCAGCCACAGACAATATATAAAAGAATGGATGTGGTTGTGTTCCAATAAAACTTTATTTACAAAAACAGGCAAGTGGGCCATAGTTTGCCAAACCCCATCATAGTCAAGCCTTGACCATATGTCTTTGTGAAGACTTTTACAGAGACATATAGACAACATACACCAAATTATTTTATCAGTAATTACAAAAGCCATATTTACCTGAGGCAGCTGTTTGGCAATATCTCCACCTACAAAGACGGCTTCAAGATAAACCCAAAGGTTCTGTACTACGAGCCACTCTTCAATTATATCTGAGGAAGTGGACAATTTATACACCCAATTCTGGATATTTTTTTTAAATGGAGCATTGTATCTAAAAGGTAAGAACGGAAAAAATCACATTTCAAAGAAGATTCAGAAAATAGTATGGCCTTACCGAAGTAAATTCCAGAAGAAATATTACTTTGGGAATGAATGTTTTGTCCTTAAAGGGCAGTTCCTAATAGATATCATACAGCTAATAAAAACTGTTGCTTTTCATGAATAAAACTCATATAACTGCAGTGATTTTACTTATTGTTCCCATGTGTCAGTCATAGAATAGGAGAATGGGCCTAGTTTTATGGTGCATAGGTCCAGCAAAGGAACTGTGCTGGTTGCTTCTGGGAGTAAATGCCAAGCAAGGAATAAGATGGTTTTCCAAAAAGTCTGTGAACCAAATCCAAGTGGGGTCTGCTTGTGAGAGTAACATGTGAGACACTGTTACTGGTCTGTGGAACTACTGAATCTAGGAAAAGAGAACACTATCCAGGGATTTTCCTTTTATGAATGGTCTTGAAGGTTTCATCCAGCAAGAGACAGACTATCTCTAAAGGGACAGGACAAATCAGATCCCTAAAGATCAGGAGAGGGTTAGGTATCACCAGGTTCACCTGGAGAAGATGACCGCACAGCCAGAGTCAAGCTTGAAGTCTGATGTTCACTTACAGGTGTGCTCTTCCCACCCACAGAGAGAGAATTACACCAGGTACTACAACTAGATTCTGCAGAGCTAGAGACCCAGGGTTGCTACCCCCATATAGCAGGGCTCCTGTTTTCTGATCATCAGGGCTTGCTGAAGTGTTTATGAGAATACAAGGGGT